>NC_000008.11:11320901-11625382 GCF_000001405.40 Homo sapiens
AGCTGTTTGTTAAATTAAACCGAATTACCGTTAATGCCAGTTGTTACGCCGTATTCTAGTATGTTATACTCTCAAAGGCAGTTCACGTGTGGAAAACTATTTGCCCTTTGTGGAAACGGGTCTCAGATTGCTTTGGCTTCTGAGTCTGAGACCAAATCAGTTTCTGTCTCTTCTCTGGATGTCAGCTGTCACATCTAGTTCCTCTTGGCTTATCTGCCATTAGTGGCTTCCTTCCACCTCAGTTCATGCTTCTAATCTTATCTATTGAAGTGTCCCCTAGTTAGCATTGTGGGGAAATGGTCTTAGATGGTCTTGAGGTTCTGGGTGTGAGCTTTAGTGCTTTGATTTGTGAAGGGATGGTGACTGCTCAGAACTTCTCTTTGCTTACTTTCGTGATTGTCGTCACAGTCAGTACAGGGTTCATGATCTCTTAAACGAGAGGTTACAGTATTCTTCCTGTTTAGGACTTCTGGGACAATGTACTTAAAGCCACTGTCACATTTAATAACTGAAATGAGCGTAGCTGTTTGGGAGAAAACCCACATTGGGAGCTGGGTGGCCTGAAGGATGATTTAATTGCTTTGTACCAAACCTCCTTGTGGAGCTTAGAGATAAGTGATGGGATGAAATCCTTGTTCTGTGGATTAAGTCCTGCCATGCCGGAGTTTCAGTGTGTGTTTCATGCTCCTCAACCTAGAGCTGGGAGAAGAAGAAGCTCTCTATTAGGTAAAATCCTATGGTAGGCATCTATATTGAATAAGACTGCTCTTCGGCCTTAAAATATCTCTCTGCTGTTTACATTTACATCACAGCTAACCATTAATATTTAGAAATTCCTGAATTAGAAAAATCAACATGGGTGGGTCAGGCTTTACGCTGTGGTTCTGCTTTCCCTTTCTGATACAGCCTGATGTTGGGAGCTGCATAGAAGGGCTCATTAGGACCCATGGCAGTTTGGTTTGTAGAGAGTGTTTTAATGAATCATAAAACCTTTGTGAACTTGCCATCCACTGACATGGTGCAGCCTGGAAGATTTTCGTGCCTCCTGACTTGAGTAACTGTAAGGCATTATTGTGGTGTGATACAGTTAACATAGGGCTATGGAGAGGAGAAAATATTTCCTTTTGGTTCATAATAAAAGGATAATTATTATTATTTGGGGAAAGAAGAAATTGCCTGCAGAATTGAAAGATTGCCTCTCAAGTAACAGGGAGAGAGGCATGTAAGCACGTGGGCTACAGTTCAGGCTTTCAAATAACAACATATGTGGTTCTGCTTTTACTGTAGTTGTCACTTTTCAGGTGAAAATGGCTTCACACATTTAAGGGATCTTACATGTCTGAGCAATATTCTATAATTATAAAAATAAGTGATTTATATTGTGAAATTGGAAAGTTTATGACATTGCAAATTATCATCTTGTTTTCCTGAATATATCATAAAATGGTATTTGGATCTATTTGATAATTTTGTGGGATATTTCTGAAGAATCAATGAGCATGTACATACAAGTAGTGACTTCTCAAATATTGTATTCAATTGCATCCTTTTCAGTACCTCAAGATTCCTGTATATTTTAGAGTATAATAAAATACAGATGTGAGTTGTGGCAACAAAAGAAAAAAGAATGTATAATACATAAATTACATCTTATCCACAAATGTAATTTTAATCCATTGTATATACCTTTCTTGCTTCTGTTTTCCATTCCTGGATTCAATAGGTATTTTCCTACGTTGGAATAGATCCTCTAAGTATTTGGATGAAGCATATGAAGAAATGGTTAACATCATTGAATATAATAAAGAATTACAAGCAAAAGTCAATATCCTTCGAAGGCAGTTGGCAGAACTGGAAACAGAGGACGGGATGCAGGAGAGTCCCTGAAAGGTCTCCTCGCACCCTTCGCAAGGACCTTCTTGGGCCTGTGTCCGCCGTTCTCTCCTTGTGCCCTTCAGTTCACTTTTACACGGTAGCCTTGAAGTGAAGGCTTTAGATGTGGGACCCCCCTAATGTAATGGATTTCTCAATACTGTATGAATAATGAAACTTACTATCATAAACCATGTTTCATGTGGCCTGTTAGGGCCTGTCACTTTGGGAGCCGGAAGGAGGTGCTAGTCATTTTATTTTTACGTGAAATAGATGACCTATTTAATGCCATTTGTGTTTCATGCCATTTTATCCAAAGCTTTTTCTCTGTGTCCACTCTCCAAACAGCATTCTAGAGCAGTCAAGGAGACAGCTAATCTCTCTAGGGACTATTTGGTGGTTTAAAAAAAGGGTCAGACTTTTAAACACTCTGACCATAGAAATGTTTTTCAAAATGGCAACAATGGATAAACCAAGGATTTTGTGTTTAACAATCCATTTCCAGTGTCTTCGCCACATAAAATAGCCATTTTCTTTAAAATAGTTTTGGACTAACGAAGCTGAAATCTATTCTCATTCTTGTTTGTCAAGAAAGGAAAATCTGTTATTCAAGGTAAATTATTTCTACAAGGGCAACAGGTATGGTCCTCCGATATTTACATTAAGAAGAGTTAAATTTATTTTAACGTAGACACTAAAAGTATGTGCAATATACAATTAAAGTAGGAATTTGTTACTGATTGAGAATTGTTACTGGTGAATTGGTTTTCAGGTTTTGAGCATACATATACAATGTGTTTCAAATGCTGCTTGTAAAATTAAACCATCATCTAGAATAGAGTTAATTTATTATAATCAAGCTACAAATAGGTTTTCTTAAACCAGAGATGCACTGCCCTTGTCTAAAGTTCTTATTGCACTGGTTTATATGTGTATGTGTGTTTTATTGTGTGTTTTTTTAATTTGTAAGTATTCTAAGAGTTTCCTAATACTAAGGTTAAAATTTTCATGTTGACCTGAGCCTTTTGCAAATTTGCTTTGGCTCTATTGATTTGTCCATTATGTGTTAGGCAAATATAACTTAAGTGGAGGGGGAAGTTTATGAATATAATATAGCTCTGTGTTTTAAACCTCAGAAACAGATTTGAGTGTTTCAGTATTATAGAAACAGTGATGACTATTCATGCTCTGCTAGTCTATGCCTGCAACTCCAAATGTTTGTGGTTCAGTATTTCCCACCTACATTTCTGTTTGGTGACATTGCTCATTTTAACAAATATGACCGAGTCTAGTTTTTCTTTAAAAGGATAGTTTATGAGTAATCTTTAAAACCATTTCCATACCATCTGTATATAACCATTTCGGTAGAGAACACACTACACTGAACCCTGCTTTAGAGCTGTGTGTTGAGCTAAAAATATAATTTTTTAAAAATTGACTAGCAAAATCTATGGCCACACTGAGAAGCCTTTGAAAATGGCAAATACTTTTCATCACCAATTGCCCAATTCATCTTTCTTCTGCTTCCTCAGCCTTGTAGCAAAGGCTACACAGCAGCCCACAGTCCACAGTCTTTTTGGGAAAATTGGCCTGCCACCTTCTTTAAGCTCAGTTTATTTTTGACTTACTTTCTTTGCTGTAGTTATGAACCTTGGGGCATTAAAATCCCATGGCAAGGAGCATAAGAGATGTTCTCGTAGCTCTGCGTTGTGTGAAATGTCCATCTTAGTTTTGTTAAAAAAAAAAAAAAAAAAAGGAAACAGCCTCACTTTTTTGTGCTCCCTCAGAATTGCTTGCTATGTCTGTTAATACAGCTGAGCTTTTTGTTTTCTTCTCTTTTTGTCTCAAGATTGTATATGAAGGAGGCTTTTCTTCTCAGCTAACAGGCATATAAGGAAAACCATCTAGAGAGTTTTCTTTAGAAGTGACTCCCATTAGCCTGGTGTGGTGGTGTGTGCCTATAGTCCCAGCCACTAGGAAAGCTGAGGCAGAAGGATCCCTTGAGCCTAGGAGGTTGAGGCTGCAGTGAGCTATGATCGCATCAGTCCACTCCAGCCTGAGCAACAGAGCGAGACCCTGTGTCTAAGTAAAGAAAAAGCCAGAAGTGACTCCCACTGCTTCTGTTGATCGGCCATAGGGCTTCCATGGGTGGAAACTTGTGAGGGAGTTTGTATTAGGTCTGGTCATGGAGGGATGATGTACCATCAAGGTAGACCCATCTTCCTGATGCACATTTGCTGTGCGAGCCAGAGTACAGTCATAACACGGTATTCGCATTTCGTTTTCTCTGTCTCACTGAGACAACAATCTATACTGTTTTGGCAAGTTTGCATTTTAGTATTAATTTATAATTAGGGATTGTTCAAACTTCAGATCTGTTTACAGGTTGTAAAAATAAACTTCGGTATCAGTGCATCTACAGAAGTGTTATTTGGTAATCCAAATATTAGAGTTTTCCCAAATCCAAAAACGGTCAGAAATAAGTCCATTATCAATATAATTTGAAGAAGATTTTTAGTAGTACTGTGAAGTTCGTGCTTACCTGGATGAGAAGAATAAATGACACGGATACACTCCTGAGAAGACACTCGTTAAACATTGCATCGGAGAGCTGCCTTTGATAAATGTGCTGTTAAACACTTGAATGAAGAGAATGGTGGCAGAATGAGTGAGCAAGCAGATTGCCCCAGAGGGGCCGGTAATAATCACGTGAGGGATAATCAGATTCCTGCGTATTCAGCATCTTCTCTATTCATGTGGAGTGAAAGCTGGTTTTTATACAGGAGATACGTAAAGTAGGCCCCACAAATAATATTTTTAAAATACAAAGGATCACCACAATCCTCTATTGAACATATAAGGATCCTCAGATTTAAATAAGTACTTTTTTTTTTTTTAATCAGAAGAACATTGTTGTTTGATTATATGTTTTTAAAAACCTGAAGCTTTTTTGGTGGCAGGACCTTTCAATAAATATTTATTTGGTCAAAATTTTTTATTTTGATTTTATTAAATGGGAAGAAAGCAAGCAGAAATAGTAAAATTCAGTAGGTTTAAAACAATCTATAAATGTATTTTATTTCCAAGAAAACTTAGGGTCTCAAAGCAAGATTTTAAAGTGATTTTTGAGAAGACTTGGGGGGGACAATAATAGACATTCATGTCAGATCCCATATGGGGGATTTTTAAACATTTCTTTGAACTTTGAGGCCTGATTTAGGGGTGGGATTTTATTGCTTTTTGTTTTAAAGGATGAAATTTTGTGGGGTTTTAGTCTTTGATTCAGTCAGTATTTGGTTTATGTTAAATAAAAAATCAGTATCATGGAAAAGATATGACCATAATTTAGTCTCCTCAAGTGAAAAACAGGAGTAATGTTTCGTTGCACTTTGAAAGATCTGCTTCAAGGCATAACTCGTGTAGTTGTCTGGTTTCAGGGATAGCTGTTTGAATTGTCATTCTAAAGTAGGTCATCAGGTTCACTTATTATCCGACCTTAATCTGGGATAAAGGTTTTGGTATTTGCCCACTTCTAGATAGAATGAATGAAAACAACACAAGCGTTTTATGAGCACTCTTTATCAGAAAGGTATTTCCTGGACCAGAAATGGGCAATAGTTACAATAGTTGATCCTCTGTTCTGGAAGCTTTGAAATTTATCAGAGAATGAAGTCATTCAGTACATCTGATAAAGTTTTGTTGTTGTTGTTGTTGTTGTTGTTTTAATTGGGCAACCCTCAGAACTGAAGAGGTTCAGAGAACTTTCCAGGTTTATACTATACCTCAAGACCACATAGATTAGCTACTGCTTATTCTTTCACATGGGCTAGGCCTGTTCTCCTCCTCCAGACCTAGTATTCTAAGTTATTACCACATAGTATTTTTATGTTACCCATCATCTTTAAAAACATTATAGGCTGGGCATGGTGGCTTACGCCTGTAATCCCAGCACTTTGGGAGGCCAAGGCGGGCGGATCATGAGGTCAGGAGATCGAGACCATCCTGGCTAACACGGTGAAAACCCATGTCTACTAAAAATACAAAAAATTAGCCAGGTGTGGTGGCGGGCGCCTGTAGTCCCAGCTACTCAGGAGGCTGAGGCAGGAGAATGGTGTGAACCCGGGAGGCAGAGCTTGCAGTGAGCCGAGATCGCACCACTGCACTCCAGCCTGGGCGAAAGGGCAAGACTCCATCTCAAAAAAAAAAAAAAAAAAAGACTCATTTATCCATTTACATTTATTCTCAGATGATAAAATATATACTGATACTATAACTTTCTTATGGTATCAGTTTTCTTTATTTTCTTGAATAAAATTACTTCTACCTTCATTTGGTCTTTATAATCCACTGTCCACAGCATCTTCCTTTAAACCAATAGTCCCAGAAGAGACCCTCTGAAATTCTAGGACTGGATATTAAAATGCCTGAACCTGTTATCTAAATCCTTTTTAAGAAACTTAATGTTCCAGCTCTTGAACTACACTGTGGAACAGTAATTTGTGCCCAATTTAGTGGAAGATAATGAGGCTCACTGTAAACACTACATTGTCCTGCAAAGTAATTCTGATGAGAGTTTACTGACTTCTAGAGCCATTCTCTTTAACCGTCTGCAGGTCTAAGGATTAACTATATTTGTGATTTGTAATAAAACTGAGTTGTACAACACTGCCTGTGTTTGTCTGGCCAAGACATTTGCTTCACTTTTAAAATGCACGTTATCTTTGGAGAGGTGAATTATTCTACAAAATGCACCCTAAATCTCATTGTTTAAAACCTTACTGATCTAATACCATCTACACAAAAAAATGTTGTAGTTGCAGAACTTAGTTTATAAAAACAAAGAATGTGTATTTCTTCAATAGCCGGGTATTTGGATTGTTCTCTTGATAATATTTGAATGTGACTCTTGGATTTAAGTGCACTATTATTCATGGCTTATACAATAAAATTGCACTGTATGGCAAATATGTCTATAATGTATGCTTTGCTGAAACCTCAAGAGTGCTGTAAGGTACAGGTTTCCATATTGTGAACCTGTGTACGCACACACACATATACATACAGTCTTAGGGAAAAAAAAAAGCAGAACTTTTGTAAGTCTGTGTAACATTTTAATATTGTTTGTAATATTCACTAGGTGATAATTTCCCCTGTACCCTATAACTGTAATCATTCACCTTGGGTTGGCCGGTTTGTCAAGCTTGGTTTACTGAATCAAGAAAGAGTCTTGTCGAATGTGGTACTGTTCTTAGTGTGTAATATTTGCGTATGGTGTTCCTCTGCCTCAGAGGACAGTTGCACAGATGGCTAGTGTTAAATTTCTATAGACGATGGTAATAAAATCTGAATATATTTAAGTGCTAATAAATTAAATCTGTGGGCTTATTTGAATTTTTTTTTCAAATATTGGTGAAGGTTTGGATGGTGTTTCAATTAAATCTATATATTTTTTACCTTACATTTTGAAAAAATTGAGATCTGCAAAAAGGCTGCAAAATAGTACACTGATCTCCCTAGATTGTTCCTATATTGAATGATTGGTAAAATTTTCCATATTTGCTTTAATACCACGTGTGTGTGTGTGTGTGTGTGTGTGTGTTTGTTACACTGTTATTTTGCTGAAACATCCGAGTTAGCTGCAGACATTGTGACCCTGTCTTCTAAATACTTCACAGGAATCTCCCAAGAATTAGGAATATGTATTCTACATATTATTGATTTAGTATGTATTAATATAAACACATGACTCATTGAGGGTAAAAGGAAAGCTCTTTCTTAGAGTAGAATGCCAGCTATTAAATGTAGAAAGAAAATGGAATTAAAAAGCCACTATTTGGCATATTATTACAGTAATCATTGACTTAGGCAATGCCTAACAGTGAATGGCAAAACTAGCAGGTGAAAATTTGTGAAGAACAGAATATAATCTCCAAATAGCCTTCCACAAAATAGTTACTAGTTACAAAGGAGAAAATACTAACTTTATAGTGAAAGGAACTGGTAGATATCACCTTATTTCAGGAAAAGTTAACATCATTAGTAATGGGACATATCAACATCATGTGCCTTCTGATATGATCCATCCAGAAACAGCACCACTGTTGGAGGGAAAAAGCAGTCTTAGGAGTTTTATAGTTTAAAATCTTACATTTAGATCTTAATCCATTCTGTATTAATTTTTGTATACCGTGTAAGGTAAGGGCCCAATTTCATTATTTGCATATGGATATTCAGTTTTTCCCAACACTTTGTTGAAGAGACTGTCCTTTTCCCATTGTGTGGTCTTGGTATCTTTGTTGAAGATTATTTGACCATATGCATATTCATTTCTGTGCACTCTATTGTGTTCCATTGGTGTATATGTCTGTGTTAATCACTGGAAGGCTGAGGCAGGAGGATCACATAGGGCCAGGAGTTCGAGACCAGCATGGGAAACATAACAAGATCCTGTCTTTACAAAAAATAAAAAAATTAGCCAGGCATGATGGTGCTCATCTGCAGTCCTTGCTACTCAGAAGCTGGAGTGGGAAGATCACTTGAGCCCAGGAGTTCCCTCTCCCTCTCTTTCCATGGTCTCCCTCTGATGCCGAGCCAAAGCTGGACTGTACTGCTGCCATCTCGGCTCACTGCAACCTCCCTGCCTGATTCTCCTGCCTCAGCCTGCCGAGTGCCTGCCATTGCAGGCTCGCGCCGCCACGCCTGACTGGTTTTCGTATTTTTTTGGTGGAGACAGGGTTTCGCTGTGTTGGCCGGGCTGGTATCCAGCTCCTAACCGCGAGTGATCCGCCAGCCTCGGCCTCCTGAGGTGCCGGGATTGTAGACGGAGTCTGGTTCACTCAGTGCTCAATGTTGCCCAGGCTGGAGTGCAGTGGCGTGATCTCGGCTCGCTACAACCTCCACCTCCCAGCCGCCTGCCTTGGCCTCCCAAAGTGCTGAGATTGCAGCCTCTGCCCGGCCGCCACCCCGTCTGGGAAGGGAGGAGCGTCTCCGCCTGGCCACCCATCGTCTGGGATGTGAGGAGCCCCTCTGCCCGGCTGCCCAGTCTGGGAAGTGAGGAGCGCCTCTTCCTGGCCGCCATCCCGTCTAGGAAGTGAGGAGCGTCTCTGCCCAGCTGCCCATCATCTGAGATGTGGGGAGCGCCTCTGCCCGGCTGCGACCCCGTCTGGGAGGTGAGAAGCGTCTCTGCCCGGCCGCCCTGTCTGAGAAGTGAGGAGCCCCTCCGCCTGGCAGCTGCCCCGTCTGGGAAGTGAGGAGCACCCCGCCCGGCAGCCGCCCCGTCTGGGAAGTGAGGAGCGTCTCCGCCTGGCAGCCGCCCCATCCGGGAGGGAGGTGGGAGGTCAGCCCCCGCCCGGCCAGCAGCCCCGTCCGGGAGGGAGGTCGGGGATCAGCCCCCGCCCGGCCAGCCGCCCCGTCCGGGAGGGAGGTGGGGGGTCAGCCGCGGCCTGGCCAGCCGCCCCGTCCGGGAGGGAGGTGGAGGGTCAGCCCCCCACCGGCCAGCCGCCCTGTCCGGGAGGGAGGTGGGGGGTCAGCCCCCACCCGGCCAGCTGCCCCGTCTGGGAGGGAGGTGGGGGGCGCCTCTGCCCGGCTGCCCCTTCTGGGAAGTGAGGAGCCCCTCTGCCCGGCCACCACCCCGTCTGGGAGGTGTACCCAACAGCTCATTGAGAACGGGCCATGATGACGATGGCGGTTTTGTGGAATAGAAAAGGGGGAAAGGTGGGGAAAAGATAGAGAAATCAGATTGTTGCTGTGTCTGTGTAGAAAGAAGTAGACATGGGAGACTTCATTTTGTTCTGTACTGGGAGGGGTTCTTCTGCCTTGGGATACTGTTGATCTGTGACCTTGACCCCAGCCCTGTGCTCTCTGGGGCATGTGCTGTGTCCACTCAGGGTTAAATGGATTAAGGGCGGTGCAAGATGTGCTTTGTTAAACAGATACTTGAAGACAGCATGCTCGTTAAGAGTCATCACCACTCCCTAATCTCAAGTACCCAGGGACACAAACACTGCGGAAGGCCGCAGGGTCCTCTGCCTAGGAAAACCAGAGACCTTTGTTCACTTGTTTATCTGCTGACCTTCCCTCCACTATTGTCCTATGACCCTGCCAAATCCCCCTCTGCGAGAAACACCCAAGAATGATCAATTAAAAAAAAAAAAAAGAAAGAAAGAAAGAAAGAAAAGAAGCAGAGTTGGACTCAGCGGGAAAATAGGCGTGCTACCACCTCAGGAGAGTTCCAGGGAAGAACCCCACCCGCACTCCAATGAGGTCACAATGGCTGGAGCTCTGAGGGGCCCAGGCTCCCTGAGCCAGGAGGAGAGGAGAAAGTCCAAGGAAAGATGGCTGGCAGTCACCCCTACTTCAACCTGCCTGACTCCACACACCCATCGCCGCCCTCCGCTCCACCCAGCCTCCGCTGGCACCAGCGCTGCCAGCCCTCTGGTGCCACCAATGGCCTGCTGGTGGCCCTGCTGGGTGGGGGCCTGCCTGCTGGCTTCGTGGGCCCCCTTTCTCGTATGGCTTACCAGGGTTCCAACCTGCCCTCGCTGGAGCTGCTCATCTGTCGATGCCTCTTCCACCTCCCTATTGCCCTGCTACTTAAACTGCGTGGCGACCCCCTTCTGGGACCTCCTGACATCCGAGGCTGGGCCTGCTTCTGTGCCCTGCTCAACGTCCTCAGCATTGGATGTGCCTACAGTGCAGTTCAGGTGGTGCCCGCTGGCAACGCTGCCACTGTTCGCAAAGGTTCTTCCACCGTATGCTCCGCTGTCCTCACCCTCTGCCTTGAGAGCCAGGGTCTCGGTGGCTACGAGTGGTGTGGACTGTTGGGCAGCATCCTAGGACTAATCATCATTCTGGGACCTGGACTCTGGACACTACAGGAGGGGACCACAGGTGTCTACACCACCCTGGGCTATGTGCAGGCTTTCCTGGGAGGCCTGGCGCTGTCCCTGGGGCTTCTGGTCTATCGTTCTCTGCACTTTCCCTCCTGCCTCCCAACAGTGGCCTTCCTATCTGGCTTGGTGGGGCTGCTGGGCTGTGTGCCAGGCCTCTTTGTGCTGCAGACCCCCGTGTTGCCCAGTGACCTCCTGAGTTGGAGTTGTGTGGGGGCAGAGGGGATCCTCGCCTTGGTCTCCTTCACATGTGTGGGCTATGCGGTCACCAAGGCCCACCCTGCCCTGGTGTGCGCTGTCCTGCATTCCGAGGTGGTTGTGGCCCTTATACTGCAGTATTATATGCTCCATGAGACTGTGGCACTTTCTGACATCATGGGGGCAGGGGTTGTGCTGGGCAGCATTGCCATCATTACAGCCCGGAACCTCAGCTGTGAGAGGACAGGGAAGGTGGAGGAGTGAGATAGAACTTGGGAGCCCGGGGGTTGGGAGGGACAGGGATAAATAAAGACAAAGACTGAAGACAAAAAAAAAATAAAAGAAAAAAAATAATTATAATAAATCCTAGGAAAGAGTGAAAGTCTAACTTCCATAGCACATTATAATATTGAGATGTTCAGTTATAATAAAAATATCACAAAGCATGCAAACAAATGAGAAATCTGGCTTATTTACAGGAATAAAATTAATTGAACTATCCTTAAGGAATCCCAGACTTTGGACTTACTAGACAAAGACTAAACAATTGTCTTAAATATGCACAAGAGTTAAAAGACAACTAAATGAAATCAGAGAAATGATGTTTGAACAAAATGAGAATATCAATAAAAATATAAAAATTATAGAAAGGAACCAGGTAGAAATTTTGTAGCTGAAACGTGCGACAACTGAGATGAGAAATTCACTAGAAGGGTTCGATAGAGTTTGTTTGTTTTTTGTTTTTTGCTTTTTTTTTTCTGAGACAGAATCTTGCTCTGTCACACAGGCTGGAGTGCAGTGGCATGATCTCAGCTCACTGTAACATCCGCCTTCTGGGTTCAAGCAATTCTCCTACATCAGCCTCCCAAGTAGCTGAGATTACAGGTGCATGCCACCACACGCAGCTAATTTTTGTATTTTTAGTAGAGATGAGGTTTCACTATGTTGGCCAGGCTGGTCTCAAACTCCTGACCTTGTGATCCACCCGCCTTGGCCTCCCAAAATGCTGGGATTGCAGGCATTAGCCACCACGCCCAGCCTTCCGTAGAGTTTTTGATCAGGCAGAAGAAAGGATCAGCAAATTTGAAGATAGGATTATTGAAATTATCCACTCTGAGGAGCATAAAGAAAAAGAATAAAAATAGTGAATAGACTTCAAGACTTGTAGGATACCATCAAGTGGACCAACATATGGTTTATGAGAGTCCTAGAAAAAAGCAAAAAAGTGTTTTAAAAATGAGGGCTGAAAACATCCCAGATTTGATGAAAGACATAAGTGTACAAATCCAAGAAGCCTCTACAACAACCTCTAATACCATAAACTCAAAGAGATTCATACCAAGACACAGTATATGAAAACTATCAAAAATCACAAAGAATCTTGAAAGTAGCAAGAGAATCAACTCATCACATTACAAGGGATCCTAAATGAGATTATCAACTAATTTTTAATTAGAATTAATGGAGGCCAGAAGACAATGGGATGATATAGTTTAAATGTTGAAAGAAAATAACCTGTCAACTGAGAATTATATATCCAGCAAAACTGTCCTTCAAAAAATAAGGGAGAAATTAAGACATGCCTAGATTTTTAAAAAGCTTAGGGATCTTGTTACTGCGAGATATGCCTGACAAGAAATGCTAAAGGGGGTCCTTCAGTGAGATGAAAGAACACTAGACAGTAACTTGAACCCATATGAAGAAAGAAGTATCTCCACGACAGATAAATTCTAGGGCAAATATAAAAACCAGTATTATTATAACTTTAGTTTATAACATCAGTTTTTATTTTCCATAGGAATTAAAAGACAAAAACATAAAAAAGCAATTATAAATCTATGTTAGGGAGCTTGTTACCAGTAGATTTGCCATACAAGAAATGCTAAAGGGAGTCCTTGAAGGTGAAATGAAAGGATGGTAGACAGTAACTCAAACCTGAGTGAAGAAATAAATATTTCTGGTTGCTATGGTTTGAATGTCCCCTCTAAAATGCATGTTGAAATTTAATTGCCATTGTGATGGTATTAAGAGGTGGAACCTTTAAGAGATGATTAGGTCATAAGGGCTCTGCCCTCATATATGGATTAATGCCATTATCATGGGAGTGAGTTAGTTATCATGGAAGTGGGTTCCTGATAAAAAAGATTCTGAAATTCAGCCCCGGTCCTTTTCTGTCTCACACACTGTCTTGTCCTTCCACCTTTTGCCATGGGATGAGGCAGCACAAAGGCCCTCACCAGATGCTGGCACCATGCTCTTGGACTTCCCAGCTTCCAGAGCCTTGAGCCAGATAAACTTGTATATAAATTATCCAGTTTGTAGTATTCTGTTATAGTAGCAGAAAAATGGACTAAGACACTGGTAAAGTAAATACAATGGCAAACATAAAAAAACAGTATTAATGTAATTTTGGCTTGTAACTCCACTTTTTATTTTCTAAGGAATCAAAAGACAGGCATAAAAATAAATGTTATTGAGCACTCAATGTATAAAGATTTGGGACATCAATAACAAAGGGCGTGGGACAGAGCTGTATAGGCATACGTTTTTCTATACTATTAAAGTTAACTTGGAATAAGTTTAGATTAGACTGTTTAAACTTTAGGTTGTTATGTGTAATGCTTATGGTAACCACAAGGAAAATATCTATGGAAAACACAAGAAGAAATGAGAAGGGAATCAAAAGATATCACTACCAAAAATAAATAAACTAAGCACAAAAGACAGTCATTATGGGGAAAATGGGGGGCAAGAAAGTAACAAAACATACAGAAAAGAAGTAACAAAACAGCAGAAGTCCTTATCAGTGATTACATTAAATGTAATCACTTTTCAATCAGAAGGCAGACAATGACGGAATGGAAAAAAGAATGATGTCCCATGTATGCAAGGCTGATTTAAATGTTAAATGTTAAATCAGCCTTCAGTTCAGCCAGTCAGTTAATGTAATCCATAACATCAACAGACTAAAGAAGAAAAACCACATGGTCATATCAGTAAATGCAGAAAAAGCTTTTCACAAAATCCAAAACTTTATGCTAAAACTCTTAGTAAACTAGGAATAGAGTGGAACTTCCTCAATTTGACAAAGAACATCTTAAAAAAATTCTGCAGCTAACATACTTAATGTTGAGAAGCTTGCCTGCTGATATCAGGAACAAGACAAGCATGTGCACTCTCACGACTCCTTTCAACATTGTATGGGAAATTATAACTAATGCAATGAGACAGAAACAGAAAAAGTATACAGATTGGGAAGGAAGAAACAGAACTCTTTGTTCACAGATGATATGATTTTCTATGTAGAAAGTCTAAAATAAGCAACCATAATCTCCTAGAACTAATAAACAGTTATAGCAAGGTTGCAGGGTGCATGGTTAATTTACAAAATTCAATTGCTTTCCTATCTGTCAGCAATGAACAAATGAAATTTGACATTTAAAAATATCATTTACATTAGCAGCTCCCCAAAATTAAGTACTTAGATATAAATCTAACAAAATATATACAAAATCTACATGAAGAAAGCTACGAAGTTCTGATGAAGGAAATCAGAGATGAACTAAATAAATATAGAGATATTCTATGTTCATGGATGGGAAGAATCAATATTGTCAAGATATCAGTGCTTCCCATCTTGATCTAGATTCCATGCAATCTCAATCAAAATGTTATTTTGTGGATAGTGACAAACTTCTTCTGAAGTTTATGAAAAGCAAAACCCATAATAGCCAACACAATATTGAAGGAGAAGAACAAAGTTGAGGACTGACAATACTCAACTTCAAGATTTATTATAAAGCCACGTTAATCAAGACCGTATTTCTTGCCTAGCTTCTGGTACTTTGCTGGCAGTCTGTGGCATTAATTGGCCTGTAGTAGCATTACCTTGATCTCTGCCTTCATCTATACATGGCATACTCCCTGTGTGCATGTCTCTGTGTTCAAATTTCCCCTTTTATTTTCTAGTCTTACTGGATTATATCGCACCCTAATGACCTCATCTCAACTAATTACATCTGCAATAACCCTATTTCCAAATAAGGTTATGTTCTGGGAGTTAGGACTTCAACACGTGAAGTTGGGGGGAGGACACAATTAAACTCACAAGAAATAACATGGTAGTGAATAACATTCTATCCTCAGGTAGCAGAAGTATTACAGACAAGGAATGCATAGCTGCATACAGAATATATACATTTTGGTGAGGACAAATCACTCCTTCATGATAAAAGAGGTACAATGTAATCAACCTTCTACCAGGTGGCTGGCTGCTTCCAACCCTCAGAAAAGAGTGCCATATCAAGAGCTCAGCATTAGATTCTGGTGTTGATAGGTTGGGTAGTCAGCAGTGGCAGTAGCCAGATTGGTCTTGCCCAGAGGAAGTCCATGTTGCTGAGTCTATGCATAGCCTCCATCCCTACCACATGACTACTTTGTATTTGGTTCCATTTACCAGGACCTGGGGTGGCTGGAGAAAGAGGCTGACTGATCCTTTGGCTCTATGACCCATAGGCTGTGTCAACGTGTCCACCTGATTATTGAAAACCTCCTCTGTATTAGATTCCCTTTGGTGAACATTCACACCGAAATATAAAATCTTCACACTCTATGCCCAGTCTGAAAGGTGTATTTAAAATACTTCTTTAGTCTTCCTTGTCATTAATCTTCCAATCTTGTTCTTTACAATTTCCTGGGCAGCCAGCCAAACCATTATTCACTGTCCATGAATTGATGTAGATAAGTACTTTTTTGGCCATCTCCAATGCCAGGAAAGTAAGCAAATATACCCTTAAAGTTATTTGGAATATTTCTGCTCGACAGGTCCAATATTTTTCTTCCTCTGTGTGCCGGTCATAAGGAAATCTTCAGGACGCCAGTGATGCCAGCTAAACGAGAGCAGGCAATGCAGCAGAAGTAAGTGTGAAAGGGATCGGAATCACCTGCACATACAACATTCTAGTGCATTCTGGACTTGCTCAAGCACCATCCACTATACCATTTCCACTTGGGATGGATTGCTATTGTATGCATCCAACTGTTTAGCTTGGAAAGTCAGATAACTCCCAGTTCATAATGAGTACCTCAGGTTGCCGGAGTTCTTGATGACTCATGGTCTAATAGCAAGCCAGAAGCTGTTTTTCAAAGAAAAAATGGTAATCTGCAGAAGGGGGCGTTGTTTTGCTGCAAAATCTTAGAGTTCTGGACTGTTATCTACTGGGACTTGTCAGAGGCTACATACAGCATTCTTACTTGCCACAGACACCAAATATCACTAGATCGCTGAGTAGCAATGCAGCTTGCACTGCATTCTAGACTTGTTGCCTAGGCTTCTCTTGCTCTCGTAGCCACTCAGAACCAGCAGACTGTTGGGTTACTTTATAGTAACTTAAGTAGCTCTAAGAAGTATACTCAAATGTGACATATGTTGCCTCCAAAATCCAAAAAGGGTCATGATGCATCACTGCACTTGGTTTTTAGTAATAGGTGGTACAAGGTGCAGCAACTTCTCTTTCACCTTGGATATCTTAACGTTCTCCAGACCATCACTCACCAATAATTTCATCAAATTGGCAGGGCCCTGAATTTTTGTGGGGTTTTTCCTCTACCCTCTGCCTTGCATTTGTCTTCCTCAGACATCTCAGGTACTTGTCACTTCCTGTTCATCAGATCCAATCAGCTTCATGTATTCAATGAAGTGGTCCGGTGTGATAGTCTAAGAATGTCAAAACAATTGAGATTTCTGCATTCTATATATGGCAGAGGCCAGTAGTGTTGACATAGCCCTGGGGCAAAACTGTGAAAGTAGACTCGGTCCTGCTAGGGAAAAGCAAACTATTTCTCATGATCCTTGAGAAAATAAATTTTTAACACATTTGCCATATCTCTCATTGCATTCTAGGTACCAGTGACTGAATTCATGTGCTCCGGTAAAGGTAGAGAGACAGATTCCTGTCACTTCCTACTCTGCTGTCTTCTTGATGTCACTCTTGAGGTTGAGTCTTCACAAGATAGTACCTGTCCTCCTAGGATTTACTGCCACCACCTCTCAAGGATTCTATGACAATGAATATAAATAGAATCAAATCTCAACATGGTTCCTGCTGTAGTTCCCCAAGGAATTGTTCACAGCAGCTTCAGGACTTGGCTAATATGTCCAAGGAGAACATGTCTGGGAATGGATCTTGAGGGAGCATTCGGACTTGTGGGGAAAAGATTGGGAAAGGAGGAGCAATGATTTGGAGACACTGTCCCATGACTCAGAATTTAGCGTCCTGGCAAGGACATCTGGAGCTGATGCTTGGAAAAATGATGGTCTTTAGTAAATGAAGTGGGGATGCCAGAACTTCCTCGGCAGAGTATTGAAGAATGAGTCAAAAGGCACGTGGAGGTGGGTATGATTGCATGAATTCATTATATGGACCAGCTTCTGTTGTTCTCCGGAGTGTCCAGAGGTCTTCCCATCATAATAGCAATAAGAAATGTGCTAGTGAGGTGGCACTGGCCTTGTTGGGAAGCTCAGTGGTGGTGACCTTTGTAGGCTGGAGTTCGTTGTAGGGGAAGTGGCTCTATTGAACCGGGCTCCATAGTGTCAATGGTGAGGATAGAATTTCAGAATAGCAGAGGACAGATGGCAACAATTAATCTTCAGTGGAAAGGTAGACATAATTCCTGTAATGGGAAGCAAAGCTGGAATGGTGACCAGGGGAACCTTTTCCACAGCGATCTGTGGTAATGGCCAATAGACCACGGCATTCCTATGGATGAGACTGGCAGCCAAGGAGGTCACTGCTTTGCCTTATACAAAATATGATCAAGAATGGGTGAGTTGAAGGCTGACGTCAGCTGGCACGATGAAAAATTACATTTTTTGCTCAGTTTCTAAATCTGAAATATTCTAAGACCCAGAGTCTGTGGATTGAAGACAGGTAGTTCCTTTTAAGGAGTGACTCTGCAGCACCATGGCAACTTTAGACAGTAGCAATTTCCTTCAATCCTTCTCCAAAGAGACACGTGGTCATTTACCAGAATAATTTTGTGCTGGGAAGAAGGGAGTCCATAGCTCTTTTGAGGGCTGTTAGATATAACATCTGAACTGATAATGCCATGGGACTCCTGATGCCACCATGACTGCTTTTAGAGTAGGGTCATATAGTGTCCAGGTTATAGGACATTGTGTGCCCCCTGTGCAAGGCCATGTCACAGTGGCAGAGATTAGCACCATTCTCCAGGACTAAAGGATGCAGGGGTGTCAATCCCCTTAACATTTCTTTTTAATTCATCAGTCTGACCCCTGCAAATCCAGTTAGGTCATGGTGGTTGATAGTGATCTATTATAATCTTAATTAAGTGGTAGCTCCAATCAAACAGCTGCTAGGCCCAGATGTTGCACCTTTACTAGAACAGACCTACAAAGCCTCTGACAATTGGTATACTATTTATCTGGCAAATTTGTTCTTTTCAGAAACTATTCCCTTGGAAGAGTCAGTATACATTCATGATATGGCCCCCGGCCTTTAATAATTATTCATTCTCTATCACAATACAGTCCAAAGGGTCCTTAATCATTTGGCTATTCTATAGAACAGGGATGAGCAAACCCAGATCTGTAGGCCAAATCTGGCCCGCTGCCTGTTTTTGTAAATAAAGTTTTATTCGAACAGACACACTCCTTTGCTTATGTACAGTAATGTCTATGGCCGCTTTCACTCTATGATGGCAGAGGTGAGTAGCTGTGACAATAAAATAGAGTATTTACAATCTGTTCCCTTACAGAAAATTTGCTGACCTCTGCTCTGGAACGTCAGGCTGCTCCCTATGTTGGTGAATCACGTTTGTCAGAGCTGGGGAGCAGAAGTGGTGAGTACGTTGGGTGCCTCGGTAAGACTCATGAATTCCAGAGGATGGAAGATAGACCTAGAAAAGATTCAGGGGCCTGCCACATTGGTGGAGTTTTTGGAGGGCTGGTGGTCTGGGCATGCTGAGGCATCCTTTTCAAGATAAAGCCATTAACTTATTCAAGCTTGCACCTCCTACCTCTATGAGACAGGCACAGCACTTGGTTAGGCCTCTTCTATTTCATAGACAGCAGATTCACTCATGAGAATACCACTGGATCCATTTATCAGGTGACTTGAAAGGCCGCGGCCGGGCGCGGTGGCTCACGCCTGTAATCCCAGCACTTTGGGAGGCCGAGGCGGGCGGATCACGAGGTCAGGAGATCGAGACTATCCCGGCTAAAACGGTGAAACCCCGTCTCTACTAAAAATACAAAAAATTAGCTGGGCGTAGTGGCGGGCGCCTGTAGTCCCAGCTACTTGGGAGGCTGAGGCAGGAGAATGGCGTGAACCCGGGAGGCGGAGCTTGCAGTGAGCCGAGATCGCGCCACTGCACTCCAGCCTGGGCGACAGAGCGAGACTCCGTCTCAAAAAAAAAAAAAAAAGAAAGAAAGGCCGCCAGTTTTGAGATGGGCCTCAAAGATCAGGAGGAGGCTTTGCAGTGAGTTCTAGCTGCCATACAAGCAGCTCGCTGCCTTGGGCCATGTGACTCATGCATTGGACATCATGGTGCTGGAGGTATCCATGTAGCTGAGTCTTCTACCTGCATTGAGAAGCAATGGTTGCCTGGCTGCGTGGTGTGGGGAAGGCTTCTCCAGGGGCCTGCTGGAGGGGGATTTCCTCTTTTTTAGGGGAAAGGATCTCTGTTGGGTATGGGGTACCAACAAGGGCTAAGATGTGAAGTGTAAGTAAAGGGCACATTGTATTACCATTTTGACCTGGTGGATGTCTTGAGTCTGTTCATAAATACAAATATTCAATAAATATCATGCATATATCAAGTTTTCTCATCAAGAAATTATTATTATCATTGAGACAGGGTCTCCCTCTATTGCCCAGGCTGGTGTGCAGTGGCATGATCATGGCTCACTGCAGCCTCGACCTCCCTGGGCTCAATTGATCCTCCCACCTCAGCCTCCCAAGTAGCTAGGACCACAGGTGTGCACCACCACACCTGGCTTTGCTTTGCTTTGCTTTCCTGTTTTTTTGAGATGGAGTTTCCGTCTTGTCACCCAGGCTGGAGTGTAATGGCATGATCATGACTCACTGCAGCCTCAACCTCCCTGGGTTCAATTTATCCTCACACCTCAGCCTCCCAAGTAGCTAGAACCACAGGTGTGCACCACCACACCTGGCTTATTTTTCTTTCTTCCTTTTTTTTTTTTTTTTTTGCAGGGTGGGGGAGGGGCGGAGTTTCCCTCTCGTTGCCTGGGCTGGAGTGCAATAGTGTGATCTCGGCTCATTGCAACCTCTGCCTCCCAGGTTCAAGTGATTCTCCTGCCTCAGCCTCCCGAGTAGCTGGGATTACAGGTCCCAGCCACCATGCCTGGCTAATTTTTGTATTTTTAGCAGAGACCATGTTGGTAAGGCTGGTCTCGAACTCCTGACCTCAGGTAATTCGCCCACCTTGGCCTCCCAAAGTGCTGAGGTTACAGGCTACAGGCATGAGCCATGGCACCTGGACTTATTTTTCTCTTTCTTTTTATTTATTTATTTGCATTTTTTGTAGAGATGGGGTTTTGCCATGTTGTCCAGGCTGGTCTTGAACTCCTGGGCTCAAGCAATCTTCCTGCCTTGGATACCCAAAGTGCTGGGATTACAGGCATGAGTCACTGCACCTAGCCAAGAAAGTGTTTTCTAATGCTAACTCTGGAGATTTGCTCAAATCAAGGTGACTTCCCTATCTGTCAGAATTTTAAGATTCATTTAATGACTGTGTTACTTTCTCCAGAGAGGGATAAGGAATTGGGCCATGTGGTCATGAAGTTTGAGAAGTCTCAAGATTTACAAGTTGGAGACCGTGGAGAGCTGATGATGTGTTGCGGCATGAGTCCGAAGGACCGAGCATTAGGAGAGCCGATGGTCTAATTTCCAGTTTGAGTCCAAGTCTAAAGGCAGGAAAAGACCAACGTCCCAATGACCATCAGGCAGAGCCAGTGAATTCTCTCTTACCCTGTCTTTTGTTCTAGTCAGGCCTTCAATGGCTTGGATAAGACCCACCCACATTGGGGAGGGCACTCTCCTTCATTCGGTCCACTACTGTAAATGCTAATCTCATCCAGAAATATCTGGAAACCCTGTGGCCCAGTCAAGTTGATATAGAAAATTAACCATTACAATGACAACGAGACAGAAACTGCAGGACACAAAGACTGGCATATGTCTTATCACGTGCCATGCCCAGACAAACTTGGGTTACAGAAGTTTTGTCAGATAATTTGTTTATGGCTATGTGCCAACATTTAATTACAATCTTGTATACTGGGAGAAGATCTCTAATAGGCCAATTCAAAGGTTTACTCTAGATAGGGACATTTCATGGGAAAGGTGAATTATTAGGGCAACAGTCCACAGAGCATGGTCCCTGGGTCAGCAACATGAGCATCATCTGGAAACTCGCTAGAAATACACCCTCAGACCCCACCCTATCCCTACTGAATAAAAAACTCTGGCGTAGGGACCAGAAATCTGTGTTTTAACAAGCTCTGCAGGTGATTCTGTTACATGCCACCGTTTGATAACTACTGAACTTGGTAATAATTGTTAGGCTAAATGTTTAAAGAAAAAGTCTGGTTCAACGTCACCAGCTTCCTAACCATCAGCAGTCAACCAAGAGGTGGAGGTTAGTAGGTAACTAGCTTATCAGAGCAAGTCGTAATCAAAGAGTCCATGAAGGAGTTTTTTGTTTTGTTTTGTTTTGTTTCAGAAATAGTAATTTCTCTCTAGAAGGAGGTTGTGAATTACAGGACATGGCTTGGATTTTTATTTTAGATGTTACCAGCATTGCTTTCATTGCTTCTGCTGGAAGGTGGCAATCTTCAAGGGTCTAAGTAATTCTTAGACCAATGAAGGGTCAAGGCTGGCCTTTTACAAATAACGGAGAAAGAGGGTGTCCATAGCCTACAGAACTTTCTCTCAGAACTTCTAGGTCAGTGCTGTTCTTTGGGAATCTAATATGAGCCACATATATAATTTAAAAATTTCTATTAATCACACAAGAGTAAAAAAAACAGGTGAAATGAATTGTAATATGTTTTATTTAACTTACCTTACTAAAAATATTTTCCATTTAACATACAATATGAAATTCATTAACGGATAGTCACATTTTTAAACGCCATATCTTCAAAATCTGGTGTTTGACAGCACATTTCAGTTCAAACTAGCTACGTTGCAAGGATTTAATAGCCCTATGTGGCTAGTGACTATTGTATGGAACATTATCGTTCTAGACCCTCTACTCCTGCAACTGGAAGGGGAGACCTGGTGCTTTTATTTATTTATTTACTTTTTCATTAAATAACTAAGGACAGAAGTTGTGGCTTGATGATGTAATTTACTTGTATGTTCCCTGGGGCTTAATTTCTTTAGTCATTCTGGGCATAAGTCCCTGTCCAGGCAATGCTATTAGACCTTATACAGAAACAAGCCTCTCCCTTCATATTTTAAAGCACTGTGAGATCTTGAAATGAAGCATGGAATTTGCATATTTTGTCCATTCTTCCTGAACCATACATCTAGGTATCTTATGCAAACAAACTAAAACAGAATGTTTTGATATGTCCTGTTTAGGAACTTATTGTCACAAATGTATTCACATTCTCTAATTGCATATGAAGAAAAAATCTTTTCATTTAGAAATTTAAGCCTGTAATCGATTTTCTCTGAGTGATTTCATTTTCCCTCCTTTCCCTTTTTCTTTTACTGAATTTTATTTGTAATTCACTACTTTCTATTACATTTTGCAACAAAGATTTGATTCAATATCCAGTGATTTTGCTCCTTTCAGGTTTAAACCATTTCTCCCATTGTCAGTTGACTTTCGTTAAACCGTTTCTCCCATTGTCAGTCTACTTTCGTGGTCATTATTTCTACAAAGTATATTTTTCCCAAGTGAAATTTTACATATGAACATTTGTCAGGAAGCTCTTTAGTCATTTTTACCAAGTAACAAATTTTACTTTTTTTTTCTTATCAAGATACTTTTTAAAGTTTTTATTTTAAGATCTTTTTTGTTTGTTTTCTTTCTTGAGATGGAGTATTGCTCTGTCACCTAGGCTGGAGTGCAGTGGTGCGATCTTGGCTCACTGCAACCTCTGCCTCCCAGGTTCAAGCGATTCTCATGCCTCAGCCTCCCAAGTAGCTGGGATTGCAGGCACGTGGCACTAAGCCTGACTAATTTTTTTTTTTTTTTTTTTTAGTAGAGACAGGGTTTCACCATGTTGGCCAGGCTGGTCTCAAACTCCTGACCTCAAGTGATCCACTTGCCTCAGCCTCCCAGTGTTGGGATTACAGGCTTGAGCCACCATGCCTGGCCAACATCATTTTAGACAGACAAGGTTGCAAAAATAGTAGAGTTCCTTTGAACCCTTCACCCAGTGCCCCCTTATATTAACCTCTTACATAACTGTAGTACAACTCTAATGGAGAAGTAATCTGTAAGGAAGTAAAAAGGGCACTGTACTATGAACTAAACTAGAAAGTTTATTCGTGTTTCACTGGTTTTTCCACTGATGCTCTTTTTCTGTCCCAAGATCTAATCCAGGATTTCACGTGACAGGAGTCATTGTCTCCTTAATCTGTGACAGTTCCTCAGTCTTCCTGTCTTTTGTGACCTTGAGACTTCTGAAGGGTACTGGTCAGTTACCTTGTAGGAATGTTCCTCCATTTGGGTTGTCTAATGTTTTCTCATAATGAGATTGTGCATTGTTGGGCAGGAAAACCTCCGGGGTGCTGCGCTCTTCCCAGCGCCTCCTCTGTCAACACGTTTCTGGAGAGGTAAACCTGGGTCACGTGGTTAAGGTGGTGATGCCAGTTTTGTTCACTGCAAAGTTACTATTTTTCCCTTTGTTATTGATAAACATCTATTTTGGGAGAGATGCTTTGAGACTATGCAAATATCCTGCTTCTCCTTAGGCTTTCCCAGCTAATTTTGCCACATCTGGGGACCCTGCCTGCAGCAATGATTGCAGTAGTGTTTCAGTGGTGATTTGCCAAGTCTCTCATTCCTTCCATATGTATTAATTGGAATTCTGCAAGAAAGAGTTGTCGGCCAGGCTGCAGTGAGCTGAGATCATGTCACTGCCCTCCAGCCTGGGCGACAGAGTGACATCTTGCCTCGAAGAAAAAAAAGAGTTGCCCTTTCCCCCCATTTAGTCACTCATTCAGTTATTTATTTATATGAATATAGACTAGAGGCTATTTGTTCTTATTTATTTTTTTATTTGGGTTTGTGATTTTAGCGCCAAAATCTCAACCGTGAAAATGGAGAGAAATTCTGAATATTATCACTCCCTAAGTTAGGACAGAAACTTACTTTGCAGACAGAAGCCAAAGGGTCTGAGGAGGACACAGGCTCACTGGGAGGACTGGAGAAGCAGCCTGAAGGGGCAGAAACCCAAGGCGGTCCTAGAGCCAGGAAGCCCTTGGCAGTGTCCCTGGGCGGGACTGGCCTCAGAGGGCCTCTGCTAGTGGGGACAGGATTTAAATCTCAGATAGTGTCTGCCCCTTGACTGAGGAGGGCGAGGACTGACGCCATTCACTTCAGCCTCTTTGCATGGGGAAGAGAGGAAGTGGATGCTAGGTAGCCAGAAAGCACCCACTTTTCAGTCCCTGGAATCCCCAAGAACAAAGCTTGAAGCTATGGTCTGTGACCCCGCCCGACCGGCCGCCATTCCCCAATGCAGACCAGAGGCAGTGTCAGCGGATCGCTCTACTCCGCAACGCTCCCACCTGTAATCCTGATGCAGGGCAGGTGAGCCCCAAAGTGGAGCTTCCACCAGGAGGGTTCTTGGCTTTGCCCAGGAAAGAATTCAAGGGCAAGCCAGAGGTAGAAGAAAACAGCTTTATTGAAGAGGCAGGGTTACAGCTCCGTGACTGCTCCTGCAGAGCAGGGCTCCCCCATAGGCAGAGAGGAGCAGCTCAGGGCAGTTTTGCAGTTTTATATATATATATATATATATATATATATATATATATATATATATATATATATATACACACACACACACACATACACACACACACACACACACACACACTCACACACACACACTTTTAATTGCATACAGATTAAGGGGCGGTTTATGCAGAAATTTCTAGGGAAGGGGTGGTAATTATTGGGTTACTGCCACGGAAAGGGGCGGTAACTCCCTGGTATTGACATGGCAACGGTAAACTGACGTGGCACCCTGGTGGTCCTATCTGTTGGAAAGCTGCTTTGGCCCTGACCTTGCTTTAGTTTGTCCTCAATCTGGTCTGGTGTCTGAGCCCCGCCTCCTACCTCAATCCCACTCAAGGTGAGCTTGATATCCTCTTCCATCCACCACCAAGTTTGTGGAGAACGGAAAATAGCTCCTCATGATATGATAAGGAGTATTACAAAGGGCAGCGAGGCAGGGACAGGTTGCCTGGGTCAGCATTCTGGTCCCCCGTGGCCTTGATCCCATCTCGTCACGTCTCTGGGGGTATCGTGGTCTCGGTAATCTCAAGTCTCTTGAGATGCCAAAAGTCTGAAACCCCTACCTCCGTGGGCAGTTCGGTAGACCGCAGAACCGTAGTCATTTTAGACTGCATTAATAACACTTCAGGCGGGGAGACTACGCTGAGCAGAATGCACGGTGATCATGACCTAGTCGACATATTTCAAGGGCGCCAGAGGCAGAGCCATCTTCAGGGATCAAGTCAAGGGAGAAGCTGAAGAAAACGGGGCCTGGCTAGCCCGCTAAACAAAACGAGACAGATTTCACAAAATCACAGATTGTTAATGTCAGAAGACACCTTAGAGTTGTTTCTCCCAAACCGAAGGCGCCTGCAAGTCACTTGGGGATCCTGTTAAAATGCAGATTCCCTGGTTCGGTAGGTCTGGAGTGGGGGCTGCTTTGTCCAGAGACCACACCGTGGGTCCAACCTTCACAGCACACTGGAATCGCTTTAAGAGCTTAAAAAAATACTTAGGTCTGGGCTTCTCTATCCCCGTCCCCCCCAGCCCCGGAGATTCTGTCATTTGGTCCGGGGGCAGCCTGGGCGTTTGGAGGTTAAAAAGCTCCCAGGTGATTGCAATATGCAGCGGAGTTTGAGAACCAGCGCCTTGGACCCAGCTTCTTAAGCTACTGCGCGCACCGGCGTCCCGCTGGGGGCGCGCGAGCCCCACCCCCAGAGATGCTGACTCAGCAAGTCGGGAGGGGTTGGGGGTGGGACCTGCCAATCTGCATTTCCAACCGGCGCCCAGGTGACGCTGACTCTGCTGGTCTACCGTCTTGGGGGTCACCTAATTTTTCAGCGATGCCTCCCAGCTGGGGAGGCCAAGAAGTGCCTCGCTCAAGGTCTTCCAACACCCGACCTCCAGACCCTCAATCCTGGGCCAGCTACACCGCAAACCTTTCCAGCTGTCTCTCCTGCGCCCTGCGTTTCTTCCCCACGTCACTTGCCAGGGAGCCGCTAAACAGCAAGACCGCGCGCTCTGCGGCTCCAGAGTGCGGATTTCGGTCGCGTGCGGCTCTGACCGCGTCGCCCCATCCCTGGCGGGGCCACGCACGGACGCCATGGCTGGCGCCGCGGAGCCGGGCGATGCGCGCGGACTCTCCCGGGGCCCTGACTGTCCCTGAGTCCTCCCTGCGGGGGGCGTGCGCGGCCCGCCCCCCGCGGCGCCACGCGGCCCCTCCTCGGCCGGGGATTGGTGCGCCGGGCGGGGCGGGGCGGGGCGGGATAAAGGCGCGGGGTCTGGCTGCGCGGGGTCTGCGGGCAGCTCCAACTCTGGGTTCGTAGTTTGCGCTGGGTGCGCAGGAAGGTCAGTGTGGGGGTCGCCCGACATTTCCCCCCCGCGGAGGTGGGAGCCGAGCCACATCTTGGAGTGGGGACTGGCCGCGGAGCGGGTTGCCCAGGGCCGGCCGAGGTCGGGGCGAGCCCTGCGCGGCGCTGGAGACTCTGCATTCCCGGGCGCGCGCAGGGTCCCCGGCCGTGGTCGCAGAGTCAGGAGGGGCGGCTCCGGAGCCCGGCGCGGGGAGGGCCCAGGCGCAGTCGGGGTTGGCAGGGCGCGACACTCGCTCCCCTCCACTTTTGAAAGGGCTTCCCACGCCGAGAAGAGGGGCGGGCATGGCCGGCCCGGCGAAACCGGTTTGTACAGACTTTGGGAAGCCATCGCCTGCGGAGGGTGGGACCCCACAGCTTGTCCACCTGCCCAGGCTGAGACCTCGTGTCCTAGTCCTGGATGCCCCACGGGTTTCTCGTCCCGGGCAGCGGCGCACGGGAGGAGAAGACTCCCGGTCTGCAGTCAGACCTCCCTCTGAGACCCTCCCTAGCTCAGGCTTAGAGCTTTGGGATTTTTCTCGATCCTTTCTAGCTTTCAGATCATCCCCACGTAAAGTTCAGACTTTACCAGCCCAGAGAGTTTAAAAAAAAAAAAAGAGAGAGAGAGAAAGCGAATGTGGATTGAGCCTTTACACTGACCGCGCAGTTTGCACAGTGCTTTTCATAGATTGACTGCTTTTATTAAACGCTCTCAACAGTCTATTAGGATGGCATGGTGATTGCCCCCTTTCTGAGGACGCGGAAACTTGAGATTTGGCGAGGCAAGAAGCCAGGCGCACACAGCTAGGCGGGCCGCGGGCCGCGACCCCCTGGCTGGTCCGTGCTCTCCCCCTGGGGAGGGGTGCAGGCTGCCAGGAAAGGTGCCCCCTGCGTGGCCCTGGGGGTGTTTCTTCCTCTTTGTCTCTTCTTAGGCATCTGATCTCATCTCTTAAGTGGGAAGAGTCGGGGTGGTGGAAGTAGAGGGTATGGGACACGGTGGACCTACCTCACTTGGTAGTTAGTAACTGCCTCACCTTGGGCGGGTCAGTGGATTCTGAACAATGGGGAAAAGGTCCCAGCTTCAGGGTTGCTGTGAGGGTTTAAGAAGAGTTCAGGAAAGCAGATGCTTCACCAACGCTCCGTAGTTACCAGGCGCCTGATTTTTCCTTGGATCATTACTATTAAGAGGATGCATTGGTGATGATGATGATGTAATGAGTCAGAGGTTTTAAAGCCCAGACTGCCTTGAAAATGCGTCTGGTAAACCTTCTTGCTCCTTAAAGCAGAATAAGATTGGAGTGGGGGAACGCAGTGAAAATGAAGGTGGGCATGGACATATAAGTATTAAGTTAGAAGTGGGGAGGGGGCAGGGGGCATTGGCGCCAGGAAGTTGTAAACTGGGCAATTATCACCCAGTCCAGAGCAGGGAAGGCCCGTTGTGAGGGGCTAGGCATGAAGGTACCAGCAGCGTACATGCTCCTGCAGACCCCTGAGGCTGGAAGGAAGGAGCGGGCAGTGGGAGAGTAATAGGTTTAAGCACGTTTGCAAGTGGAGGCGGAGAGAGGACAAGGGCTGGGGGGGTTGGAGTTTGCTGGGTCTCTGGGGGCAATATTGATCTATGTTAGGCGAGTTTTCTCACTCTTCAGATACATATATACATATATGCATGCAGGTCACTTCTTGGTGCTGAACACTGTAAAACTTTTTCTCTATTGTAGGTTGTAGTTGTGATTCCTATCACGTAACATTAGATTTACCATCCTAAACAGTTCTAAGCATACTGTTCAGTAGCGTTAAGTATATTCACGCTGTTGTGCAGTCAATCTCCAGCGCTTGTTCATCAAACTGAAACTCTGCGCTAATTAAACACTAATTTCTCTGCCTCTACCCCAGCCCTTGGCAGCCAGTCACCTTTCTGCTTTATGTTTCTGTGAATTTTTGAGTGCTTTAAATAATGCACGTCAGTGGAGGCATACAGTGTTTGTCCTTTGGTGACTGGTTTATTTCACTTAGCCTAATGACTTTGAGCTTCACTCATGTTGTAGCCAAGTGTCAGAATCACCTTCTTTTTTAAGGCTGAAAAACTTCCATTGTATTTGTAGACCCTATTTTCTTTACCCGTTCATCTATTGGAGGCTGGATATCTTAGTTTCCCGCTTAATTGTTAAAGACATTACTTAATACATCTTTTACTATCTCCATCCCTAAGAGTAATTACAGCCAGAAATGTTAGGAGATCTCATGACAGCAAGAACATTGAGGAAAACTGATGTTGCGTATCTAGTCGCCTTCGGTATTATGGGTGGAAGTTTCCTTAATATCTAAAAAATTATCTATTTTTAGAGCAATCATAGTTGAATTAAGTCCCCTCCCCACCCCCCACCGCCACACCCCAATAAACTGAAGTAACTTTTTTCCCCTGAGAACAGGATCATTTGATTTTTTGAGATGTAAACCTCTGATGGTTTCCCCTTACTGTCTGCCTCTTAGACACAGCGTTGAGTGAGTACGAACACGCTTCACAACTTCCCGGGAGAGGCACCTAAACCCAGCAGGTCCACAACCAAACTCACTTGTCTTCTCACCTGACCTGCTGCTTCTCTAGAAAGCCCATTCTTGCAGCGCCCAAATTAGAGACCTTCATATTCTTGACACCTTCACCACCCACCCATGTGGAAGCAATCACTCAAGCCAGCTGAGCCATGAGTCAGTATCTGTATCGCCCCCTCATTTCCAGATGGCGCTGCTGTGTGACTGCTGCTGCTGTTAATGCAGATAAGTGGATATGCAGGGGCATGGAAGAAGTCATGACCTTCCATGACCAACCCAGAGAGGCCCAGGTTGGGAAAGTGCTTCATTATTTGTGGAGAAGACTATGTTAACCTTTTCCTGTTTGTCCCTTGCAATGAAAGTAAACAAGGTGCTTGGGAAAGAAAGTATGGGCTATCATTTGGTCTTTAGGTAGGAGGGACTGAAAATCATCTTTGATGGCTTTCTCTATGTAAATTTAGTATGTAGCTTGGCAAAGAAAGTTTTACTTCAGAACAACTGCTCTCCAATTGTAATCTGGGGAACTGTGGAGGATCCCTGAAACCTTTTGTAGGGTCCATGAGGACAAAACTATTTTTGAAAAGAATACTAAGGTGTTATTTACCTTTTTCATTCTTTCTCTCACAAGTGTGCAGTGAGTTGCCCAGAGATTACATGACTTGCAAAGAGCTTTGCCTGTCATGACTAATGGGATTTGTGCTTGTGTATTCTTCTGTTTCTCAGTCTTCTAAGGTGTTAGGGTTAGGATAAAAGTATCTGCATTTTCAGAGATGAACTCAATTTGCACTTAGTATTTCTACTGTGCACTCACTGGCTGTCTTCACTTAGACCTGTTATATCTGTGACCTCATTTTCTTTTAATAAGTTATTAATTTGAAGTCCCAGAGTTTTCTGTGCCTATATGAAAACACAACAAAAAGTACACTCTGTAGTCTTGATTGGAAAGCCTTTCTAAAATTTCAAATGGTATAAAATTATTTTTGAATGTAATATTTTATTCTAAAATAAAAGGATATTTGTGTATTTTTGTATTTAAGGATAGATTATTGGCTTAACAGGGGGATATTAGAAAAGTTGATTTTTTTCAGCTCCCAGGTGCACTACCTATGCCTAAAACGCTGAAAAAATGAAATGAATATGTCAGAGTTTCTGAATCATGAAAGGGAGGAATTTACTCCAGAGAAATGGGCAAAACTAAGGCAAGGTGAAAGCTTTCCTCAGCTTTATAGCTGTTAGTAATTGGTCTTATGAATCTTATGCCAGAGAACCATTTTCAATGGTATTATGGTGCCAGTAGCATGATTTTGAGACCAACCATTCAGAGTCCTCTAAAGAAAAATGAATTGAATCGTTTAAGTGTGGATGTAATGAGCTTTTTAAAAGCCAGAAATTTTTGTCATAGCTTTTCAAACTGAAACCGACAAAGTTGAAGCATAAAGCAGGGTAAATTATCAAGTTGCGTTGGTCGCAGAAACACACGATAAAGGCTTGTTTAGATGAAAAAGCATTGAAAGAGCTCATAGCACTTCAACTTTCCAATGATACAGTAATCTGCCAAATTAAAGATTTAGCTGAAACGTGAAGACCCAGTTAGTATATTGACTGTAGAAGTGTATTTCTGCCTTACAAATGGAAGAAAGACTAGAGGTGCCATTTTGCTTGTATTCTTCTGGTATCAGCACCAAACCAATCAATACCTTTTTAGATAATCTTTTTATTGTAATATGTAATACAATATACAATCCTTTATCTTTACAATAGAGAGTATCTTTTTAGTGAATGCTTGGTAGCAAACATGAGTAGTGCTGAGATATTCAAAGTGTTGAATAACTTTTTTGAATTTAGTGGTTCATTCTGGAACAAGTGCATTGAATTTGCATTGATGGTGCCAGAGCAATGCTGGGTAAAACTCCTGGTGCCTTTGTGCAAATCAAGGCAGATGGTACCAGGCTGTTCTAGTCGTCACTGTATTCTTTACTGCCCTGTGCTTTCAATAAAAAATAAGAGAAAATTGCCAGCCTGACTTAAGAATGTCCCGATGAAACAGTAAAAATGACTGTCTGGATTAAATCTTGACTTCTGAGTATGCATCTCTTTGATATGCTGTATAGTGTAGGAAAGTGCCCATAAAGCATTCTGTGACATATTTCAAAGTGTGATGGTTGTCTTCAGGTAAAGCAGTGTGTGATTGAATTGTGAGCTGAACTGGCCACTTTTCTTAATAGAAAACCATTTTTGCTTGACAGACTGACAAACAATGAGTATTCATACTTGGATCATTGCCAGACATATTCTAAAACATGAACGAAGTGAGCCTGTCACTTCAAGGAAACAACTAACAGTGTTTGTTGCCAATTAATTTCTATTTACCACCATGAGCTTGACAGCTTCCCCATACTTAGGAATTTTCTGATGAGACCAGTGGTGATATTACCTAGTAGGACTTTTTAATATTATATAGTGAAGTGTGTTAATATTTGGACAATGTGCATAAGTTGCTGAACCAATAATTATTTTATATTACAATGCAATAATAATAGAAATAAAGTACACAATAAATGGAATGTGCTTGAATCATCCCGAAACCACCCCCTTTCCTCCCAGTCCACGGAAAATTGTCTTCCGCAAAACTGGTCCCTGGTGCTAAAAAGGTTGGAGACCATTGCTTTAAAGCATTAAAGTAAGTTTTAATGTAGAAAAGTACAAAAAGTTCATTGATAAGGTTTCAGATTCTGCATCACAACTAACCTTTAAGAAGACTGATGCATTCAGTTTTGGAGTGGTAGCAAAGATAAACATCCAGAGTTATTTGAAAAAATGAATAAAATACCATTTCCTGTTTTCACTGCTGTTTGGATTTTTTTTCAATTAGAGCAACAAGTTACAGAAGCAGATATGAAAATCCAGTTTTTTTATTTTATCAAAGAGAAGTATAAAGTTTAAAATAATGGCACTCCTTCCACTGAATATTTTTTGTATTGGAAAACTGTTTGTTTGTTTGTTTGTTTGTTTTTGAGATGTAGTCTTGCTCTGTCTCCCAGGCTGGAGTGGAGTGCAGTTTCACCATCTCGGCTCACTGCAACCTCCACATCTCCGGTTCAAGCAATTCTTCTGCCTCAGCCTCCCGAAAATATAGTTATTTTCATAATGATGTTTATGTTAACATGTTTATCGGTTTTAAATGAATTAATAAAGGTGTTAAACATTTATTTGTTTTCTAACACTAAATATTAATAGATATAACCAACATTAACAGTAGCTTTTTGGAGTTCTCCATTTTTAAGAGTATAAAGGAGTTTTAAGATCAAAAAGTTAGAGAACTTCTGCCTGAAGAGTATTAAGTTTAACTTGGCAGGAGTAAGAGGAAAAGCTACATGCTGTAGATGGTTGGAGGGTTTTTAAATTTATTTTTGTTTTTAATACCTATGTATTGTTAAAGCGATTCTGTAATAGAGGCAGTATTGCTGCGCGGTGGTTAAGAAGTAGGTTTTCTAGGGGAGTGGTGCTTGCGGTAGTGCTGTGAAGCACTCACCAGCTTTTGGCATATAAACAGCAAAAAATATTAGGTACTTATAATAGTGGAATAAGAAGAACCAACTCCATTACGAACTGTCCGTGTTGTTGAACTAAAACTTCACATTCAATTAACAATTTGTTGGGTGCCTCCTTCATGCTTTCCCTTTGTGGAGAAAGAGATGAATACATTTGTACCTGTTTTATATCTTTAGGGTTTCCTTTCCCCCGCAGTTCCAGTCTTTTCAATTTTTAAATTAAAAAAAAAAAACAAAAGCCTTTTTAACTGTGACCATTCATTATTTTGCTTTCGGGAATTGGAATTGTCTTTCAGTCTCGAATGTTCTGGGAAATGTTGTCTCTGGGCTTCCTCAATATCCCTTTGCACTTGCTGAAATAAGTGACTGTAAGAATCCAAGTTGTTGGCTGGGCGCGGTGGCTCACACCTGTAATCCCAGCACTTTGGGAGGCCGAGGTGGGTGGATCACGAGGTCAGGAGATTGAGACCATCCTGGCTAACATGGTAAAACCCTGTCTCTACTAAAAAAAATAAAAAAAAACAAAATTAGCTGGGCGTGGTGGCGGGTGCCTGTAGTTCCAGCTACTTGGGAGGCTGAGGCAGGAGAATGGCGTGAACCCGGGAGGCAGAGTTTGCAGTGAGCCGAGATCGCGCTACTGTACTCCAGCCTGGGCGACAGAGCGAGACTCCGTCTCAAAAAAAAAAGAAAAAGAATCCAAGTGCTTACCTGGTTTCAGGTGCCAGCAGTGGCTACAGTTAGTGTTCCTGTAAGGGTTGCTTGAGGAAAAGCTCAGGCCTTTCCCGTAATGTGGCCCATCCTGGACACCTGCCTCATCACTTTGGGCCTGTGCAGTAAAAGCAGAGATGTGCCATGGTGAGAAGGTTCTCTTCTACTCGCTTATTTGAGAACATTAGCTGGGGTGAAGGGCCTTAGGTGTCTTATAGATGCTGGGCACCTGGTGGGTCCAGTCACTAACCCCACAGAAGCCACCAGGCAGGTTCCACCTGTCTTGTCTTGGAGTAGTAAAGAGCAAAACCCTCATGACCCAGAAAGGTATGAAAAGGCGTATGTTTTGAAAAGACACTATTTTCCTTTTGTTTTCTGTAATTTGGGTTTTGGTATGATTAGGGATTGCAAGAAAGCTTCTGCTACTTCCGGCATTTAACTTGGAATCACTGTCTTAAATCTACTTGAGGCACTGAGTACCTTCCTGTAAGTTCATATCTTACAGGAAATGTCTCTAACTGTGGTTTGTTTACTTTTTTTCCCTTTATAATGCAGAATAGAAGATGGTTGAGGGGACTGGACACCTGAATTGGCTTTGAAGCTCACCTGCCTTTTCTGTTGGAAGAGACTTCCTCTTCCAGGGGGCGAGTGAGTAGAGGCCACAGGTCAGTGTGAGTATGTGGTAGGCCTGCCTGTAGGGAGGGTGGGGGGGTTGCTGTTAGAACCAGCAAAGCAAGCTGGGCAGCTCTGGTTTACTCTCAAGACATGCCTGCCTGGGTGCTGGGGACCCGTTGAAGAACATGGCAGTCTGAAGCCATATGTGACTGGACCATCTTGACCTCTAAGGCCAGGGCTGATTTCATGGTCAGCTGGTACTATTGAAGCTGATGAGGAGGAGGAGGTAGACTAAATTAAATTATGTGATCTTTGAAACAATAAGAAAATGACTTTTCTACGTGACCCTCTCTACAGAGATGATGGAAAAACAAAAATCCTTCACAGCTTACTAAATATTGCTGCGGGACTTTTTATCCTTTTATCTTAACCCTCTGCTTTTCTAGGCTGGTTCATCATAACGTGAGTGTTAACACAAGATTTACAGGGCACTTTGTATTTAATCTGGGACCCATTTGTATCCTCAGACGTTGTGTGGACAAGTTGATAACAGTTGCAGTCAAGACTTAAAGCCTTTGCTAGGATCCACCGACTTTGTCTCTGTGATATGCGCGTTCTCTGTGCAGTTACCGCCTCTTTTGCATTAGATCCCAGCTGGTGTCAGCGTTGTGCGGTGTCAGTTCTGAATCTCAGTTTGGCCTTTGTTTGGCTGGACTCTGTGTGAGCAACACTTTATCCCTTTATCACAGGGCCTGGCTCACAGGAGGCCCTTGACTGGCTTCCTATCGGCGAACTCAGCAGTCTCTTTAGTTCGATTCCTGAATCTAAAAGCATAGCTTTAAAAAAATAAAATAAAATAAAAGCATAGCTTTGCTCATTCGCTGACAATCTTAGCGTTCATTTTAGCTGAAGAGTTTGTTTTGAAGAGCTGGAGGGATAAAAGTTCACATCTTTAACTCTGCTCTTTTCTCACAAGGTATTTGAAAAGAAAATGCTGTTCATTAGGATGCTGAGGCGAGCGGGGCAGAGCCCAGCCTGTGGCTGTTGGACGCCTGTCCTGCCGGTCCGCTTTCTGGGCATCTCCCCTCGGCAAATTCCAGCAGATGCTAACTTCCACTCTGCGTCTTTCTCTGACACAGACCATCCACGAGTCTTAATTACAGGTTAGTTTTTCTTTTCTTTTTTCTATTTGCATGGCTTGATTCTTTCCTGTGCTATGTGTCTGTGCCTTTGCTTTTGGAATGTGTAATATGCTATCTGAACCATACTGCCTGTCTCTGTAGCCGATAATGCAGCAAAAACAGGCTTGGCCAGATGACAGAATCTGGATCTATTCTCTATACTATGAAAAGGATTTCAGAATGAGGTATTTTATAATACAAAAGTTTTAAATTAGAGCAGCTGATCTTATTGATCAGACACTGTCTTTTTCACTATTGGCTTTTTTGTTTGTTTCTTAGAATTTTGCAAATCCAAATCCTTATTTCATCACTGTTGCCAGCACTTGGTTTTGCCTGCCGTAATTTTTGTTGTTGTTCGAAGGAATCTAGGAAACTGGGGGCCAAATAGCTGCTCTGGAACTTGGTTTCCTTCCATATTAGGATCAGTCTGGGGAGTGAAGGCTAGTGGACAGGAGGGTGCTGGGGCTAGAACATTGATTCTGGTGTTAGGCACGCTGTTCCTTGGCCAGAGTCCTGAACCTAAACTCAGAGTCATTAATCCCAAACTGTTATTGCACATTTGCATGTTGGAAATAGAGAAGGTAAGTTAGCGTCTGGTCAAGGGACTTGTTGCTGCAGTGTTCATTGTTGTCCTCGAGCCCATCATGGCCCTTGAGCTCATTGTTGCCATTGAGGTCATCATTGCCAGTGACTCGCTCCCTGAACCTCCTCACCTCAAATATGTTCAGCCCCTGATTTTGTATCCTTCTCACTCCAGACTTTACTCTGTCACTTCCAGCCAGCCCAAACCTACCTCCAGTTTGATGGACATGTTTTACTTCTTTCTCTTTCTTGCCAGGCTTTCTTCCCTTGGTTTTACAGCATTATCCTTCTCATTTTCGTGTGTCTGTGTGTGTGTGTACTCTTTGACTGCCTTGTCCACTTCTGGTGCTGAAATAAGTTTCAAGCTTAGTAGATGTCCCTCTCTGCCTTTCCTCGGATTCACCCATCGTGTTGTCCGAGTGTTTGTTTTATTCCCTCTCACCTCCCCTAATGATGCATCTTTCAGGGTGTCCTGGTTTTATTCCCAAGTTAACAAATGGTTACAGGAAGTCCCACTTTTATATCTTCCTGCCTCATCAGTTTCTCTCAAATGAAATGGACTGTTGTCCTTACCCAAATGTGCTCCTAGCCCACTGGCCTCCCGTTTCTATCAGTGGCATGTTTAATTCTTCAAACTAGAAGCTGCACTATTCACTTTAACTTTCTCAGTGGTGCCTTGTTGATTCAGTTGTCTGCCCCTTTTTCAAATGACTTCTTGGTTTCTCCCTGCCTCTTTTCCCTTTCATATCCCAGTCCACTTCTAATGGAGGATGGGATTCTGCCTCATGTCACCAGAGGTGGATATGAATCTGTTCATACTGGTTTTGAATGATTTTGTCACCCATAGCAGATAAGCTTCAAAGTTCATGAAAATAATGAAGGCCAAGATTGAGTTCCTGCCCCAAGAAATTCCAGACCTGTGTCTGGCTTTCATGAGATTTTTCTCTTCTAATGCCCTTGCTTCTCCTCTTTCTCGGAACCACTCCATGCTGGTAAGTGTTGTCTCTGAAACGAATGTTACCTGTATTGGTCTCTGTCCTAGCATGGGGGAGATCATTGCATTTCTAAGCGCTGCACCACGTTCCTGGGAAGATTGGAAGTAAGCAGCAGTTATATCAGTGCAACCTAGGACTTACGTAGTTAGCTAAGACTGAAAACTAGTCTCACTCAGTTATTACATTCTGGGAATAATTGAACTGTTTAGATTTGCATTAAACCTTCACTTTTTTTTCTTCTTCATCTAGGGGCTCTTGGCCAGCTGGGAGTGGGGCTTGCTAATCTTTTGAGGTAAGAGCCCTAAAAACTTGAAATTTAAAATCTGAGTTGTTAAGTATATGGAGCTCATTGGGATGCCTTTTAAACTTCTTTTCTCTCTCCTCTTGCTCCTTACCATTGTTAAGATATATCTAAATAACTGCTATATATAGCTATAGATATAGATATATAGAGATATAGATATAGATACAGATTTTTTTTTTTTGAGTTGGAGCCTCAGTCTGTCACCCAGGCTGTAGTGCAGTGGTGCAATCCCGGCTCACTATAACCTCCACCTCCTGGGTTCAAGTGATTCTCCTGCCTCAGCCTCCCGAGTAGCTGGGACTACAGGCACATACCACCACGCCTGGCTAATTTTTTTTATTTTTGGTAGAGATGGGCTCTCGCTATGTTGCCCAGGCTGGTCTTCTAACTCCTGGCCTCAAGTGATCTGCCCGCCTCAAGTGATCTGCCCACCTCACCTTTCCAAAGTGCTGGGATTACAGATGTGAGCTACTGTGCCCAGCCTAAAATACATTTTATTTTGCCTCTGAATATCCCAGACTTGTCGTAGGCCCTTGACTTAACATCTCCAGACTGGTCCTTTGCTCTCTTTCTGTTTCCTAACTTAGGCAAAGTGAGACACACATCTCCCAGTGAATCACTTTGACTTTTAGTTGTTTGAGAACCAAGGGAAGTACAGGTGCAAACTGGAAGGGAAGAGTGTGGGATTTGGAGAGAATGGGGTAAGAGAATAAGAAGAGGGGAGAGAAGATAAGAAGAATGATGAGGAAGAGGTAAAAACTCTGGGGGGTAATGGGAAGAAACCGGTGACAAGCATAGGGTTAACAGTCAGGTGAGAGGAGAAACAGAAGAGAGAGTCGTGGGCAGGGAAATAGAGGCCTGAGTGTGAGAGAGATAAGAATTGAAGGTGTGGGAATTGAGGATGAAGAGGAAGTAGAGATTTGGAGGCTGGCAGAAAATTACAGTTCTTATTTTAAAAGACTTCTCACAGGACTCATTGCATTCTAGATGTTGCCAACTTGTGTGGGTTAATTTTCCCTTTAGGAAACGATTTGGAAAGGACAGTGTGATTTTGTCTGACATAAGGAAACCCCCCGATCATGTCTTTCACAGTGGTAAGAGATCAATAGGTCTTGCTTTTATTTTTATCTCTAATTTTCAAGGCACAAAGAGGTGGCTCGTGAAATTGGTGCGTGCAGCAGCTCATAGCTGAATTTATGACTCAAAGAGAAGTTATTGAGGCACTGGTATTTCACTTAAAAATACGTATTTTACCCAAAGGATTATAAATCATGCTGCTATAAAGACACATGCACACGTATGTTTATTGCGGCACTATTCACAATAGCAAAGACTTGGAACCAACCCAAATGTCCAACAATGATAGACTGGATTAAGAAAATTTGGCACATATACACCATGAAATACTATGCAGCCATAAAAAATGGTGAGTTCATGTCCTTTGTAGGGACATGGATGAAGCTGGAAACCATCATTCTGAGCAAAGTATCGCAAGGACGAAAAACCAAACACCGCATGTTCTCACTCATAGGTGGGAATTGAACATTGAGAACACATGGACACAGGAAGGGGAACATCACACACTGGGGCCTGTTGTGGGGTGGGGGAGGGGGGAGGGATAGCATTAGGAGACACACCTAATGTTAAATGACTAGTTAATGGGTGCAGCACACCAGCATGGCACATGTATACATATGTAACAAACCTGCACATTTTACACATGTACCCTAAAACTTAAAGTATAATAAAAAAATATATATTTTTAATGCTGCTGCTTGTTCAAGTGATAAAAGAACAGAAGAATTCTTTTGACCTTGAAGTTTTTGGAATAATATATTTTGATGTTATTGGAAATGAAAACTTTGTTTCCTGTCTTTTTGTGTTTTAAGTTAACTTATTGACTTGGAGAGAATACAAACAAAAATCAAGAATAGAAACGAAAAGACACATACACACACACACACATAGACACTCACACACACATACACGCACATACACACATACACGCACATACACACATACACACATGCACATACACACATACACAGACACACGCACACACATACCCACACACGCACACACACAGACACACATACACACACATACACACATGCACACACATACACGCACACACACATACACATACACGCACACACACGCACATACACATACACACACATCCACACAGACACACACACACACCTCTCAAGCTCTTCTAATCAGGATTTTACTGCTTCAAAAATGTTTTTATGTCTAGGCATGGTGGCTCACACCTGTAATCCCAGCAATTTGGGAGGCTGAGGTGGGAGGATCACTTGAGTCTGGGAGTTCAAGACTAGCCTGGGCAATATAGTGAGACCCTGTCTCCACAAGAAATTAAAAATGAGCTGGGCATGGTGGCACGTGCCTGTAGTCCTAGCTACTTGGGAGGACCACTTGAGCCCACTAGATGGAGGCTGCAGTGAGCCATGATTGCATCACTGCACTCCAGCCTGAGCGACAGAGCAAGACTCTGTCCCCGCTGCCCCAAAAATAAGGTTTTGTAATGCCCCCAGTCCTTCCTGGTTCAGCATCAGCCTTTTGCTGCTCACCATGGGGAAGAGTGACAGTTTGCTGTAAGTGGGGAAAATTGGCACAGAGCAAGATCAACTTTACCTCTGTGTAATTAAGTATGATAAACTCATGGTTTGTGGGTTTTCTATACCAAGGTGGTGGTGGTGGTGAATAAGTCCGTTTCTCTATTCCTTTTCAAATGTGCACCTTGGAAGCAGAGTGAAGCCACTCTGTGTATACAGGGCTGGGAGGAACAGCACCCACTCTGGAGCCCGATGCCTAGCTGCAGCCCCATTTCCTCCACTTGTTCTCTGATCCTGGCAAGTTGCTTAACCTCTCGGTGCCTGTTTCCTTATCAGTAAAATGTGTTTACCTCCAAGGCTGTGTGGGAAAGAAATGGACTTATGTCCTTAGGACAGGGTCTGGCCCAGGCAGGTCCTATAGGAGCATTTGCTGTCATTACCTGGCGCGGGGTGGTTGTGACTTGTGATTCTTCCGTAAGAAAAATGCTGCCTAGTGCCCAGCTGTCTTAGTTATTGCGTGGCTACCAGTGAAATTCACAAGTCAACGGGGGAAAGGGGAAAGGTCCATTTAGTTCACAACCCTTTTCACGTTCGTGGTTTCAATTTATGTTCCTTGCAGGTCCATTCATTTATTCTGATATCTTGGATTACAAGAATCTTCGGGAGATCGTGGTAAACAACCGCATCACCTGGCTGTTTCATTACAGCGCTTTGCTCAGCGCCTTTGGAGAAGCAAATGTTTCCCTGGCGAGAGCAGTGAATATAACTGGTAAGCATCTGGCTCTGGCTGGATGTGATTTATTTGCCAGTTTTTCTAGTTCTTTAAGAAGAGATGTTTTCAGATTCTGATAGTGTCTGTTCATTTCAGGCCTGCATAACATCCTGGATGTCGCTGCGGAACACAATCTGCAATTGTTTGTGCCTAGCACGATTGGGGCTTTTGGACCCACCTCTCCCCGGAACCCAACCCCCGATCTCTGTATTCAGAGACCCAGGACCATCTATGGGGTGTCCAAGGTCCACGCGGAGCTCATGGGAGAAGTAAGCATCACTCAGCTGGATTGCTGAATGTGCCCTGGCTGTCACGATTTGCTGTTTGCTTTCTCATTCGTTTTGCCTCCAAGGCCTGGTGATTCATCCCTGGAGGAACTTTACCTCTTCTTGGATCCCAGCCCCAGAGTCGCTTACTTAACTCACTGGGTTTGCCATGTAGCAGGTGTCTCCAGCTCCTGAAACCTCCTCAGCCATATGGGAACACTCAGCACTTCCTGGGTGCCCCGTGCCCAGCCCCGATCTCTTCATTTGCTGCTTGTCTTGTACTCCACCATTCTTTCTGGCTCCTAGTATTGGTAGCCATTGGTAGTAACTCTAAAACCTCAAACATCTTGGGTTTGTTTTGTTTGTTTGTTTGTTTTATGAGACAGAATCTTGCTCTGTCACCCAGGCTGGAGTGTGGTGGCGTGATCTCAGCTCATAGCAGCCTCCGCCTCCTGGGTTCAAGGGATCCTCATGCCTCAGCCTCCGAAGTAGCTGGGATTATAGGCACGTGCCACCACACCCAGCTAAATTTTATATTTTTAGTAGAGGCAGTGTTTTGCCTTGTTGGCCAGGCTGGTCTCAAGCTTCTGACCTCAAGTGATCCACCCACTTCAGCATCCCAAAGTGCTGGGATTATAGGTGTGAACTACTGCAAAATACTCTTTATCTTTATAACTCTAGTAGATTCGAGTTGCTGCCTGCTCCTCCAGTTCTGTCATAGCCATGGCCCTCTCATCCACTGTTCTCTCCTCTGCTTTTCCCCGTGCTGCTTGTGGGAATGCACTCAGGCTGAATCGTTCAGAATGATGATCAGTGGCGCCTTTCCAAAGAGTGGCTGGAAATGCCTACTGTAGACTAATGTGTCATTTACAGCATTGATGTACCACCTAAAAGTTGATTTCTTTTAAAAGATAAAAACTTAGGAGTCTTTATTTTCTTTAGGAGTATTTAAATATAACTGCATGGAATGAGATTTCAGAAAAAGGCAGGGTGTTTTTTGGTTTTTTTTGTTTTTGTTTTTTTTGCATCTATCTGATTTAAAATATTTGTGTTTGAATACGTTTTCTCTTTTTCATGGTATTATCATTACCGGTATGGGTTAGATTTCTGATGCCTGAGATATCCTGGAATCATTTCAGCTGACTCCCAGCCTGGAGGAGGAACAACTGGTTAAGTGTTTTCTATTTCTTATGTCTCTTATATGTTAGATAGGCTTTCCAGCCAGGTGCGGAGGCTCATGCCTGTAACTCCAGCACTTTGGGAGGCTGAGGCAGGAGGATCACTCCAGCCAGAGACCAGCCTGGACAACACAGTGGGACCTTGTCTCTATGAAAAATAAACAAAAATTACCCAGGCATGATGGCCCACACCTGTAGTCCCAGCTACTGGGGAGTCTGAGGCAGGAGGGCCTCTTGAGCCCGGAAGGCCAGGGTTGCAGTGAGCTGAGATCGTGCCACTGCACTCCAGCCTGGGTGAGTGACAGAGTGAGACCCTGTCTCAAAAATAAAAAACAACAACAAAAAAACACCCACCAAAAAAAAAAAAAATAGACTGACTTATTGCTAGGTGGAGTTGTCTTCGTAGTAAATGAATTTGCTATCTTTTTAGCTGTATGCTGACCAGAGTTTTTCTGTAATATCTCCCGATATGCATTTTAAAAGCACAGTGAACCCAATTGGCTTACACTCACTAAGGGTAGCACATGCCAGCGTTGTCAGTTCAGCTCGGGATTGGCCACCCACAGTGGCAGAATAAAACGTAATATTCAACAACAAATCTGTGACTCACAGTGTAGGAAGACCCCCAGCAAGCAGCAGCCTCTCGTTTCTTAACACGCAGAGAGAGCCCTATTAAAATAGACTCTAGGCATTGTGTATGTGAAAGGAACATAAGTATGATTATTATTTTGGACTCAAACACTCATTCTGTTTCATAAGTCCCACATCAGGTATCCTTCCCACATCTGTGGTCCTGAGAATGAATATGGAAGGTACTTGACCGCATCAGAGGGATTTGGAAGCAGGCCTTAAAAAGCTTCTGCTTTTTAATATGGTGCTTCTCCAGGTGTGATCTGGGGAGCTCCGGTCATCCTCCAGCACTTTCAAGGGGTCTTGGGGGTCAAAAATCTTATCAATATGGAGACGTTACTGGCCTTTTTCACTCTACTTTCACAAATGCATTGTAGAGTTTTCCAGAGGTGGTGTGGCGTGTGAGATAAGAACGGACTGGATACAGAAGCAGATGGGGGCTCCAGCGGACCCCTATCAAGCCAGACCCTAAAGAGATTTTTAGAATGTACAGCAGACCATCCTTCTCAGTAAATTTTGTTTGTTTAGAAAATATACCCTTTTTCCTATAAAATGTTATACATATTAATATGTGATAGGCTTATTGTCGTTTAAAAAGGTAATATTCTAAACAATTCTCAGTTAACTCTGTTTCAGTAAATATTGATATAACCCACATTAGTCAGATCTCTTTGGGAGTTCTCAATTCTTTTTTTTGAGATGGAGTCTTGCTCTGTCACCCAGGCTGGAGTGCGGTGGCGTGATCTCAGCTCACTGCAGTCTCCATCTCTCCTGGGTTTGAGCGATTCTCATGCTTCAGCCTCCCAAGTAGCTGGGATTACAGATGTGTGCCATCACGCCTGGCTAATTTTTGTATTTTTAGTAGAGCTGGGGTTTCACTGTGTTGGACAGGCTGGTCTTGAACTCCTGATCTCAGGTGATCTGCCTGCCTCGGCCTCCCAAAGTGCTAGGACTACAGGCCTGAGTTACTGAGCTTGACTGGACTTCTTAATTTTTAAGAATCTGTTATAAAAAGACTCTGAGACTAGAACATTTGAGAACTGCTGCCTTGATCCAAGAGGCTCATTCATTGTTTTGTTATAACCTACATACGGGATTCCCTTTCAGACTATGCAGTCCAGATTTTCCATGATGCCACAAAGCATGGCAAATTCGAGTGCAACCTGGAAGCCTGCACGAGACTGCCCATGATGTACATTGACGACTGCCTCAGAGCCACCCTGGAGGTCATGGAGGCCCCAGCTGAGTCCCTTTCCATGAGGACCTACAATGTCAGCGCCATGAGCTTCACACCCGAGGAGCTGGCCCAGGAGGTCCTCAAGCACGTGCCGGAATTCCAGATCACATACAACGTGGATGCCGTTCGCCAGGCCATAGGTTCGTACCCGGTGGCAAAGGCCTTTACTGTGAGTCCCTGGAGAATGTAAACCTTGGAAGGTTGAAGAGAGCATAGATCCTTCCCAAGGGTCCAGACACCTTTTGGAGAAGGAGCCTAGCCCAAGAAATTGTTGAGCCCAAGCTAGCAGATGCTTTGATTTTGGGGAATGATATCTAAAGTGGGTGAAATCATTCCATTCCAAATAAACAGCTTGTTAGCCTTTCATCATTTTTACAGTTTAAACATAAAGCAAGGAAAAATAGAAGCAACAGAGGTAGTATGAAAACAGCCCCAGGTTTTCAAATACTGTAACTTTGCCAATTTGTGGATGGAAGCACCTCTTTGAGTATAAAACTTCTTATGAAGTTGTGTGAGATTTTGATAATGTGTGAAAATTCACAGTGCCTGACGAAAGATGGGTTAATAGTCTTCGGCCCTAGGAGGGTGACTGTGCATAATGGCGGTTCTGCTTTACTCGAAGGAATTTCCTGTTTTGTACCTTGTACGGTAGACCTTTATATACAATGGTCAAGACCTTTTTGCAAATCCACAACCTGAATAACTTAAGCTAGTCTTGCGTATCTTTTCCTAGCGGATGGTTGGCCGATGAACTTTGATGACAGCAATGCTCGGAAGGACTGGGGGTGGAAACACGACTTTGATCTTCCAGAGTTGGTGACTGCCATGTTGAACTTCCATGGTTCTGAAAGCAGAGTTGCCCAAGCCAACTGAAAGAATCTGGAAGAGGAGCTCCTGTGTCCTGGTCCACTGTCAAGGGAGAACTGTCACAACTCCAAGGTTATAGACTCCAAGGAGCCTACATTATTTGGAACTGACTCATTGGACTAAATTTTGGCAGCTCATATTGAACTGCTAGACAAAGAATGGAGTTAACATTTAAGCATTTTCAGAATGTTGTAGGTATGGTGGTGGGACTTTTCAGTTTTTGCTGTTTGCCTGAACTTGTCTAAACACATTCCACAGAATAAGGCTTAAGTCATCATTAGTTTCCATTTCCTTAATTAGGATGAAGTGACTATTTCTGGGAAGCTGGGAGTATGTGACATTTGTGTTTAATTAAATTCAATTTAAATATTCCTCTTAAGACTCGATTATTCTCTTGACTAAAGACCAAAGATTACATTTTAAGGACTTTCAAAGAGGTACTCCTCATTTATAAGTATTCTTTACTATCCCAGCGAAAGTAAAACATGTTTGGTGTATTCATCCCATGTCTATCACATTCAAGATATTTTGACACTGCTTCAAAAATTATAATTTCTGGTTTTTCTGTAAGATGCTAGATCTGTGGGAAATTAAGAATTCAAAGATGATGTAACCAGCGAAGGGTAGCCCTGCTCTTATTTTGATTGCCCTCCTATTAGTGAGCTAAATGTAATTCCCAGGAACATAATTCCCTGACCTGGCAACATCAGCATCTAGGGAGATTGTCTAATACACAGGTTTCTGGGCTACATCCCTTTAGATTCACTCATTAAGTGCCAGGTGCCACTGGTTATTTGAATCCAGCTGAGGCCCACTAGTCAGACCAGTTTAGACCAATGCAGTTTTCTAAAGAGCACTTTCTTGTTGCATCTTTTTTTTTTAAGATATTCCTGGGTTGAGCTTTCAGAAGGGCTACTCTAAACCCTCTGATGCAATTACCGTATAGATACATACAGGTTAACTTTTTAAGTTGAAGTTAGGCCAAATCAATTTCTGATTGTATTTTATGGTAAGGGAATGAGTGTGTTCAGAAAATGCTTTCAATCCGGTCATTTAAAAAAATATTTCTGGTGCAATACTGTATAGACACGTACAGGTTAACTTTTTTCCAGCGACCTCGGAATGTACTGCATGTAAAATCACTAGGAAGTGAAACTTCCAGTTCCACAGATTAATCATGGATATATTTGATAACAGCTATCAAGGATTAAAAGGCGTTTATTTATGTTGCATGCTTAATAACAAAATGTTATGCATTTGGAGTTTTGAACTGTTAGGTCAAAGCGTGGATTTTTTTGAAGGCATAACTGGATTTAAAATCTATTTGACTATTAACTGGAGAACTTTTAGGTAATTGAATTGTTTAACAGTTACATTACTGTAGCTTTTTCCTCCACTTAATAAGGTTTATGTTTGTAGATTTTATTTTTTTGTTATTTTTCTTTTGGGCTGCTCTTGAGAGGCAGGAAGATTTTATTTTTTAAAATCAGAAAGTTAGTAATGAATTCTTTTTTTGAAAGTTTGAGATATAGTTTACATACCATAAAATTCACTCATTTATAGTTCTGTGGTTTTCAATGTATTAAAAAGTTTTGCAACCATCACTATAATCTAATTTTAGGCCATTTCATCACCCCACAAAGAAATCATATTATATAAGCCCTTCCCACCCTCGGCAACCACTAATGTACTTCTTCTGTCCCTGGGTTTGTCTGTTCTGAGCATTTTATGTAAGTGGAATGTGGTTGTCTTTTAGTGGCTTCTTTAATTAAGCAGTCCATTTTCAAGGTTCATCCATGTTTTAGCATGTATCACTACTTCATTTTTTATTGCTAAGTAATATTCCATTGTATGAGTAATCCTCTTATTTTCTCTATCCATTCATCCATTGAGGGACATTTAGGTTTTTTGCACTTTTTAAGCTATTATGAATAATGCTGCTGTGAACATTTGGGTAGATAATTGAGTTTTAAAATGATTGCTTACTGTTTATAGTTTAAAAAACAGTTCTTAAGTTTGATTAATTTATTCTCAGTTATCTTAAAGGAACAAGCAATTCTTCCCTTTCATAAGATAAGAAGCAGCAACTCGAGTGACCTTTGTCTCCTAGACCCTAACCTTCCAGCATTTCTACCAGGCTCCTAGAATGACCTTTAATTCGGATCATTTGGAGGGGTTTGTTCCAAACAGGTTCCTTGAATCTTTCCCAATCTGTAAACACACCTCCAGGAGATCTCAAATAAGAGTGAAAAAATAATGAATGCTTCAGCTTCTTTGGATGATTCTTATTCACTGACATCTTTGTACTCCAAGACTAGAATTAGAGTTGTCCCTTCTGTCTGAACACTCAGTATCTGGTGCACATCTTGGGATCCCGGAGCCCATCAATGTTTTCCTGTAAAATGCTTTCCGTTCTGTTGGGAGAAAGGGTTTTTTATGATTAATTTGGAAATAACCCAAAAAGCTATTTGAAGGAAAAGTGGGTTTAACCACAAAAATAGTTTATTTATAAATAAAAAAGAAAGAATACAAAGATTGGCTTTGTTCTGATGTTTTACACAGGCTACCGGTGGTTATTAGTTTTCTGCTCACATGTTTGTGTGTGGCGTTGCTGGGATGTGCCTTGTGTTGCTACACAAACAGCGATCCCGAAGTCTGCCAGCAAGATAGATGGCCTGGAGTCCAGAACAGACTGGATTAGTGAAAGCTACTGCAGTGCTTTGGACACTTACTATGGTAGGTGGGAGATATTTAGTATTTTTTAATTCACATAGGCCAAATCACCAATTTGTGATTGTATTTTATGGTAAGGGTGTTCAGAAAATGCTTTAAATTCTGTCATTTTAAAAAAATGTTTATTAAGAGTTCAGACAATTTAAAAGATATATAATAAAGTTGTCTTCCCCTCCAAACCCAATCAATAACATGTTAGCAGTGTAGTGTGGGACCCAGTGCAGTGGCTCACACCTGTAATCAGTACTTTAGGAGGCTGAGGCAGGAGGATTGCTTAAAGCCAGGAGTTCAAGACCAGCCTGGACAACATAGCAAGACTCTCATCTCTACAAAAATAATTTAAGCCAGATGTGGTGATGCACACCTGTAGCTGCTACTCACGTGGCTGAAGCTGAGGGATCACTTGTAGCCAGGAGTTTGAGGCTGCAATGAGCTATGCTTGCGCCACCATACTCCAGCCTGAGCCACAGAGCGAGACCATCTCAAACAACAACACACAAAAAAACTAGTGTATACCTTTTATTTTCTCCTGTGCTTATACAATCTAGGAGTGGAAGGTGAAACCTTTTTCTTTTCTTTTACTATAAAAGTAGTGCTAAGACAATATTGTCAAAAGTTTTGGAAAAGACTCACTTTCAATTTTTGCCATGTCACATGGTAGCTGTTTTAAAATATTCTCCAGTCCTCTATGCGTTACAAAGAACTTACATGTAGTTTTAACATTTGCCATTTAAAGATAGCTGCATAACTCGTTGAATGGAGTATCATAATGATGTCATTCTATTTAATTGCTGAAACCTAGAAGTACAATTACTGGGTCACAGGGCGTAAACACCTACTTGCCTCTTCATTTTATGTGGTCAAATTTATCTTCGGAACGAGTTGGATTAATTTGTGATGAAATTCTCGACCATCAACACCTTCCTCTTGGCACATATTCATGGACCTCAGTATGGTTTACATTTGTTGAAAAGTTTTATTTTTGTGGCTGGGTGCAATGACTCATACTTGTAATCCCAGCACTTTTGGGAGGCTGAGGCAACAGGATCAGTTGAAAGTTTTATTTTTCTAAAAGGTTTGAAGAATATAAACTTCATTTTTTGCTGGAGAATCTTAACATTCTAATACAAGAGCCGTGAGTGAATAAATCCTAGATCTCACATAACCGGATGATAACTGCCTCTAAATCAGTGAATTGCTTCCAAAAATCACCGGTGAGAAAGGAATCTTGTTTTTTAATGATTTTTTTTTAGGGTAGTCACTTTAAAAAAAATTATTTCATGGCACTGTTTTTATAGCTTTAGTATGTTTGTCTATAAGGTAGCTAAACAGGCCACCCCTTACCTTCCAATGTGAAGATCCCAGAAAACTTTTTTTTAGCCAACTTACATATATAAAGTTTAGGATTGTAGATGAGAGGATAAAATAGACACCTGTACTATTAGTTGCAGGTGTTTCAGATTTGTTAATCTATTAACCAGCATGTGGGCTTTCCCTCTTCACATTCGCATTTCAGGCATGTCACTCCGACTTCGTATTTGATCTTGGTGCCCCCTTTGGCATCCCCTAATAGGTTAAGAGCAGATGATCTTTTTTCTTTCTAAGTTGTTTGGGATGCAGCAGTTTCGGGGTCTATGTATGATGCTGTTGGTGGACATTTATCCCAAGCCACAAGTATGCCTGTGTGTAGGTAGCACTAGGGCAGCTGCTTTTCAGAATCCACAGAGCATTGCTTTCGATTTTTAACAGGCTTCTTTCCAGTGACACCAAATACTTGTAACTGTAGCTTTATAATCCTAGAGACCGTGACTGTTAATGTGCCTCCTTTACAACTTATCCTACCAGCCACAATATTAGCATTGCTTAAGGTTGTTTGAGGCTAATAATGTTTCCACAGAACAATAACTTGTATTCTTTTCAGGTTACCGACAGCATTTAGTATATCCTGAAAGAGTGTAATGTTTCAAATATAAGGTGAGCATCCCTAAGGGGATAGTTTCGGGAGATAACTCTGCCTTATTTTGGGAGTATATGTGATACCTTGTCTGTTGATCCATTTGTCTGAAGTCCTTAAGAAAAGCTTTTCTCTTTTGTTAAAAGGTCAAAAATTTAAAAATTATTTTGCCCAGTTCTTTCTTTACGCTGTAAGTACAATTCTTCTGTACCTACATTGCTGTAAGAAGTTTAAATATAATTTGTAATTTAAGTTGTAGTATGAAAGAATGAACCAGAACAAGTAGCTGCCTCCAAGGTTGTACTTTCCCAATTTTTTAATATTCAAGGCACCTAGAAAATGTATCATTAAAAATATGTTATTAAAATATGCTGTTATTTGTAATACACACTATTATTTTTATGTTCTAAGAAAGGAAGAAAACTTGCATTTAAATAGACACAATGGCCAAGTGCAGTGGCTGATGCCTGTAATCCCAGCACTTTGAGAGGCTGAGGGAGGAGGATCGCTTGAGTCCAGGAGTTCAAGACCAGCCTGGGCAACACAGGGAGACCCTGTCTCTACAAAAATTGGCTGGGTGTCATGGTGTGAGCCTGTAGTCCCAGCTAGTTGGGAGGCTGAGGTGGGAGGATAACTTCAGCCCAGGAGGCAGAGGCTGAAGTGACTATGATCAGAGCATTGCACTCCACCCTGGGCAACAGAGCCAGACCCTATCTCTGAAAAAAACAAAAGAAAAAAGAAACAGAACGCTTTCTTGTTGTTTGGACTTTTTACTTTGTATCCCATTGAGGAGCTCTTTGAGACTTTGCTAGATGCAGATGTTATCACTTGCGCATCTGTAGAAACGGATCTAGAAATGTATGTTTGTTTGTTTTCCTGAAACTTCGGGTTTTGCTTTTCTGAATCACTTTTTGACTCAGTGGTTGGTGTCTCTGGTTTTTCCACCCAGTGTTGTTCTCTGTGCCAGTATGAGTTTTATGTCAGAGCACTCCTTAAAAGAATTCATAAAACCTAAAAGTCACTGGCACTGTAAACCAGCTTTATAGTTACGCCAATCTCGCCTACTTTTGACACCTGCTTTAGGAATGTGCTAACTCTATTTGGTTTGCCCAAAACCTTAAACTCTTTGGTTCCTAGGAGTTACAATGATGGCTGAATGTTTCTCCTGGCCTCTGACACCCACTGCGCAGGGTTCAGTGCTGTGTTTGGAAGGTGCCTATGTCACCAATAGGCAATGCTAGCACTATTACAATCACAACCTGTACAAAAGAAGTTGTAGGATAATCCTGATTTCAAATACGTAAAAATCTGGAAGAAAATGTGAGTCTTAGCAGAGGGTGAGATGTGGTTGCATTTGCAACCACTAGTGTGCCAGGGCAGTCCCCGCCCTGCTCAGACTGCTACCTCGAGGGCTGAAACGATCCCAGGAAAGCTCAGCAGTAGATGGTCACTGCAGGGCTCACACCTTCCTTTCGCATGGCTGGGGAGGGGGGCGTTAGCAGATGTGGTGGGCACTAAAGGAGTTGCTAAGGTTGGCAGCAAAGTGCCAGGCCTCATGGGAGAAAAGAGGAGATGGGATATGAGCTGCCAGGAGACAACGGTTGGGAAGAGCAGATTGTCCCATGGGGGGTTAGGTCCTGTGTGGTTCCTAGGATGCGATCCATCCTTTTTGTTCCATAAAATGTTAGGCGATGCTTTCGTGTCCCATTAGTGGAGCTGCAGCACCGGAGGCTGCTGCAGAGGGCTGGAAGGGACCGTGAGTAGGTAGGCGGGGCAGGGCTCCCCACTCTCTTGATCACACCACCGTCTTCTGAGTTATAAAAGGAAGAAAGACTTGTTGTTTCTAGAATATTTTGTTAAAGATACAGTGCTCATCTACCAAGGCGTCTAGATCTCAGATTATGTGTCAAGATGAAACCAAAAATCTTCAAGAAAAATTTATGCTGCATAGTCCTTTTCCCTCCCCTCCCCCCGCCAGGACAGGGTCTTGCTCTGTCACCCAGGCTGGAATGTAATGGTGCAATCTTGGCTCACTGCAACCTCTGCCTCCCAGGTTCAAGCGATTCTCCTGCCTCAGCCTCCAGAGTAGCTGGGATTACAGGCACACACCACCACACCCAACTAATTTTTGTATTTTTACTAGAGACAGGGTTTCGCCATGTTGGCCAGGCTGGTCTTGAACTCCTGGCCTCAGGTGATCCATCTGCCTCGGCCTCCCAATGTGCTGGAATTACAGACGTGATTCACCGTGCATGGCCAGTACTTTTTCAGTATTATCTGAAATTAACAACCTGAGAGGTTGAGGTCCCATTTTAAGTATCTACCTACTTTCTTTTTAAGTTTTTAATTAATTTTTTTAAATGTAAGAATTTTACATGGTAAAATTCAGGCAGCACAAATGGGTAAATACAGTGAAAAGTGTGTCTGTCCTTCAGCTGCCCTCTCCAGAGGCAACCATGACTGGGTGCAGATTTGCACATTCAGCTACATATATACCTATTTATGTGTGTGTGTGTGTATGTGTGTGTATTTCCCTTATTTTTCTAAAGCATGAATATTATGTACATTCCTTTTTCACTTGACAACCTAGGAGACTTTTCAACATCAGTTTTTTGGGATCTACCTCATTCATTTTAAAAGCTGCATCACTTTTTATTGTACGGATGCACAAAAGCATAGTTAACTGATTCCCTCATTTTGGACAATTAGACTCATCCCTCTTTCACTATTGCAAACAATGCTACAAATAACTTCATCGCAAATGTAAGCTGTAAGCCTTTATTGGCTAAAACATACAAAAATTAGCTGGGTGTGATGGTGCGTGCCTGTAATCCTAGCTATTCAGGAGGCTGAGGTATAAGAATAGCTTGAATCTGGGAGGCTGAGGTTGCAATGAACTGAGATCGTGCCACTGAACTCCAGCCTGGGCGACAGAGCGAGACTTTGTCTCAAAAAAAAAAAAAATTATGAGATAACTTGCCGAGATGTTTTTATGAAAAGAGCTACGTGGGATAAACATTTCTTGTTTTCAATTGGGAGCAGCTGATTTAGAAGTGGACCGACCTATCAATTTCTGGGTACTTACTTCATTATTGCCACGGTTTAAATTACTGATACTCATAGTTTATGTTCCATTCCAAATTAATAAGACAAAGTAATCCTTTTGAATTTTTTTATGTTGAAACGTTCACTATGTGAAAGAATAATCTACCATTATCAAGATAATAGCACAGCAAAGTATTTGTCAATCTTGGCAGAAAATCATAAAGTGTGTTGAACTGATGACGACTAAACATGTAGGATGCTAGTGAAAGATGGAAAAGTGATGGAAGCCTATGTTCCCAGCATAATTTTAAAAGTGCAGGTGCTCATAAACTAGAACATCCGGAAGAAATAGATAAATCCCTGGACACACACACCCTCCCAAGACTAAGCCACAAAGAAATTGAATCCCTGAACAGACTATTAATGAGCTTCAAAATTTAGGCATTAATAAATAGCATACCAACCAAAGAATCTCAAGATCAGAAAGACTCACAGCCAAATTCTGCCAGGTATACAAAGAAGAGCTGGTACCATTCCTACTGAAAGTGTTCCAAACTCCTCCCAACTCATTCTATGAGGCCAGCATCATCCTGATACCAAAACGTGGCAGAGACACACATAAAAAAAGAAAGCTTCAGACTAATATCCCTGATGAACATTGATGCAAAAATCCTCAACAGAATATTGGCAAACTGAATCGAGCAACACATCAAAAAGCTAATCCACCATGATCAAGTAGGCTTTATCCCTGGGATGCAAGGTTGGTTCAACATATGCAAATCAATGAATGTGACTCACCACATAAATGGATCTAAAGACAAAAACCACATGATTATTTCAACAGATTAAGAAAAGGCTTTCAGTAAAATTCAACACTATGTTAAAAACTTTCAATCAACTAGGTATTGAAGGAACATACCTCAAAATAAAAGCCATCTATGACAAACCCACAGCCAACATCATACTGAATGGGCAAAAGCTGGAAGCATTCCCGTTGAAAACTGGCATAAGATAAGGATGCCATCTCTCACCACTCCTACTTTACATAGTATTGGATGTCCTGACCAGGGCAATCAGGCAAGAGAAAAAAAATAAAGCACATCCGAATAGGAAGAGAGGAAGTTAAACTATCCCTGTTTGCAGATGACATAATCCTATACCTTGAAAACTCTACAGTCTCTACCCAAAAGCCCCTTAAACTGATAAACAACTTCAGCAAAGTCTCAGCCTACAAAATCAATGTACAAAAATGACCAGCATTCTTGTACACCAACAATAGTGAAGCCAAGAACCAAATCAGAAATGCAATCCCGTTCACAATTGCCACAAAAAGAATACCTAGGAATACAGCTAACCAGGAAGGTGAAAGATCTCTACAAAGAGAACTACAAAACAGTGCTCAAAGAAATCAGAGATGACACAAACAAATGGAAAAACATTCCGTGTGCATGGATAGGAAGACTCAATATCATGAAAATGGCCATACTGCCCAAAGCAATTGATAGATTCAATGATATTCCCATCAAACTAGCAATGACATACTTCACAGAAATAGAAAAAACTATTTTAAAATTCATGTGGAACCAAAAAGGAGTCCCGATAGCCAACGCAATCCTAAGCAAAAAGAACAAAACTGGAGGCATCACGCTAGCTTCAAACTATACCACAGTAACCAAAACAGCATGGTACTAGTACAAAAACAGACACACAGACCATGGAACACAATAGAGAGCCCCAAAATAAGGCCACACACCTACAACTATCTGATCTTTGATGAAGCTGACAAAAACAAGCAATGGGAAATGACTCCCTATTCAATAAATGGTGCTGGCATAACTGGCCAGTCACATGCACAAGATTGAAACTGGACCCCTTGCTTACACCATATATGAAAATTAACACGAGATGGATGAAAGACTTTAAAACCCAAAACTATAAAAAACCTGGAAGACAACCTAGGCAATACCATTCTGGAGACACAGGAACAGGCAGATTTCATGACGAAGATGCCAAAAGCAATTGCAACAAAAGCAATCATTGACAAATGGGATCTAAATAAACTAAAGAGCTTCTGCACAGCAAAAGAAATGATCCACAAAGTAAACAGACAACCTACATAATGGGAGAAGTTTTTGCAAACTGTGCACATGACAAAGGTCTAATATCCAACGTCTATAAGTAACTTAAATTTACAAGAAAAACACAACTCCGTTAAAAAGTGGGCAAAAGACATGAACAGACACTTTTCAAAAGAAGGTATACATGTGGCAAATCATATGAAAAAAGCTCAACATCATTGATCATTAGAGAAATGCAAATTAAAACGACAATGAGATACCATCTCACAACAATCAGAATGGATATTACTAAAATTAAAAAAACAATAGATGCTGGTGAGGTTGTGGAGAAAAAAGAAGCCTTATACATTGTCGGTGGGAGTGTAAATTAGTTCAACCATCATTGAAAGCAGTGTGGTGATTCCTGAAAAACCTAAAAACAGAACTACCATTTACAATCCCACTACTGCATATATACCCAAAGGAATAGAAAACGTTCTATCATAAAGACACAGGCATGTGTATATTCATTGCAGCACTATTCACAATAGCAAAGACATGGAATCAACCTAAATGCCCATCAATGACAGATTGAATAAAGAAAATGTGGTACATATACACAATGGAATGCTATGGTGCCATAAAAAGAACAAGACCACGTTCTTTGCAGGAACACGGATGGAGCTGGAGGCCAGTATACTTAACAAACTAACACAGAAACAGGAAACCAAATACTGCATGTTCTCGCTTATAAGTGGGAGCTAAAAGATGAGAACACGTGGACACACAGAGGGGAACAACACACACTGGGGCCTTTTGGACGGTGGAGGGTAGAAGGAGGGAGAGGATCAGGAAAAATAACTGGTAGGTACTAGGCTTAATATCTGGGTGCTGAAATAATCCGTACAACAAACTCCCATGACATGAGTAGTTTACCTGTATAATAAACCTGCACATGTACCCTTGAACTTAAGAAAATTCTTTCATGTTAAACATTCACATACACACACAAAAATTAAAAATTAGAAGTGCAGATGCTGTTTATAAGCACTCACTTATGTATCTAGAACTTTGTGCTGTTGGCTTTTTCTTCTAGGCAGCTCTCAGCTGTCAGTACCACTAAAGCCTGCAGCCAGCATTTGTCTTATTCCTGGATCTCTAAGTTCAGTTTTCCATGAATCATGACCCATGGAGCCCACAAGTAGACTCGAAGCCCAGCAAATACCAAGAATGTTATCTTCCTTCTTTCTCTGATGACACTGGCATCTCTGAACGTGAGCCTACTGGGCGCACTGAAAATCTGTATTTCTCCCAAACAAGTATAAAAGTGTGTAAATCTGATTTTAGAGGGATGTTTGATTAGGGGGGAAAGCTTTGCACCTGGGAGAGAAATTACTCTGGCTGTCATTTTGCCCCAAATTGTGTAATCTTAACAGAATCACTTCTTGTCTTGACTTTTCATTTCCTCATCTGCAAGAGACGATGAGAGTCCAGCTTCACAGACTACTTCCTCCCCACCCTGCAAACTGTGATTTTAATCAGGTAATTCTGCCCATACTGAATTATTTTCAATAAAAAGTATAGAACATTGGGAACATTTGAAGAAACAGCTGTAACATGTAAATTATTAAACATGATAACAAAGCAAACTGCTGTGAATTCACAACTGATCATTCCCACAAAACCTCCTCTCCCCGCCACTGTTTTGGCTTGCCCAGTTTTGCTCGTTAGAGGCGGACATCACAGCATTCCCTCTTTACCAGCGCGATGTTAAGGTTCTAATGCAAGATCACCTGATAGTTCCATTTTCTTCTTCCCTTTAAATAAACGGTTGTCAAAATACCTTCATTTAAAAATGACTTTCCTGCTTCTAATCCCAGCCCTTTGGGAGGCCATGGTGGGCAGATCACTTGAGTCCAGGAGTTCAAGACCATCCTGGGGAACATGGGAAAACCCCATCTCTACTAAAAATACAAAAATTAGCTGAGCATGGTGATATGCGCACCTGTAGTCCCAGTTACTCAGGAGGCTGAGGTAGGATGATCGCTTGAGCCCGGGAAGTCGAGGATGCAGTGAGCCAAGATTGTGCCACTACACTCTAGCCTGGGTGACAAAGCGAGACCCCGTCTCAAAAACATAAAAATGAAAATGAAAATGACTTTCCTTAAAATTATTCAGCACATCCATATTAAAACAAAATTATTTGGTGGTTTTGGTGAGGAACATACTTGTCTAATGGCTAAAATCAGGATTTCCATTCTGTCAAATAGGAAGAACATTATACTGGAGCAGTTTGAAAATTTCTAGTTTCCTTGTTGGCATATAATTGTTTTTGGAGGGAAAAAACCCCAAACATTTGCTAAATATCTGCCATATGCATTGAAACTAATTTTGTAATGTTCACCAAATTCTGAAAACGAACTGCTGTGCTGACATATTTATTCGGTCTTGAAACAGATGGGAGTCTGTGTGAGGGGGAGAAGTGATTTTTAGGAATCAAAAGTATTTAGGAAGTGAAAAAATTTCAAGAATCTTTTAATAAAAGACTCAAAAATTATCCCTGTTAATATCAAATTTTGGCCATGAGGTTTTTCATATAGTTATGTGGAAACTCTTTCCAATGCTTCTGTTCAGGTCAGACAGTTTACAATTTCCTGGGAAGACTCCTTTGTGCCAACCGTATTCTTTATTTTATATTTTAACATCTGTTCTTTGACTTATGATGGGATTACCTTCCGATAAACGTATCGTAAGGTGGGAATATTGTGTAAATATTAAATAAAAAATGCATTGAATATACCTAATGTACCAAATATCCTAGCTCAGTCCACCTTAAACATGCTCAGAACACTTACATTGGTGTACAGTTGGACAAAATCATCTAACACAAAGCCTGTGTTATACTAAAATGTTGACAATCTCATGTAATGTATTGAACACTGTATGAAAAGTGAAAAACATAACGGCTTATGGGTACTCGAAGTACAGCTTCCAAAATGGTAAGTTGATCCATAGTAAATCTGAGACTATCTACTTTAGTAAATGCTTCTGTTTTGCTATTACTTTTCACAGCAAATATTAAGGAACTGAGAATGACCTCATGATTTTAAAAAATATAACACCTGTACCTCTCTTATCTGCAATAGAAATTTTAAAACACTGATTTTATTTTTCCCCTTTTTACTTAAAAATATGAATGCACATTTAAAATCTTGTTTCCCTTTCTTCATTGTATTCACCTGTGTGCCAGACGCTGTTATTGACTCCAGTGAGGGCAAATGCATATGGAATTTTACTAGATCCCAATATTCTTCCACAATTTTATTAAAGTAAAACCTCATATAATATGTCCATCTTATGTGTACAGATCAATGCACTTTTATAGATACCTGCATCTGCGTAACTGCTACCCAGGATCAAGAATACAGAATATGTCAGCTCCCAGCACTCTAATGCCCCGCCTCATCATTACCAACCCTGCCTCAGAGATAACTACTATCCTCACTTCTGTCACTATAGGTAAATTTTGTTATTTTGGAATTATAGATAAATTATAGTCCTTTTTTGGTATGTGGCTTCTTTTGCTCAACATTATATTTGTGAGATCCATTCATGTGATCTGTTCAGTCATAGTTTGCTCATTTTTACTGCTGTATAGTATTCCAGTATACGATGAAACCAACATTTTAGAAAATGCATTTTAACTTTGATGGACATTTGAGTTCTTCCCAGTTTGGGGCTGTTATGAATAGGAGTGCTATGAGCCTTCTTTTACTCATCTTTTGGTGAATACATTTGCATTTCTGCTGGGTATAGAGCTAGGGTCTGTAGCATACGCTGGGTAGTAGCATAAGTTCAGCTTTAGTATATCCTACTTAACAGTTCTTCAGCCATGTGTGGAGGTGCCTGCCTGTAGTCTCAGCTACTTGGGAAGCTGAGGCATGAGGATCGCTTGAGTCCAGGAATTCAGGGCTACAGTGTACTATGCCGATAGGGTGTCCACACTAAGTTTGGCACCAATATGGTGACCTTCCGGGAATGAGGGACCAACAGGTTGCCTAAAGTGGGTGGACCAGCCCAAGTTGAAAACAGAGCAGATCAAAACTCCCATGCTGATCAACAGTGAGTGATATTGTTTGGTTCTGTGTCTGCACCCAAATCTCATCTCGAAATGTAATCCCCACTTGTCAAGGGAGGGACATGGTAGGAAGTGATTGGATCATGAGGGTGGCTTCCTCCTGCTATTCTCGTGGTAGTGAGTTCTCATGAGATCTAATGGTTTCATAAGTGTTTGGCAGTCCTTCAATCTCCTGCTGTCTCCTGCTGCCTAGTGAAGAAGGTATTTGCTTCTCTTTTGCCTTCGCCGTGATTGTAAATTTCCTGAGGCCTCCCCAGCCATGAGGAACTATAAGTCAATTAAACCTCTTTTCTTTATAAATTACTCTGTTTGGGGTATGTCTTTATAATAGTCTGAAAACAAACTAATATAGTGGGATTTTACCTATAAATAGTCACTGCAATCCACCTGAGCAACATGGTGAGACCTCCATCTCCAAAAAACAAACAAACAAACAAAAAAACAAAACACCAATTCTTCATAAGTGGGACATCAGGGCTCCATGTCTTTGCCAATATTATGTATTGCTAGAGACTTTGGTTTTAGCCAATCAAGTGAGTGGGTGGTAGGATCTCACTGTGGTTTTTACTTCTTTGTTAAATTTCCATTGTGATACAATGCACACGAGTGCACAAATCTTATGGGCAGAGTTTTGTTAAATGTTTTTTGGAGCTTAATTTTTTTGTCACTTTAATAGACCTTATTTTTTTAAAGCAATTTTAGGTTCACAGCAATATAAAGTGGAAAGTATAGAGAATTCCCATATACCCCTTGCCTTCCCACATGCACAATCTCCCCTAAAACCAGCACCAGGCACCAGAGTGGTATATTTTTTACAACTCATGAACCTACATTGACTCACCATTATCACTCAAAATCCATAGTTTACATTAGCTTCACTCTTGATGAATGGGTTTTGACAAATGTATTATGACCTGTATCCACCACTACAGTATCACATAGAGGAGTTTCACTGCCCTAACATCCTCTGCATGTTTTTGCCTCTTCCAGATGTTATATAGGTGGAATCCTACATTATTTAGCCCTTTTCGATTGGATTCTTTCACTTAGTAATATGCATTGAAGGTCCCTCCATGTCTTTTCATGGCTTGATAACTCACTTTCTTTTAATGTTGAATATTATTCCCTTGTCTGGATGCACCACTGTTTATCCATTCACCTATGGAAGTGACATCTTGGTTGTTTCTGAGTTTGGGTAATTATGAATAAAGCTGCTATAAACATCTGTGTGCAGGTTTTTGTGTGGACATAAGTTTTCGAATCACTTGGGTAAATACCAATGCACATAATTGCTGGGTGATTGCTGGGTGGTATAAGAGTATGTTTAGTTTTCTAAGAAATTGCCAAACTCTTTTCCAAAGTGGTTGTACCATTTTGCATTCCTACCAGCAATGAATGAGAGGTCCTGTTGTTCTACATTCTTGCCAGCATTTGATGTTACCACCGTGCTGGGTTTTGGCCATGCTAATAGGGGTGTAGTGGTACCTCATTGTTGCTTTCATTTTCAGTTCCTGAGCCAGGCATGGTGGCTCATGCCTGTAATCCCAGCACTTTGGGAGGCCAAGACAAGTGGATCACCTGAGGTCAGGAGTTTGAGAGCAGCCTGGCCAACATGGTGAAACCCATACCTATTAAAAATACAAAAATTAGCCAGGTGTGGTAGCGGGCACCTGTAATCCCAGCTACTTGGGCGGATGAGGCTGGAGAATCTCTTGAACCTGGGAGGCAAAGCTTGCAGTGAACCGAGATGGCAACACTGCACTCCAGCCTGGATGGTGAAGTGAACACTGCACTCCACTCTGTCTAAAAAAATAAAAATTAATTGTCAGTTCCCTAAGTATACATTTTGTTGTGTATATTTTTGTTGTAATGTCATTCAGGTTTTTTGCCCATTTTTAAATCGAATTGTGTTTTCAAATTGGTGATTTTTAAGAGTTCATTGTACATTTTGAATAACAGTTCTTTATCAAAGATCCTTTAGCCAGTATTTTCTCTGAGTGTATGGCTTGTCTTCTCATTCTCTTGACATTGTCTTTCACAGAACAGAAATTTTTAATTTTAATAAAGTCCAGCTTATCAATGATTTCTTGGTGCTTAATACATTTTTACATACATATATCACATGCAACCACCATCCAGATCAAGATATAGAGTATTTCCAACATTGCAAAAGTTTGTCTTCTGCCCCTGCCTCCAAAGGTAAACCACCATTTTGGGACTTAACATCATGAATTAGTTTTGCCTGTTTTTGAGAGTCACATAAATGGAATCGTACAGTATGTACCAGTTTGTGTATGGCTTCTCTTGCTCAATATAATATACTTTTATTTTATTGTCAGATAATATTGCATTGTAAGGATATATCAAAATTCATTTGCCTTTAAATGGGCATTTGAGTTTCCTAGTTTGGGGCCATTATGAATAATAATGCTATGACCATCTTTGCACATGTCTTTTAATACACACATGCATTTATATGGGTATATACCAGTGTGTAGAATTGCTGGGACATAGGGAATGTGTGTGTATATAGAGCATTAGTAGACACAGGCACGCTGATTTCCAGCGTTGTTGTGTGAATTTACATTCCCATCAGCAGAGTTTGAGAGATCCAGTGGTTTCACATTCTTGCTAACACTTCATGTTTTCCTTTCTTTTTCATTTTAGTCATTCGGGGGTGGGGAGAGATGTATGGATATTGCATTGTGTTTTTAATTTTTTATATCCCTGATACAGTGGAACACTTTTTCATACATTTGTGAACCATTTTGGGATATGCTTTTTTCTTTCTTTTTTTTTTTAACTTTTTAAGTTCAGAGGTACATGTGCAGGTTTGTTGCATAGGTAAACTTGTGTCATGGGGGTTTGTTGTACAGATTATTTCATCACTCAGGTATTAAGCCTAGTACCTATTAGTTCTTTTTTCTGAACTTCTCCCTCCCCCATGCTTCACTCTCCAATAGACCCCACTGTGTAGTGCTCCCCTCTATGTGTCCATGTGTTCATATCTTTTAGCTCCCACTTATAAGTAAGAACATGCGGTATTTGGTTTTCTGTTCCTGTGTTAGTTTGCTAAGGATAATGGCCTCCAGCTCCATCCATGTTCTTGCAGAGGACATGACTTTGTTCTTTTTTATGGTGACATAGTATTCCACTGTGTGTATGTACCACATCTTCTTTATCCAGTGCACCATTGGTGGGCATTTGGGTTGATTCCATGTCTTTGCTATTGTGAATAGTGCTGCAATGAACACTCAGATGCATGTGTCTTTATGATAGAACAATTTATATTCCTTTGGTTATATACCCAGTAATGGGATTGCTGGGTTGAATGGTCGTTCTGTAGATATTTGAGGAATCGCCACACTGTCTTTCACAATGGTTGAACTAATTTATACTCCCACTAACATTGCATGAGCGTTTCTTTTTCTCTGCAACCTCGTCAGCACCTGTTATTTTTTGACTTTTTAATAATTGCCATTCTGATTGGTGTGGGATGGTATCTCATTGCGGTTTTGATTTGCGGATATGCTTTTTTCAGTAAAATGTCTGTTCAAGGATTTGCCTCCTTTTTTTTTTTTTTTTTTTTTTTTTTTGAGACAGAGTCTTGGTCTGTCACCCAGGCTGGAGTGCAGTGGTGTGATCTCGGCTCACTGCAACCTCTGCCTCCCGGGCTCAAGCGATCCTCCTGCCTCAGCCTCCTGAGTAGCTGGGATTACAGACATATGCCACCATGCCTGACTAACTTTTTTTGTATTTTTAGTAAAGATGGGGTTTCACCACGTTGGCCAGGCTGGTCTGGAACTCCGAACCTCAAGTGATCTGCCTGCCTTGGCCTCCCAAAGTGCTGGGATTACAGGCATTGCCTACTTTTTTATTGAGTTATCTATGTTTTTCTTATCATTTTTAGGAACTATTTAGATATTCTAAATGTAAGATCATCGTTAGATATATGTATTACAAATGTCTTCTCTTACTGCACAGATTGACTTTTTACTCTCAGTGAAACCTTTTGATTAGCAGAAATTCTTAAGTTTAACGAAGTCTAATTTATCACTTTCCCTTTGTGGTTAGGGCTTGTTGTGGCTTGTTTGAGAAATCTTCATTTATCCTCAATCATATAGATGATTTCTGTTGTCTATTAAATACTTTGTTGTTTCACCTTTCAGATTTAGACTTGCAATCTACCTGGAATTGATGTGAGTATGGTGTGAGACAGAACTTCAGGTTGACTTTTGGTTCTCTATGGATACCCATTAGACCCAGTAGATATAGAACCATATTCATGGCACCAGTGACTGAAGAGTCCACGCACTCCCCACTCTGCTGCAGTGTCACCGTGATCATAAATCAAGTGGGTAAGTGTGGATCTGGTCCTTGACTCTGCATTGTTTTATTAGTCTGTCTCTTCTTGCACTAATGCCATCTTAACTACTTTAGCTTTATCAAACGTCTTGAGATCGGGTAGACCAATCGTCCGACCTTGCTTTTGTTTTTTAAAAGTGTCCTGGCTAATCTTGGCCCTTTGAATTGACACAAGATTTTCAAAATCATCTGGTCAGTTACCTCAAAATATCTTCTGGAAGTTTTATTGGGATTGCATTAGAGCTATAGACCAATTTGGGGAGAAGTGACATCCTTACAACTGAACCTTTAAATTCAGAAATAAGGCATGTCTCTTAATTTCTTTAGGTTTTCTGGAATTTTTCTCAATAATATTTTCTTGCTTTCTGTACAGAGAGTACTTCTACATCTCTTGTTAGATTTATTCCTAAGTATTCAGTTTTTTTTCAAAGCAATTTAAAAAGTATCCCTAAACATTTTTACTTTTTTTCCCTCTTTTTTAATGGGACTAGAGTTGACTTTTGTAATTGGTCTTTCTAAATTACTTAGAAAAAACAATTCCTTTTTATCATTTATTTATAGATTCATTTGGATTTTTTACAAAACATATTACTTGTGAATCTTGACAGTTTTATTTCTTCCTTTCCAATCCTTATGCCTTTTGTTTTTCTATCTTGCATTTTGGTACTGGGTAGGACTTTGAACATGTGGTGGAATGGAAGAGATATTCACAAGCATATTTACGTGTTTCTATCTTATGAGGAAGTCTTTCAATCTATCACTATTAAGTATAATATTTGCCATAGGCTTTTCATAGTTATTGTTGATTAGATTCAGGAAGGTGCCTTCTATTTCTGGTTTGCTATAAGTGTCAATTCTCTCCAAATTGATAAGCAGATTTAACACAATTCCTATTAAAATTTCAGCAAGTTATTTTGAAGATAAAGTCAAGATTATTCTAAAATTATACGGAAAGGCACAGGAAGAAATTAGAATAGCTGAAACAGTTTTGAAAAAGAAGAATGAAGTAGGACAAAGTGGTCTATTTGATTTCAAGACTTACTCTGTAGCTACAGTAACCAAGATTGTGTGCTATTGGCAGAGAGATAGACACATAGATCCAAGGAACAGAATAGGCAACATAGAAACACACTCCTACGTATATTCTCAAATCATTTTTTACAAGGATGCAAAGGCTATCTGATGGAGAAAAGTAGCCTTTTCAACAAATGGTGCTGGGAGCAATTGGACATCCACAGGCAATAAATAAATAAATAAAACAAAAACAAACCTTTAAGTCTCATACTTTATGCAAAAGTCAATTCATAATGGATTATGAACTTGAAACATGAAACTAAAACTTTTAGAAAAAAATTGGAGAAAATCTTCAGGAACTATGGCTATGAAAAGTGTTCTTAGATTTGACACTAAAAGTATGACCTCTAAAATGATACATTGTACTTTTTCAAAATTAAAAACTTTTACTTTGCAAGTGACTCTGTTATGAAGATGAAAAGATAAGCTACAGATTGGAAGAAAATATTTGCAAATCACATACCTGCCAAAGGACTAACATCTAGGAAAGATAAAGAACTCTCAAAACTCAATAGTAAAAAATCTCAAAAAATTCAAATTGAAAGCAAGCAAAAGACATGAAGAAGTGACTTCACCAAAGAAGATATACAGATCGCAAATAAGTACAGGGAGAATATTCAACATCATTACCCATTAGGAAAATGCAAATTAAAGCCACATTTAATATCATTATATACCTATCAGAATCACTAAAATAAAAAAAAAAATGACAGTCCCAAATGCTAGTGAGGATGCATAGAACCTGGATAATTTATACACTGCTGGCAAAAAGGTAAAATATTAATACCACAGCCACTTTGGCATACAATTTGGCAGTTGCTTAAAAGACAAAACATGCAACTACCATACAACTCAGCAATTGCTCATATAAACTGAATATTTCTAAAATTCCCAGAAAATAAGAAAATTGAATTTCTAATACCAATTCAGAAACCAAGTTCACATAATTAAGATTAATCTTTGGCAAACTAGACTAGTTTAATAATTTTGATTCAGGCTGTGTGGGGGCTAACGCCTGTAATCCCAGCACTTTGGGAGGCCAAGGCGGGTGGATCATCTGAGGTCAGGAGTTGGAGACCAGCCTGGCCAACATGGTGAAACCCTGTATCTATTACAAATACAAAAATTAGCCAGGCGTGGTGGTGCGCACCTGTAATCCCAGTTACTCGGGAGGCTGAGGCAGGAGAATCACTTGAACCCAGGAGGCGGAGGTTGCAGTGAGCTGAGGTCGTGCCACTGCACTCCAGCCTGTGTAACAGAGCAAGACTCTGTCTCAAAATATTATTAATAATAATTTTGATTAAAAAATTGCCACGTTACTTCTCCTATTTATCGATGTATATAACACAAGCATGCATTTTATTTGGTTTGTCTTTCCTAAACTCGTACAAGCTTACTCATCAAATAAGCGATTACTTAATGTTACATAATGTTGAGGATCATTAAACCAGGAAATTTGTGCTCAACTAAATTCATTCGTTATGGTGACAAACTTTTTCTTTCAACAGCAATTATATTTTGTAGCTGGAAGATACTTTTCTAGGTGTTTAGATGACTTAGAATTTGGGGCTGATATTAAGTTGAGTTAATGGATAATCACTGTATAGTTAGATGACCTCTAAATACTATCAAATGACAAAACATTGATTATGCAACATAATTTTAGGTTTATATGCAATTGCTTTTTATTTGTTGTGCTTTAGAGAGGCTGTATCTTGGGATCAGATGCATGACTGCTCATTTTTGAACTTTCAGAAGGCGTAAAAGGAATGTGTGTGGCTATAGAAGGTTGGTTATGAACTTTGCTATTCTGCTGAAATCTTTGTCTAAGATAAACAGTTCTCACTTCTCTACCCACCATTTTTCTCTGTGAAGTAGAAGACATTTTGGCTAGTAATGAAAATTAATATGGTTAAGATAAATCTGTATGAGTTAAAAAAATTAATATGGTAGTTGGAGCTATGCAAGGAGCAATAGTGAGAGAGAAACCCAACTGTGCCTGAGCTTTTGTTTTTCAAGGAAAAAGCATTTCTTTTGCTAAAGCAGTAATTATCAAACGTTTTGGGAGAGGCTTCCGTTCACAAAGGAGGAGCTCCCCATGTTTCTCATGGGAACTTGTCCAAGCGTATCTCTTACATAGCAAATCCCATCTTGCCACCCCTGCTCAGAGGCCCCAGATCCACATGCACCTTTCTTCCCAAGAAAGAAGACCTGTTGTCATTGTTTGCACACCTGCCGCCCATTGGACTGGATGCTCTCCTGATAGCCCTGTTTGCTCACCTCCATTCAAAACACATTTTCATTACTGAACCAGATGCCAGGAAAACAAGCATTTCATCTTCTATGAAAATTGTGTAGGGTCGTATTGGTTTTAGAGGATTGTTGTGAGACAGAAATGAAACAGTGCCAGTGAAACAGAGCAGATGTACATCAGTGTGGGTCCATTTGAAGTCTGGATGGACGGAGTGGCACCCCAGCCTCCTCAAGGAAGCCAGGACCCAAGAGTTGCCTTTCACTTTTGCCTCTCAAGGAACCTGATATAACCAACATGAAAAAAACACACTCAGAGCTCAAGAGGGCTGGCCCTTCCCAGGACAGATGCTGCAGAGACTGGATGCATTTTTTCCTGCCCAACCAACCTTGGCGACAGGTTGCTGGGCTCTCATTCATGAAGCTACCTGCCTGGGGAAATGAGTCAATCCAGTTATTAGCTCACCAAGGGCTTTTATTCTTGACAAGGTACTGATACCCTATCTACCTCCACTGCTTGGGAATAGCTGACTTGGACTTAAGTCTGTGGGAATCAAGATATCAGAATACCTAGAGAAGCTGGAGAAATGCACTCCCAACAAATGCCACCTCAGTGTCTGTCACAGCAGCCGTCTTTGAAAGTTGTCCGGCATCCTGACGGCCATGCACAGATTCCATCATGGTGCTTTAAAATTATTTACTAAAACCCACAGAGAAAAGAGGTAAGAAGATACTTCCATGTTATTCCCAAAGCTTCTTGTGAATAATCTTACTGAACCCCCACCGTGATCTTCCCCAGCTGGGTGATCAAGCCAGGACCACCTGAAAATGCTCTCCTAATGCCTGAGTCTATTGTTCAGGGACGTGGTGTCCTTTCTTCATTCCCTGGGCACTCTTAGAGAGATCATGCACCCTGCCTTTCTCTCCTCCTCAGTGTCGAACCTCAGGTAACATTTCTCCCAATTCCCACTCCTCTTCCTCCAGGGAATCAAAGGCCTTTTGCCAACTTTTAAAATCCAAACGCCCAACTGCACACTAGATGTTACATTTTTTTTTTTTTAGAGGAGAGGGTGCTGTCTTTTCATCAGATTCTCAAAGGGTCCCCTTCCACCCCAAAGGATAAAGAACCACGATGCTAAAGGATGTCCACCTAAAGGGCGACAGCTCTAGTGTGAGGGTACAAGCTTGCCATCTCACTCCCACCACCTGCCCAGGGCAGCAGGCCTGAGAGCAGGGCAGTCTTTGACAAGCCAGCAGTGCTCGTGCCAGAGGAAAACAGGGTGGGTCGTGCACCTGTGCTGGAGCAGTTACAGGCCCCACTTAGCTTATCGGCCGGCCGCTCTGCTCGGGTCTTGAGGCTCAGACCTTGTGAGCTGATAGCATCCTCCCTCTTTCCAGAGTCAACACAGCCATGGGCCCGGGAAGCTGGCAGCCATTCTCAGGAAGGGGGTCGAATGCCATGTTATCACCGGGCTGGCAGTTGTGTAGCCTTCGCCGGGACGGGCCCCTTTGGCTTGTTCTCCTTATCTTCTCTCCTCTCAAGGCCCTGCAGTGGTTATTGAGGGCAGCGGATCCAAGGGCATAATCTCCCTCCTGCCTCAGGCTCCCTGAGATCTGTAGCGAACATCCACCGTTCCTCAATGTTCCTCACCCTTCTTCAGTCTGATGTCTTAGTCCCCCAGACATTTCTTATTCATCACTGGTAGGGAGCGTTGCAGGGCCCCTGTGCCTCTAGAACCATAGGCATGGGCGAGAATGCAGACTCAGCACCTGCGGAGGGGGCTTTGGACCTGTGTCTGGCAAACATCCTTGGATTGTGACAGGGTGGGCTGAACTGCTGGGTAAGAGATGGAGACCAGCTGAGCATCGCAGGTTCGGGTATTCTATGTGGTGCCAACACCACGGAGGTCTTCAGTCCTGTGTGAGCAGAGCTTAAAGGGAAATGTCACGTTAGGGAGAGCTGCAAGGTTTCCTGCCACACACTACCAGGAGAAAGAAGCCACTTGTGTATGTGGGTACGACTAGAAAGGTGAGCCGCAGGACTAGAAGTGGTGGAATGCATTCTGGAAGGCCCATCAGGCCAGATGGGCAAGTTATCCTGGAAGTGATTGACAGCAAAATCACACCCAGGAAACTCAGAGACCTAAAGACGGCCCCGCTTCTCATTCTATGTAAAACCCGTTTCAGAAGAGAGAGAGGGAGGCCACGCTGATTATTCTTGGAAAAGGTCAGCTTGGGTGGCACCTGTTCAGACTGGATGAGGGCAGGTGCGATGGATGTGACTCAGCTCCCGACCGGCAGTATCCCAGGGAGCAGGGACAAGCAGGTCCTCAGCTCTGGTCAGAAAGCAGAGGACCCTGGACCCCAAGTGGTCTGCTGCTTTGCCTGACAACCCTGCCCATAAACTGCTTGTGAGCAGAACAAGCGAGCAAGTGTTCACCCCCTGGCATTCACAGGCACTGGTTCAAGTGGGGCAGATTTTGAAGTACGGGCTGCCAGGGCCTCAGAGGCAGGAACTTCTGCCCATTGCTGTGCTGCTGCAGCTCACAGCAGGCTGTACCCACACAGAGAACATACTCCTGGGGCTCAGGTGGGGGAACAAGGGAGGGGTCAATGTGATGAACAATTCTGGCTGAGAGAGAAGCAGGGATGGGTGGGAGGAGGATGGAGAGAGAGAGAGATGAAGGTAGGGCACCCTCTCGGAGACACAGGGCGGGCTTGTGCTCCGAGGACTCAGCTCAGAATTCAGCCCCATCTCCAGGTCACCTCAAAGCCCTAATGTTGCTGGGCTCCCCTCAGTGACACTTGCCTTCTCAGTCTCACCAGGCTATTCTGATGGCTTCTACTAATGCCCTCTGTCCTTCTGGCAGAATGTGTGGCCAGTGAGTGTCCTGGAGGGGAGGGTGAGAGTCTCCATCCAGAACTTCTCGACTGCAGAGCTGTGAACACGGAATGAGTGTGTGAGGTACGGAGGTCCTCGGCCCCAGGGGACCCCAGGTGCGCTCACAGCCTCAGGGGCGGCGGCCTTCTGCATCGCGGCATGTGGCACGCAGAGTGTCATGTGCTGTGTGTGCCACACGGTGAAACAGGTGGAGACACTGACAACAGGCTTAACTGGGAAGCTGTGCCCCAAAAGGAGCTTCAAAGAAGAGCCCCCTCCACATCCTCAGGAGAAGGACTCTTGGTTGGAAAAGGCCTGGAAGTGACCAGTATCTATGGTGCTTCGTCTCTTTCTCAGGCCCATAAGGACAGAATTTACATTTGAAAAGAAGAACAACACAGAAACTTTTGCAAAGGGCTGCCAATACTTTTTCTCTGAGGAACGTGCAATGTGATGAACAAAATTTTTTCCCAGAAAGCCAGAGGCTGGGCAAAGGCAGAGGGGCCTGGAGGCTGCTCCCAGGTAGGGAAACTTCTGGAGCAGGGACTTGACTCCACCTCCCAGGGGGACCGCATGTCCAGAGTGTGCACTTCTGGGAAGGCTGCAGAGCTGAGAGAAGCTGGTCAGATGCCCGATGCCCTAACCCTGAGATGGAGCTGCTCCCTGCCATCTCCTCCCACCTTTAGTGATGTTTTCAGAGCCTTAAGCTCTTGTGCAGTCTGGGCAGAAGCTGAGCCTTGTGTCTGATCTATACTGGCAGGAAGGAGGCAGCCCCTCCGGGTGAGGGGCCTCCAGGCTGCGGCTGGCTCTGGCGAGGATGGTGGTGAGAGGCCCATCTATTTCCTCAACCTTAGCTGACCTACCGTAAAGCAGGGAAAGCCTGGTGATGGGGTGGGTCACATTTATTCCAATTCTGTCTCCCCTCTTGCATCAGCTTACCCAGGAGCTTGTTAGAAAAGCAGCCTCCCAGACCCCACCCAGACCTGCTGGGTCAGAAAGAATGAGAACCCCCGGGCAATGCATGTGTGCAGACAAGTTTGAGAAACGCTGCTGCTCTAGATACTAGGTTAGCAAAGCACGGCCAAAGTGTGGGCAGGGGAGCCGCACAGTCCTGGTTTCAAATTCTGACCCACCACTCCCACCCACAGGACCCACTCCATGTTTCTCAGCTTCTCTGAGCCTCAGTTTCCTCCTTTGCAAAATGAGGACAATTATAGCACCCACTCTTTAGAACTGGGGAAGGACTAAAGTGTCCAAAGCATGGGCAGTGCCTGGCCCATGGGAGGCGCTGGGGGTGACCGTCCTCCTTCTGGAACTCCTTCCTGACAAGTCGTCTGGAGTGAGGCTGAGGAATGGGTGTTTTCAGAAACTTCAGCTACCTCTGATGCAAGTCCAGGTGATACTATCCCCTGTCATTTACAGTACCTGACCCTGGAATTGTACCCAGGGCACCCTCGTGCACTGGGATACGACTGATGCAGGTTGGAAGGCAGAGCTCCCTGCAGTGGGAGAAGGATGGCAGGGAGCAATGGTCCGGGTCTCAGAAGCGTAAGGGAGATGGGTTTGCTGCTGGAAGCCATTGGTGCATTCTCAGCTGCGGCACAGCCTGACAGCCACAGCTCACAGAAGGGAAAGGGGAGTGAAAGGGGAGGTGGCGGTTTTAGAATAGCCATCTTAGGAGCTTGGCTGGGAAAGGACAGTTATTTGAAATAACAGAGAATCAGGGAGATTCTTCAGAAAGGAGAGAACTGAGATGGTGTTAAAGTAGGGAACGCTATCCTTATCAGGGGAAGAATAATTTCCCCTGAATAACTAAATGTGGGTTTTTGTTGTTGTTGTTTGTTTGTTTGAGATGGAGTTTCAATCTGTTGCCCAGGCTGGAGTGCAGTGGTGCAATCTTGTCTCACTGCAACCTCCACCTCCCGGATTCAAGCGATTCTCCTACCTCAGCCTCCCAAGTAGCTGGGATTATAGGCATGTGCCACCGCACCTGGCTAATTTTTGTATTTTTAGTAGAGAGGCGGTTTCACCATGTTGGCCAGGCTGGTCTCGAACTCCTGACCTCAGGTGATCCACCTGCATTGGCCTCTTAGAGTACTGGGATTACAGGCATGAGCCACCGTCCCCAGCCTGAATAACTAAATGTTTTTCAGCATCTAACATTTTCTTCTACAGGTTTGCTTTAAAAAAAAAATAAGAAAGAAAGAAACACTTCATGAATTTACATGTCATCCTTGTGCAGGTGCCATGCTAATCTTCTCTGTATCGTGCCAATTTTAGTATATGTGCTGCCAAAGCGAGCACCAGATTTGCTTTTTTATAAGTGTTTTTTAAAGAAATGGTATAATGAAACATACATATAGAAAGTGCATAAAACAAAAATGGACAGTTTCACAAATAGTTGTAAGGCAAAGTCCTGTGTAGCCCCTAACTAGCTTAAGAAGCAGAACCTTGCCAGCACGCAGAAGCATCTACAAATCTTGCAGGAGGCAGCACAGGCGCACCATTGACTTTAAGCTTTGCACCTGTCCTGTGAGGTGGGCATGCTTTTTCCTATTTTATATATGAGGACACCAGGATGCAGGTGGGCCACATGGCTCCCCCAGGGCCACACAGCTAGTGGGCAGTAGAGCGAGAATGAAACCCAGGCGTGTTGGAGCCTGACAGCACTAGCGCTGTTTCTGCAGGTGCTAAGGGGGAGGCTTGGCCACAGGGGTGGGCGGCAGGGCTGGAGGGCCAGCCTGGACGGTGGACAGGGAGAGAATGGACTCGGGGATTGAGGTCACCCTGCTGGGCAGGGAACGTGGGAGGAGAGACACAGAGCAGGTACTCTGAGGTGAAGAGGAAGCCTGCTCTGCTCCCCAAGAGTCCCTCCTCACCATGCCTTCCCCTCACTTCTCCCTGACAGTGTCAGGAGAGTCCGTCGTTCAGCTAAAGCTTGGGAGAGGGCGCCCTTGATTCCTCCGATTAGACAAAGAGGACCTTGGCAGGCAGGTCTGGGGACTTGCTAGTGCTGGGTCACTGAGGAGTGTCCTTTAAGGCGATGGGAGCCGAGGGGAAGACGGAATTACTCCCAGAGAGAAGGCTCCCAGCTACGCTAGCTCACAGCCCTCAAGTCCACTGCTATACTGGGTGGCCTGAGGACTTGTGCCAAGTTCCAAGTGAGATAAGACAGAAAACAAGTCACTGGTCAAGGACAGGTCAAGGTAAAGCCAGCCAGAAGAGTTATCATTCCAAGAAGTTCACAAGGCCATTATACAGCCTTTGGAACGAGACATTTCTGCTTTTCCATAAGCAGCTGGGAATTTCTGAGACCTGTTTACAGAGAATTAGAACTTCTAATAAAGGATATGTGACCAATATCACTTTCACCCTTGGCCTCCATCTGCCCTGTTCCCACACCTCCCTAGGTAAACTTTATTCTAGTTTCTCATGCATCTTTTCAGAGCTTTAAAAGTGCATATCTGAGCAAATCAAACACTAGATTTGTATTTCCGCTCCATGACAAGTTTAACAATCTAGAAGTTGGGTCGGTGGATTGTCTCCTACACCACCGAACCTGTCTCTGAGTCCCAAGCATCAGTCAGTCTAGCTAAACTGTCAACAGTTGCATCTTATTTCGGGCAGCAGTGTTACAGGTGGGCTGCCACCAAAGTTAGACATCCATATGGCGCGAGTATTTCACGAGAGGCATTTCTATGAGAACAAAAGAAAAACCAATGTTAGTAATTAGAATAAACTAGAAACTCGGTTTTTAAGCTCAGAAAGCAGCCAGGTGAGAAGATTTCTGGGTTTTGGCTGAAAGCATCTTCAGCTGGGGTGGGAGCAGGCCGTGGCAGTTTGACAGGTTTCCCCACTTTACAGTTTGCATCAGGTGTTCCAGGGGCGTTTCTGAGTAGTCCATATAGCAGCAGGCGTGAGGACCACGCATACATAAGTTGCTGTGCTTTCTCTACGGCTTGTGTCAAGTCATCCAGTTTTCGTTCGCAGGGCTTCAGGAATAGAGCAGTTCTCATTTCAGTGATTCCAAACCAGAAGGGTGGGAGAAAAATATTAGTTTGGAGACCTGTAGCCAGACATTTCTGGAAACGAGAAGAATTCAGGATCCAGTCCAGATTGTAGGTGAGTAACAAAAACCTCAAAAACAATGAGCTGGAATCTAATAACGAGTGCATATAGTTTTCTTCTGAAATATTTTTCTTTCTATAGTCATTTCCATTTCTACCAAAGATTATCAAAGTAAGACTAATTTGTTCGCAAAGTAATGTTTGCAAAAGTAATGATTATTTGTGCAAGTGCCGCAACAATAGTGATTGACTATATAGGCTTTTTCAAAATTTGCTTTACTGGAACTTTTGATAAGGAACCTCAAGTTAGACTTTTAATAGCCTCTTGAGGCCAGAAGCCAGGCCACTAACTTGCCATCAGACTTTGCCTGCAATACCTACAGATCTGGGTGAATTCCTTTCTTCTCAGGATCCCCCAAATATTCTACAGTTCCTGGGCCTGTCAGAAAGTGACATTACTTACTCACTTGTAAGGTTAGAAACTCTTTTAAGCCAGGCCAGTTTTTCCAATGGGGGCTTTACTGGTTCCAGTAAAGTAAATAAACTTTACTGGTTTTAGTTCCTTAAAACTGTCTGGTCATGTCTGAAAATATAATATTCCAGTCAAAGCCTTGGTCATATAATCAGTGTTTCCACTTTTGTCCTGTTTCAAGGAGAATATACTTACTAAACTTGTGCAAGTAACTACAATTGTCATAAAAATAAGAGTACTCATAAATAGTTTCTAAATTCTGGAGGGATCAGGGAGGAAGAAAAAAAACGAAATGTTCTAATTTTGTTAACGATATACTAAATTGCTGTAAGTTATAGGTAGCTTAAAAGAAAAAAAGCTTTCCTTAAATCTGGAAAACAAAATATTTAAAGAAGAAACGTTTCAAATAAAAGTCATAAAAATTATCCCCTTCATTTCATGTAGTCTCATGTAGTTGATATTCTTGATCTTGGTTAGCAGTTTCATGAAACCACCAGTTTCTTCATAAGAGTTCTAGAAATTTGTACCCCATCCAATGGTGTGATCTTAAAGTTATCAGAAACCTTTATTGCAGAGTAGAGCCTTTTTTATGAATCTCCTTGAAGAAGCAATTTTGGGCTGTAGCTGATTACAAATGCTTTCAGAGAAGAATCAAAGTAAAACAATAACTGCCTGTGGATGAAAAAAGACATTCAATGGCCATGGTTAAAGATTTGATGAGAGTTCACCATCATAATGATGAAATTGTCAAAGAAATGTGGTTATTTCTGTGGCATATTGCATTTTAATACAATAACTAAAATTATGACTGATAGCATTATACTAGGACATATCAGATTTCTAGGAATTATGTATAATTTCTGGAACACTTGTATCAATATCATATCCACAAACATAACATAAAGGTTTAGCATCACCTATTATTTGATGATGTTTCTCATATAATTTAACATATCCTGTAAGCCTAATTAGTTTAATCGCTCTTTTTTACAAGGTGAGAGACAAATCCTATGGAACTTTCCAGAGGCCTTCTGAAATGTTCCAAAATTAGTTTGAGGTCAAAAACATTTAATTTATAATTTGATTTGGTTCGGAAGTTGTTAAAGACGTTGAAAGGTTTAGGACATTTGTTTGAAGAGAATCACAGATCACTATAAAACAATACCAAAATGACAAAAAATTGTAAAGACAAATACAGAAGGTTACAGAATTGTAAAAAATAAATCAGCTCCTTTATTATTGAGAAGACTCATTTTTCTTTTCTTCTTTTTTTTTTTTTTTTTTTTTTTTTTTTTTTTTTTTTTTTTTTTGAGACAGGATCTCATTTCATCACCTAGTCTGGAGTGCACTAGCATGATCGTGGCTCACTACAGCTTTGACCTCCTTGGGCTCAGCTGATCCTCCCCTCTCAGCCTCCTGAGTAACAGGGACTACAGGCACATACCACCACACCTGGCTATTTTTTTCTATTTTTTGTAGAGATGACGTTTTGCCATGTTGCCCAGGCTGGTCTTGAACTCCTGACCTCAAGCAATCCGCCCACCTTGGCCTCCCGAAGTGCTGAGATTACAGGCGTGAGCCACTGCACCTGGCCTTGCTTTTCTTAAGTAATCAAAGACCTGATAGAAAACAACGTGAAGCACAAGAAATCATTTTTGTAAAAAAATCTTTGTGTCCTAGTACAGTAACTTAAACGATAAAGAAAAATCTTCACATTCTCAGACTGATACAGTAAGAAAACTTGGCCATTTTGACAAAGAGGACGAAATTCTAGTTTTGCATCATCGTATTAGTAATATGGAAGCTAATTGTAAGAAAACCTTATAAATAAAATTAAGCTCATTTTAGCCAGCTTTGACCACATAACATTTTCCCCCAAAGATTCTTTTTCCACAACCCTTTTAAAATATTTTTAAAAATTGATCTTTATTTATCTTCCTGCATTTTTCTTTTTCTTATTCTGGAACAACTGCTCATCATAGTTTCGTACAGAATTAACTACTCCTTTTTCCATTAACAGAAAATACAGTTTCATGCCTTACAATTTTCCTTACCAAAAATACATCTTGCTTTCCTCGTGTATTTTGCATACAGGATTGTTTCCCTTATTATTTCTAGTAGTTTTAATTACATATATTAATTAGAATTTTAATCTTCAGCAATTGTAGTTTATCACATTCCATAGATTAAAGCCATAATTTCTAAAAATCATGTGCTTCTCCATAGTACAATTTTTCATGTCTATTAACAGATCCAAATTTTGTCTTCTCTATACCATATAAAAAACAAAATGCCAATGTATATAAACTTAAATTTATGCTTAGTAATTAATGTTTCAATGTTTTAAGTGACTTAGAAATGACTCAGATATGGCCAGGCACGGTGGCTCACACCTGTTATCCCAGCACTTTGGGAGGCCCAGGCGGGTGGATCATGAGGTCAGGAGTTTGAGACCACCCTGACCAACATGGTGAAACCCCGTGTCTACTAAAAGTACAAAAATTAGCTGGGTGTGGTAGCGCACACCTATAATCTCAGCTACTCAGGAGGCTGAGGCAGGAGAATCACTTGAACCCAGAAGGCAGAGGTTGTAGTGAGCCGAGATCGCATTATTGCACTCCAGCTTGGGCAACAGTGAGACTCAGTCTCGGGGGGAAAAAAAAAGAAAAAGAAATGACTCAGATATGTAATGAGTATTTATTACTTAATTTAATTTAGCATAGCTTTAAGGTTGCAAGTTACCAAAAAAGTTTTCTGAAACTATTTTTAAGTAGACCTGTTTTATAAAACATAATTATTATTGAAAAGTTCATGTATATACTTTTAGGTCACTTGTACATTATTTAATTCACGTGTTTTTAACAATTATTCTTGGATGTCTCATGGGCATTTTTTATAAGAACTTAAAGCCATCATCTTATTTCATTTTTGTTTACAAATCAGGTATCAAAAATATCACAGAGGCAAAGAACTAAAAAGCTAAACAATTCATTCTCTATCTATCTATCTATCTATCTATCTATCTATCTATCTATCTATCTATCTATGTTTTTACTTTCATGAATGATATGTGTCAAGCAATTTATTTTTACTGTGTGTTCTGCTCTTAGGTTGGGTTTTTAGTTTTATGTTTTTAAACGTCAAGCAGGGAAAACACAAACCTGTGTGGCCAGCAAACTCAGGGAAAAATGTGTATCTGAATTATATTTCACACTTACAATTCTGAAGATACCCCTACTTTTATTTTACCAATAATTTAAAAGCTAGCTTTATTTACCAAAGACTTAGCCAAGTCATGTGATTTTTTAAAAAAAAAATTTGGATGAGAGTCTATGTCTGAGAGTTTTAGGAATGCCTAATTTATCTGAGCACTCGTTTATCTCTAAGCCAATTTGAATAGAGCTCCTTTAAGGGTTTTATAAATTAATTTAGTAACACTATCCGGAGGTGGAAAAATATTAAATATACATAATATACAAATATACATACATAAACTTACAGACAAATACAGCTTTCATTCTAACATTTAGTCACAAGTCAGTAAAACATAGTAGTACAAACTCATTGATTTATTTCCAATTTATATTTTTGTCCGAATTGTGTTTCTGACAAAGATGGGAGAAGTTAAGTTTACCTGCTTACATGGCAAGAGCTTTTTTACCAACGTTTGTGGAAAAGACTTGAGATTTTTATTTGCCCAATTCCCAAATAGTTCCTTTAAAAAACATGACAGTCATTTCCCTGAAGTTTGTATTTCCAAATGATAGTTCTCAGGTTTTAGAGAAGACAGGATAGGGAATCATCTCAAAGGCACAGAAAAATAATGCAAGGGTTTTTTTTTTTTCTTCCAAAAAAGGAATTTGGGAGCGTATTTGCCTATTTTCAGAGGTTTTTCTTATAGAGGCTGTGGACTAAATTTTAGGCTAGTGACTGAGGAGATATTTAGCAGTTGTCTAAATGTTTCCAAAGTCCAAATGAGTGGACGAAACATCCATTTCTTGTTTCCCAGTAACCATTTCTCCTCTTTTCAGCCTCAGGTTTTTTTTTTTTTTTTTTTTTTTTTGGAGACGGAGTCTCGCTCTGTCGCCCAGGATGGAGTGCAGTGGTGCCATCTCAGCTCACTGCAAGCTCCGCCTCCCGAGTTCATGCCATTCTCCTGTCTCAGCCTCCCGAGTAGCTGGGACTACAGGAGGGTGTCACCGCGCCTGGCTAATTTTTTGTATTTTTAGTAGAGACGAGGTTTCACTGTGGTCTCGATCTCCTGACCTTGTGATCCGCCCGCCTTGGCCTCCCAAAGTGCTGGGATTACAGGCGTGAGCCACCTCGCCCGGCCAGCCTCAGGTTTTTTAGTCGACCTGGAGTCCAGCAAGAGTCCTCTATGGAGGGTAGTGGCCTAAAGTTCCAGTGATCACGGGGCTGGAGTTGGAGGGAAAAGGTCTGGCAGGGGTGGACAGAAGGATGGAGGGTGAGGAACGTGATCAGGTATCAAGGGTGGCAGTTCTTGTTAAACTGACTTGCCAGGGTTCTTGTTAAAACTGGATTTGTTGCGTTTTCCTCTAATTTTATCTTGAGGTTTCTCTAGATATAAATTCTAGCCCTGCCCTGATGGGTCTCCAGGGGAGGGGGTGGTGGGTTTTTACAGTCTGCCTTTCATGGGATACTTATTTATTCTGGCAGATGGCTTAATGCCTAAGTATTCCACCTGTGGCCAAGGGTCCCTCTCACAGCAAATTTGTTTATACTAGCAGACATTCTTGTGGCTCTCAGCTGACCTATATCCAGTTTATCCCCACCAAAATAAACAGTTTGCAGAAGAGCCCTGGCCAGTAAGAGAGTCTGGGTCAGTCAGATGAGACACAGAAGAAGATTCAAAATAGATGGTAAAGCCAGGTACAGTGAAGCACGCTTGTAGTCCCAGCTACTTGGGAGGCTGAAGTGGGAGAGCATTGTTTGAGCTCAGGAATTTTGGGGCCAGCCTAGCAGGAGACCACATCACTTAAAAAAACAAAACAAAACAAAAACACAAAAAACGCCAAAAAAGGATAATGAAGCAACATACAACTTACTACAGGATTTTATAACATAAAATAGTAATTCACTACAGGATATTTTTTTTTAATAAGAAAGTACACAGATGAGCCTTGGAGAAGGTTCAGAAGCTCAACTAAAGTTTGGCCATAGAAACCAGAGTCCAGCATACCCCTGACATTTTCTCGCAGTAATTTTCTATTCATTGACCACCAAATGTAGGAAGTCAAGGCTTGAAGGAGATATATCAAGGATTCAAGGTAACTGGATGAAAGATCAAAGGTGGCACAAGGAGGAAGGAGGAGTAGAAGTAAATGGAAAGAATAGGTCTTAGAGGAGCAAGTTTGGGGAGATCTAAAGCTTCATAAAGAAGCCAACGAAGTTCCATAATATTGTTTGCAAAAATCATGCCAAAAAGAAAGGAAATGGTGGCTCAGGCCTGTCATCCCAGCACTTTTGGAGGCTGAGGTGGGTGGGTGGATCACTTTAGCCCAGGAGTTTGAGACCAGTCTGGGCAACATAATAAAACCCCATCTCTAAAATCTTTTTAAAAAAATATTAACTGGGTGTGGTGGCACACACCTGTGGTCCCAGCTACTCAGAAGGCTGAGGTGGGAGGATTGCTTGAACCCAGGAGGTCAAGGCTTCAGTGAGCCAAGATTGTGCCACTGCACTCTATCCTGGGTGACAGAGTGAGACCCTGTGTCAAAAGGAAAGAAAGAAAGAGAGGAAGGAAGGAAGGTAGGTAGGTAGGTAGGTAGAGTATCTAGTCAGCAGGGGTTTGAGAAGAGGAGTTTCAGTTGACTGAGAAGTTCCCATAGTAGAAGCAGGATCTAATAAGGAGCACAGAGAGATCTTAAAAAAAAAATTACTGGGATTTTGACTGGAATTGTATTCTATCTATAGATTAATTAGGGATATTAAGTCTTCCAATTCATGGAAATGGTATGTCTCTCCATTTATGTTGCCTCTTTAGTTTCTCTCAACAATTTAGGTCTTACACATATTTTGTTAGATTTACCTCTAATTATTTCATATTTTTGGGTGCTATTTTTAAAAAAATTCGATTTCTTACACTGACATTGTGAATACATAGAAATATAAGATTTTTCTGTATTGACTTTGCAACCTGAGACAGCATCACCCTCACTAGTTCTAAGAGCTTTTTTGGGGGATTCCCTAGGGTTTTCCTACATACATGGTCATGTAGTTGGCAACAAAGAGTTTTGCTTTTTACTTTTTAATCTTTCTGCCTGTTTTTTCTTTTTCTTGCCTCATTACACAGGTTGGGATTTCCAGTTCCTTGATGAAGAGAAGTTACGAGACTGGGCATCCTTGCTTTGTTCCTAAACAGGAGGTGAAAACATTCAGTCTTCTGCCATTAGGTATGATGTTAGCTCTGGATTTTTTACACATTTATTCATTTATTTATTAGGTTAAAGATGTCTTCTACTCTTAGTTTGCTAAGAGTTTTTTTAAACATCAATGGGAATGTTTTCAGAATCTTTTTAATTTTTTTTCTACATCTATGGAGATAATTTTTTATAGTGTTATGGGGAACTATGTTGATTTTCAAATGGTAGCCAACCTTCAATACCTGAGATAAACTCCATTTTCTATATATTGCTAGAGTCAACTTACTATTATTTTTATTCATGAGAGATATTGACCTGTACTTTTCTTTGTCTAGTTTTGTTATTGGGGTAATGAAGACCTCATAAAATAAGTTGAAAATGGTTCCTTCTTCCTCTAAGAGTTTGAATAGAATTTGTATTCTTTTCATTCACCAATGAGACCAGTTGGACCTAGAGTTTTCTTTGTGGGGAGGCTTTTAATTAGAAACTTAATTCCTATAGCATCTATAGGAATACTTGGATTTTCTATTTTTACTTTAGTTAAATTTGATGATTTGCATTTGCTATGGTTTGAATGTGTTCCCTCCAGAATTAAGGTGTTGCTAATGTGATAGTATTTTTTTAAATTATACTTTAAGTTTTAGGGTCCATGTGCACAACGTGCAGATTTGTTACATATGTATACATGTGCCATGTTGGTGTGCTGAACCCAGTAACTCGTCATTTAACATTAGGTATATCTCCTAATGCTATCCCTCCCCCCTCCCCCCACCCCACAACAGTCCCCGGTGTGTGATGTTCCCCTTCCTGTGTCCATGTGTTCTCATTGTTCAATTCCCACCTATGAGTGAGAACATGCAGTGTTTGGTTTTTGGTCCTTGCCATAGTTGGCTGAGAATGATGGTTTCCAGCTTCATCCATGTCCCTACAAAGGACATGAACTCACCATTTTTTATGGCTGCATAGTATTCCATGGTGTATATGTGCCACATTTTCTTAATCCAGTCTATCATTGTTGGACATTTGGGTTGGTTCCAAGTCTTTGCTATTGTGAATAGTGCCACAATAAACATATGTGTGCATGTGTCTTTATAGCAGCATGATTTCTAATCCTTTGGGTATATACCCAGTAATGGGATGGCTGGGTCAAGTGGTATTTCTAGTTCTAGATCCCTGGGGAGTCGCCACACTGACTTCCACAATGGTTGAACTAGTTTACAGTGCCACCAACAGTGTAAACAAAAAGTGTTCCTATTTCTCTGCATCCTCTCCAGCACCTGTTGTTTCCTGACTTGTTAATGATCGCCATTCTAACTGGTGTGAGATGGTATCTCATTGTGGTTTTGATTTGCATTTCTCTGATGGCCAGTGATGATGAGCATTTTTTCATGTGTTTTTTGGCTGCATAAATGTCTTCTTTTGAGAAGTGTCTGTTAATATCCTTCACCCACTTTTTTTTTTTTGAGACGGAGTCTCGCTCTGTCGCCCAGGCCGGACTGCGGACTGCAGTGGCGCGATCTCGGCTCACTGCAAGCTCCGCTTCCCGGGTTCACGCCATTCTCCTGCCTCAGCCTCCCGAGTAGCTGGGACTACAGGTGCCCGCCACCGTGCCCGGCTAATTTTTTTGTATTTTTAGTAAAGACGGGGTTTCACCTTGTTAGCCAGGATGGTCTCGATCTCCTGACCTCATGATCCACCCGCCTCGGCCTCCCAAAGTGCTGGGATTACAGGCGTGAGCCACCGCGCCCGGCCTCACCCACTTTTTGATGGGGTCGTTTGTTTTCTTCTTGTAAATTTGTTTGAGTTCATTGTAGATTCTGGATATTAGCCCTTTGTCAGATGAGTAGGTTGTGAAAATTTTCTCCCATTCTGTGGGTTGCCTGTTCACTCTGATGGTGGTTTCTTTTGCTGTGCAGAAGCTCTTGAGTTTAATTAGATCCCATTTGTCAATTTTGGCTTTTGTTGCCATTGCTTTTGGTGTTTTAGACATGAAGTCCTTGCCCATGCCTATGTCCTGAATGGTATTGCCTAGGTTTTTTCTAGGATTTTTATGGTTTTAAGTCTAACATGTAAGTCTTTAATCCATCTTGAATTAATTTTTGTATAAGGTGTAAGGAAGGGATCCAGTTTCAGCTTTCTACATATGGCTAGCCAGTTTTCCCAGCACCATTTATTAAATAGGGAATCCCCATTGCTTGTTTTTGTCATGTTTGTCAAAGATCAGATGGTTGTAGATAAGCGGCATTATTTCTGAGGGCTCTGTTCTGTTCCATTGGTCTATATCTCTGTTTTGGTACCAGTACCATGCTGTTTTGGTGACTGTAGCCTTGTAGTATAGTTTGAAGTCAGGTAGTGTGATGCCTCCAGCTTTGTTCTTTTGGCTTAGGATTGACTTGGCAATCCAGGCTCTTTTTTGGTTCCATATGAACTTTAAAGTAGTTTTTTCCAATTCTGTGAAGAAAGTCATTGGTAACTTGATGGGGATGGCATTGAATCTATAAATTACCTTGGGCAGTATGGCCATTTTCACGATATTGATTCTTCCCACCCATGAGCATTGAATGTTCTTCCATTTGTTTGTATCCTCTTTTATTTCATTGAGCAGAGGTTTGTAGTTCTCCTTGAAGAGGTCATTCACATCCCTTGTAAGTTGGATTCCTAGGTATTTTATTCTCTTTGAAGCAATTGTGAATGGGAGTTCACTCATGATTTGGCTCTCTGTTTGTCTGTTATTGGTGTATAAGAATGCTTGTGATTTTTGCACACTGATTTTGGATCCTGAGACTTTGCTGAAGTTGCCTGTCAGCTTGAGATTTTGGGCTGAGACGATGGGGTTGTCTAGATATACAATCATGTCATCTGCAAACAGGGACAATTTGACTTCCTCTTTTCCTAATTGAATGCCCTTTATTTCCTTCTCCTGCCTGATTGCCCTGGCCAGAACTTCCAACACTATGTTGAATAGGAGTGGTGAGAGAGGGCATCCCTGTCTTGTGCCAGTTTTCAAAGGGAATGCTTCCAGTTTTTGTCCATTCAGTATGATATTGGCTGTGGGTTTGTCATAGATAGCTCTTATTATTTTGAGATACGTCCCAACAATACCTAATTTATTGAGAGTTTTTAGCATGAAGCGTTGTTGAATTTTGTCAAAGCCCTTTTCTGCACCTATTGAGATAATCATGTGGTTTTTGTCTTTGGTTTTGTTTATATGCTGGATTACATTTATTGATTTTCGTATGTTGAACCAGCCTTGCATCCCAGGGATGAAGCCCACTTGATCATGGTGGATAAGCTTTTTGATGTGCTGCTGGATTCGGTTTGCCAGTATTTCATTGAGGATTTTTGCATCAATGTTCATCAAGGATATGGGTCTAAAATTCTCTTTTTTTGTTGTGTCTCTGCCAGGCTTTGGTATCAGGATGATGCTGGCCTCATAAAATGAGTTAGGGAGGATTCCCTCTTTTTCTACTGATTGGAATAGTTTCAGAAGGAATGGTACCAGCTCCTCCTTGTACTTCTGGTAGAATTCGGCTGTGAATTCATCTGGTCCTGGACTCTTTTTGGTTGGTAAGCTATTAATTATTGCTTCAATTTCAGAGCTTGTTATTGGCCTATTCAGAGATTCAACTTCTTCCTGGTTTAGTCTTGGGAGAGTGTATGTGTCAAGGAGTTTATCCATTTCTTCTAGATTTTCTAGTTTATTTGCGTAGAGCTGTTTATAGTATTGTCTGATGGTAGTTTGTACTTCTGTGAGATCGGTGGTGATATCCCCTTTGTCATTTTGTATTGCGTCTATTTGATTCTTCTCTCTTTTCTTCTTTATTAGTCTTGCTAGTGGTCTATCAATTTTGTTGATCTTTTCAAAAAACCAGCTCCTGGATTCATTAATTTTTTGAAGGGTTTTTTGTGTCTCCATTTCCTTCAGTTCTGCTCTGATATTAGTTATTTCTTGCCTTCTGCTAGCTTTTGAATGTGTTTGCTCTTGCTTCTCTAGTTCTTTTAATTGTGATGTTAGGGTGTCAATTTTAGATCTTTCCTGCTTTCTCTTGTGGGCATTTAGTGCTATAAATTTCCCTCTACACACTGCTTTGAATGTGTCCCAGACATTCTGGTATGTTGTGTCTTTGTTCTCGTTGGTTTCAAAGAACATCTTTATTTCTGCCTTCATTTCGTTATGTCTCCAGTAGTCATTCAGGAGCAGGTTGTTCAGTTTCCATGTAGTTGAGCGCTTTTGAGTGCGTTTCTTAATCCTGAGTTCTAGCTTGATTGCACTGTGGTCTGATAGACAGTTTGTTATAATTTCTGTTCTTTTACACTTCCTGAGGAGAGCTTTACTTCCAACTATGTGGTCAATTTTGGAATAGGTGTGGTGTGGTGCTGAAAAAAATGTATATTCTGTTGATTTGGGGTAGAGAGTTCTGTAGATGTCTATTAGGTCTGCTTGGTGCAGAGCTGAGTTCAGTTCCTGGATTTCGTAGTTAACTTTCTGTCTTGTTGATCTGTCTAATGTTGACAGTGGGGTGTTAAAGTCTCCCATTATTAATGTGTGGGAGTCTAAGTCTCTTTGTAGGTCACTAAGGACTTGCTTTATGAATCTGGGTGCTCCTGTATTGGGTGCATATATATTTAGGACAGTTAGTTCTTCTTGTTGAATTGATCCCTTTCCCATTATGTAATGGTCTTCTTTGTCTCCTTTGATCTTCGTTGGTTTAAAGTCTGTTTTATCCGAGACTAGGATTGCAACCCCTGCCTTTTTTTGTTTTCCATTTGCTTGGTAGATCTTCCTCCATCCCTTTATTTTGAGCCTATGTGTGTCTCTGCACATGAGATGGGTTTCTTGAATACAGCACACTGATGGGTCTTGACTCTTTATCCAATTTGCCAGTCTGTGCCTTTTAATTGGAGTATTTAACCCATTTACATTTAAGGTTAGTATTGTTATGTGTGAATTTGATCCTGTCATCATGATGTTAGCTGGATATTTTGCTCGTTAGTTGATGCAGTTTCTTCCTAGCCTTGATGGTCTTTACAATTTGGCATGTTTTTGCAGTGGCTGGTACTGGTTGTTCCTTTCCATGTTTAGTGTTTCCTTCAGGAGCTCTTTTAGGGCAGGCCTGGTGGTAACAAAATCTCTCAGCATTTGCTTGTCTGTAAAGTATTTTATTTCTCCTTCACTTATGAAGCTTAGTTTGGCTGGATATGAAATTCTGGGTTGAAAATTCTTTTCTTTAAGAATGTTGAATATTGGCCCCCACTCTCTTCTGGCTTGTAGAGTTTCTGCCGAGAGATCTGCTGTTAGTCTGATGGGCTTCCCCTTGTGGGTAACCTGACCTTTCTCTCTGGCTGCCCTTAACATTTTTTCCATCATTTCAACCTTGGTGAATCTGACAATTATGTGTCTTGGAGTTGCTCTTCTCGAGGAGTATCTTTGTGGCATTCTCTGTATTTCTTGAATTTTAAGGTTGGCCTGCCTTGCTAGACTGGGGAAGTTCTCCTGGATAGTATCCTGCAGAGTGTTTTCCAACTTGGTTCTATTCTCCCTGTCACTTTCAGGTACACCAGTCAGACGTAGATTTGGTCTTTTCACATAGTCCCATATTTCTTGGAGGCTTTGTTCATTTCTTTTTATTCTTTTTTCTCTAAACTTCTTTTCTCGCTTCATTTCATTCATTTCATCTTCCATCACTGATAGCCTTTCTTCCAGTTGATCGCATTGGCTACTGAGGCTTGTGCATTCGTCACGTAGTTCTCGTGCCGTGGTTTTCAGCTCCATCAGGTCCTTTAAGGACTTTTCTGCATTGGTTATTCTAGTTATCCATTTGTCTAATTTTTTTTCAAAGTTTTTAACTTTTTTGCCATTAGTTTGAACTTCCTCCTTTAGCTCAGAGTAGTTTGATCTTGTGAAGCCTTCCTCTCTCAACTCGTCAAAGTCATTCTCCGTCCAGCTTTGTTCCGTTGCTGGTGAGGAGCTGCATTCCTTTGGAGGAGGAGAGGGACTCTGATTTTTAGAATTTGCGTTTCTTCTGCTCTGTTTTTTCCCCATCATTGTGGTTTTATCTACCTTTGGTCTTTGATGATGGTGACGTACAGATGGGTTTTTGATACCCAGACCCTGTTTGCCTGGGTATCAGCTGTGGTGGCTGCAGAACAGTGGATATTGGTGAACCGCAAATGCTGCTGCCTGATCGTTCCTCTGGAATTTTTGTCTCAGAGGAGTACCCAGCCATGTGAGATGTTAGTCCACCCCTACTGGGGGGTGCCTCCCATTTAGGCTACTCGGGGTTCAGGGACCCACTTGAGGAGGCAGTCTGCCCATTCTCATATCTCAAGCTGCGTGCTGGGAGAACCACTACTCTCTTCAAAGCTGTCAGACAGGGACATTTAAGTCTGCAGAGGTTATTGCTGCCTTTTGTTTGTCTATGCCCTGCCCCCAGAGGTGGAGCCTACAGAGGCAGGCAGGCCTCCTTGAGTTGTAGTGGGTTCCACCCAGTTTCAGCTTTCTGGCCGCTTTGTTTACCTACTCAAGCCTGGGCAATGGCGGGTGCCCCTCCCCCAGCCTGGCTGCTGCCTTGTAGTTTGATCTCAGACTGCTGTGCTAGCCATGAGCGAGGCTCCATGGGCGTAGGACCCTCCGAGCCAGGTGCGGGATGTAATCTCCTGGTGTGCCGCTTGACAAGCCTGCTGGAAAAGCACAGTATTAGGGTGGGAGTGACCTGATTTTCTAGGTGCTGTCTGTCACCCCTTTCTTTGACTAGGAAAGGGAATTCCCTGACCCCTGGCGCTTCCCTGGTGAGGCGATGCCTTGTCCTGCTTCAGCTCACGCACGGTGCGCTGCACCCACTGTCCGGCATTCCCCAGTGAGATGAACCCGGTACCTCAGTTGGAAATGCAGAAATCACCCGTCTTCTGTGTCACTCACGCTGGGAGCTGTAGACTGGAGCTGTTCCTATTCGGCCATCTTGGCTCCACCCCCAGCTAATGTGATAGTATTAAGAGGTGAGGCCTTTAAGAGGTGATTAGGCCTTGAGGGCCTCTCTCTTATAAATGGGATAAAGGCTCTTAAAAAGTAGCTTCATGCAGCATTTGGCTCTTTTTGCCCTTCTACCTTCTACTGTGTGAGGCACAGCATTCCTGCCCTCAAGAGGACACAGTGGCTAAGGCTCCATCTTGGAAGTGGAGAGGAACCCTTGCCAGTTAGCTGGTGCCTTGATCTTGGACTTCCCAGCCTTCAGAACCATGATAAATTAATTTCTGTTCTTTTAACAGTTACCTAGTCTCAGATATTTTGTTATAGCAGCACAAATGGACCAAGACATGTGTCTCTCAAGGAGTTTTTCCATTTCATCCAAGTTGTTAAATATAGGTGTCAAGTTTTTCCTCATGCTTCCTTAGTATGCCTTTTACAGGACTCTGTGTGATATCACTTTGCACTCCTGCTATTGGTAATGTGTGTGTATTCTCCCTGTGTCTCTTTTCTTGATCACTGCAGCTAGAGCCTTAGCATTTTTACTGATCTTTTCAATTAACTATATCCTTTTCAATTAACTGTTTTATTTCCTTGATTTTTATATTAATATTTATTGTTTTTGGCTAGGCACAGTGGCTCATGCCTGTGATCCCAGCACTTTAAGAGGCTGAGATGGGAGGTTGGCTTGAAGCTAGGAGTTCAAGACCAGCCTGGGCAATAATGTAAGACACCCATCACTACAAAAAATTATAAAAAATGAGCCTGGTGGGATGGCATGTGCCTATAATACCAGCTACTTCAAAGGCTAAGGCAGGAGGATTGCTTGAGCCCAAGAATTCAAGGCTACGGTGAGCTATGATGACATTACTGCACTCCAGCCTGAGCAACAGAGTGAGACTCTGTCTCAAAAAAAAAATTTTTGTTTTCTTAGTTCTGCTTACTTCAGTTTTAATTTGCTCTTTTTTTCTAAGTTCTTAACATAAATTCTTAAGGTAGAATATTTATTTTAGAGTGTTTTCCTTTTTAATGTAAATATGTAAGCCAAATTTCCCTCTACTCATTGTATTACCTGCAATATAAATTTTAACATATCATGTAGCCATTTTTCAATTAGTTTAAAATGTTTTCTAACTTCCTTTTTTTAATTGGATCTCTGTTGAACCATTTGCTATTTGGTGGTATACTCTTTTGTTTCCAGTTATTTGTAGATTTTTCAAATAGAGAAGCGTAGAGAAAGGAAGACCTTCACAGGGCTCCCTCTGTTTACTTCTTATGCCTCTGGCCCCTCTCAAGGACTCAGTAAGACCAGAACTTTTCTTTTCATCTGGCAGCTCATGTTTCAAAGCCTGATTTATTTTCCCCTAAGACCCAGGTGTGATGTCTTCCTACCGAGGACACTTGGAGGCTGGCCACACCTTGAAGGGCCAAGTCTTGCTTTGCTTGTGACTTGCTTTTTCTATGGACAATCGGAAAAAGTGCCAGCAGAGGGGGCCAGTGGTGCAGATAATGGGACATCACCATCCAGCTTTAGAACGTCCACTTCCGGCTGAGCTCAATTGTAACCATGCAACAGTGCTATTCAACCCCAAGGACCAAAAGAGCCACTTTTTGTATATATCTGAGGTGGATAAGACTTCTGAAATAATTCTGAGACTACTCATCATTCTCACATTTATTGAGGGGTCTGCCTATTCTGGATGCTGGGATTGGTATCGAGACTCTAAAGAGGAAATTTACAGTCCAATTGTGGAGTCAGGATATACATGGGAAAAGACAACCATCTGTTCAAAGGGGCGGAGACAAAATTAAAATAGAGATAGGTAGAGGGAGAGAGATAGAGAGAAGACTGGTCAATGGATGGCTGAAACCCCCTGCCCAGGGACTCTCACTGAATTGCCCGGGGGTGGGACTCTGGCATAGATAAATGTTTAAAGCTCCCCAGACGATACGTTTACACTTAGCAATTTAAAGTTTGGTAACTAATTTCAAATTGGCATTTGGACTGGTCCAGAAAGAGCATCACACATCCAGCTCCTGAGGATGTGGACGTTACTTAGATGGCTTTTGTTGTATATTCTTTGGTTCCAATCATTTGTCTATTCAGGTTTTGAAAAAAATACTGACATAAGTTGCATTATTTCTTGAACCTGAGTTAATATTAAGCTAAGAAATCCTTTTTAAAAAGTATTTCGTGTCAAAGGGATACAAACTCTGTTAGGAATCTGTCACAGGGACCTTGCTTACAGGAGTAATTTATGTCTTGGCATGTTGCCAGGGATAATTAAGGTGCAGAAATACTGGTTGTTTGCATGGAAGGTAGCTATCTGGAGACAGGGGAGCAAACCAGAAAGGCATCTTCTCCTAAAGGTCAAAATAAAAAGCAAGCAAGACCATAACAAGATGAACTCAGACACATCTAATTGGGGAAAATTTGTTACCGGGAAATTTATATTATAAGGAACAGATGGCCTTTTGTGATTGTAATCTGTTTGCTTCTGATTCATGGGAAGAAAGGCAGCAACAGAGATGGGCACCAGGAAGACTGAAGAGGCAAACCGGAACATTTGGTAATGGTCCCAGACAGTTGTCCCTCTTGGAGAGACAGCCAAGCTTTTAGCTGCAAGCTGATAAAGACCAAAGCCAGAGCTTTGAAAGGGGGTGAAGCCAAGAGGGTGAAATCTGAAGTCTGGGGGGTTTTAATATATGAAAACAAATGATAGAAAGATGTAAGGGTTTCTTGCTTTTCAGTTGTAATGGGGGAAATGGCTACATTATTTAGGAACCGTAGCTTTTCAAAATTAGAAGGAAAGCCCCAAAGTAACAGATTAAGAAATTTAATAGGCTAATAATGGCTATTTATTTTCTTTATAAAGAAGTGGGTTCCAGGCTGGGCACAGTGCTCACGCCTGTAATCCCAGCACTTTGGGAGGCCGAGGCGGGTGAATCACCTGAGGTCAGGAGTTCAAGACCAGCCTGGCCAACATGGTGAAACCCCATCTCTACTGAAAATACAAAAAAAAATTAGCCAGGTGTTGTGGTGGGTGCCTGTAATCCCAGCTACTCGGGAGGCTGAGGCAGGAGAATGGCTTGAACCCGGGAGGCGGAGGTTGCAGTGAGTTGAGATCGCACCACTGCACTCCAGCCTGGGCAGCAGAGTGAGACTCTGTCAAAAAAAAAAAAAAAAAAAAAAAAAAAAAAAAAAAAAGAGAGAGAATTGGGTTGCAGAGGAAGATAAAACATGAACTTCAGCTTAAATGTCATGAGCAAAACCAAAGCGCTCTATGCATTTTCAGCATCTAGTCATTGTGTTTCCCAGAGCAGATACCGGGCTTGGCACGTACTAGATGCTAAAAAGTACTTGTAGAATTTAATCGAATTGTGACAGAGCACTCCAACCATAGGTTTTGGGTTTGAGCAGAAAACAGCATCTGAACTTTTAATTTTCCAGCAAACATGGCAAGTGACAGCAATTGCAAATGCCAAGAACACAAGCAACTATCACGGGCGTTTTTCAAACTGTTTCTCAGAATGCACCTCTAAAGAGATCTCCGTGTCTCCGGCAGGGGGCGCGTTAGGATTTCCTTAACACCATGGGTCCGCAGGATAAAAGTGAAAAAACCGTTTGTTTAAGAGGCAGAAGGGCAAGACCAGGACAGATATGTGTTCTCAGACCTCCTCTACTGTGGCTCTGACAGGGAGTAGGTGGAGGAGGCACTGCAGGGCAGAGCGAATGAACAGTTCCGACCACTCCAGCGCCTGGACCTGCTTCTTGTCATAGGAGGAGACCCCCCTGATTGCTGAAGCCCTCTGGCTCTGACAGCAGAGCCAGATGCTCTAAGAGACACGTGCTCTAAGTCATGTGTCCCAGCAGCTCGGGGGCGACATAAGGTCATGCCTCTCCTAATACTTTATGCGATATAATTCTGAGCCGCATTTCATCACGACAAACCTTTCTCCTCTCCCTTTTTCACCAAGACTCGCTTGTCCCTGGGGCTGCCCCTCACAGGTCTGCTCTGCCCCTTGAAGTGGAGGATGTCACCCCTCCATGGCCTGGGTTCCCAGTGTCATGGCCCCTGTGATGGGGCTCACCCACGTCCCACAGTCTGGCCTGTCTGGGATCACAGCGTTCCGGCAGTTAGAGATGCTTCAGTAGCGTTCATCTGGGAAGGAGCCAGGAGCCCTTTCTTCTGGAAGGCTTCTTGGCCCCAATACAATCACTTGTCCATCCCTCCCTAGCAATCTCAGTGGGGAGTGGAGGGTCTGGCTCCGGCAGAAGAAGAGGAGTCCTGACTTGCCTTTCCTCTCACTCACTGAAAGGGGCCATGCTGGCGTCTGTCTCAGGAAGACTCACTGTCTCGTCTGCTAGAAATAGAAGGGGCTGGAGTCTTTTAAACACAAATTCTCTTGCTTAAAAGAAATCAAGTTCTGCATCTCAGGGTGCCCTGCAACATTTTCATGATGGTTCCATCAGCTGTGTCTTTTCTGAGACAGAAAGAGAGAGAGAGCACGTAGGCAGCTTTGCAGAGCAAGGTGGCTGGATGGGAGCCAGGATCCAGGAGGTGACCCCGCTGTCCTTCTGTCCCCTGCAGAAAGTGGGCAGTAGGGCCTCCTGCCTTCCTGCTTTGGGCCCCCTGAAGGGCTGTGCTGTGTGGAGGTGACCTGCCAGGGGCCCGCCCAGAGATGAGAGGGGACTGCAGTCGCCCGCCTGGCTGGAGCTAGCTCTGGGCTCACATGGACAATGGGTGATGGCAGGCCACTCTGGGTGGTGGAATGGGGCGTCAGGGACTGGGGCCTTCTGCAGGGCTGCTGGGTCTTGCATCTGCTCCTGCCCCTGAGCCTCAAACTCAGAAGCTGTGATTTCTAGGCCCTGTTCTTAGACTTGACCAGAACATTCTGAAAAGGGGAGATGGGGGCAGTGCAGGAAAGGAAGGCTGGTTCATGTGCTTGCATTTGGTGACCATATCCCATCTTAAAAATAACCTCCTGCGTTTCACTGTTTCTTGCACCTTCTCTCTTTCTTGGCCTTCTCCCCATTTCTCTCTCTCCCTTCCTCTCTCTCTTGCTTCCTCTCTTCCTCCCCCTCTCTCTCCCCACCTTCTGTTTTCTACCCCTGGTGCTTCTGACATGGGCTTCATTGTGGGTTTGAGATAGGAGTTGGGGAGGGCTTGTTTTGCAGGGTACAGATCACAAAGACCCTGCTGATAAAATGAGATGTGGTCAAGAAGCCGATCAAAATCTAGCAAAACCAAGATGGGAACAAAGGCAACCTCTGGTCGTCCTCACTGCTCATTATACGCTAATTATAATGCATTAGCTGCTAAAAGGACACTCCCACCAGCGCCATGACAGTTCACAAGTGCTGTGGCAATGCCTGGAAGCTACCCTATATGGCCTGAAAGGGGGAGGAACCCTCAGTTACGAGAATTCCCTGCCCCTCTCCTCGAAAACTCATGAATGATCCACTCCTTCTTCAGCATATGATCAATAAAGAAATAGCCAACCAGCAGTCCCGGGCTGCTCTGCCTATGGAGTAGCCACTCTTTTATTCCTTTCCTTTCCTAATACATTTGCTTTCACTTGACTCTGTCGGCTCACTCTTGAATTTCTTCCTGTGCAAAGCCAAGAACCCATGTGGCCTCCCAGGCTGAACCCGGTTTAGGGGTTTGTCCTGTGACAGGTCTGTCAAGGGGAACAGAGCCCAGAGCAGATTGGCAGAAATATGGTGCCTTTTACCCAGCGACTCAGGTGTGTGCAGACGCCATATGTGGCCACACAGGGGCAGTAGGACACTGGGCAGAGGCTGTGCCCGTGCCACCTCGCATGAGGAAGCATCGTCCCTCATCCAGTTTGGCACAGCCTGAGGCTTGGATATGGGGTGAATCCAATGTGGCGCAGGCAAAGGCCGGGCCTCACTCTTGTCTGACTTGCCCTCCATCTGTGAAAATGTTTGTGCATTCCCCAACAGATTTATATAATATACATGTCTGTACCCATATATTATACATATTTAGAGCACATTGAAAGCAGAAAAGAAGAGGTTTAAAACATTAATAGAAGTTCTCGTCTTTTTGCGTGCATGTGACAAGGTTTCATTCTGTGGCCCAGGCTGAAGTGCAGTGGCGTGATCGTGGCTCACTGCAGCCTCGACCTCCCCAGGTTCAGGTGATCCTCTCATCTCAGCCTCCTGAGTAGCTGGGCATGTGGGTAGCTATTTTTTCTACTTTTTGTAGAGATAGGGTCTCACCATGTTGCCCAGGCTGGTCTAGAACTCCTGGGCTCAAGTGATCCTCCCACCTCGGCCTCCCAAATTGCTGGGATTACAGGCGGGAGCCACTGCACCTGGCCTCTTCTCTTCCTTTCACTCCATGCTGCATCATCTTGGTACTGCCCCGTGTCTACACTGCAAGTCAGAGTCTGCTGGTCAGGGTGTCCTTAGGGCTGCAGGCTGATGGGGTTTTGCAGGTCCACTCTGGATGGGGTGAGGAAGAATGAGAGGTAATCACTAAGATCCCATCTGCAAATAGTGCAGTTCTCCTCTACTTGGGGGCCCAGGCTAAGCTGGTACTTCTCCACACTTTGGATGTCAGGTTTGGCCATCTGACTTGTTTAGACCAAGGAAATGTGAGCAGAAATGATATGAGTCACTTCCAGGTGGGGGCTTTAAAAGCTGGGGGTGGGGTAGAGAGGAGAGGAAGAGGGGTCAAAGAGGAAAAACAAATATCCCCGTTGGGTGTGACTGCCATAACAAGATACCATAGACTGCGTGGCTTAAATAACAGACATTTGTTTTCTCACAGTCCTAGAGGCTGGAGGTCCAAGATCAAAGTACTGGCAGGGTTGGTTCCTTCTCAGGCCTCTCTCCTCAGCTTGTAGGTGGTGTCTTCTCCCTGTGTCTCCATGTGGCCGTCCCTCTGTGAGTGTCTGTGTCTTAATCTCCTCTTCTTATGCAGACGTCAGTCAGATTGGATTATGACCCACCCATATGACCTCATTTTACTCTAGTTACCTCTTACATAGTCCCATTCTTAGATGCTGGAGATCAGGATTTCAACATGTGAATTTTTGGGGGTCATAATTCAGTGCACAATAGCAAGTGAAGCTTTATTCCCGGTGGTGGCAGCAGGCAGAGGTGTGGACAGACCTCTTGAGAATCACCAGCTTTCCATAGCCGTTCCAGCTACAGCGGTGCAAAAAAGGCCCCCTGCTGAGCTGGGTGAAATCCGGGCGACTTTGGGGATGAGCTCTGTGAGTCACCTCTTCTCACAGCCTCTTCCCGGACACTGCCTGTCCCCGCCCTTCTAAGGGTTCTGTGAACCCTTAGTTCCTGAATCAGGTCCTTTCCTTCATGGAAGACTGAGGGGGCTTCCACTTTATTGACCAAACCCAGACTGGTGCAGAGGCGACAGGTTGGAGACGCATTTGTCCTGCTCCAGGCCCAGGTACCCCTCCCAGATGAGGCCGAGAGTGCAGTGGGTGGGGGAGCAGAGGTGAGCTCCCTGAAAGCCCTCCCTCCAGGCCTAGGCCAGGACCACCTGGGTGGGTGAGTCTCCGGGAGCGAGCCAAGGAGTGTGGCTTGTCATCTCTAACTCAGGTTTCCCTTGGGACTCTGGCTGTTCTTTAGCAAATGCCCCTTAGCTTCAGTAGTCTTTGCATGGAGAAGGGAGTAAGAGAATGAGCAGTGCAGGGCTTTCTGTTTAACAAATGGCTCAGGAAATACCCTACTGTCCTGCAAAGCTGCACCAAGCCTCACTTTCCTCGTAACCATCTTGCAGGCGGGAATGTTCCTGGCAGCGAGTGGTGGATGACGGATTCTTACAGCCTGCAAACACCTTCATTTTTTTATGATTAAAAAATAAAAAATAGACAAGGGTGGGGCATGGTGGCTCATTCCTGTAATCCCAGCACTTTGGGAGGCCGAGGCAGGCAGATCACTTGAGGTCAAGAGTTTCAGACCAAGCTGGCCAACATGGTGAAACTCCATCCCTACAAAAATACAAAAATTAGCCAGCTGTGGCAGTGCACACCTGTAGTCCCAGCTACTCAGGAGGCTGACGCAGGAGGATTGCTTGAACCCATGAGGCAGAGGTTGCAGTGAGCTGAGATCCTACCACTGCACTCCAGCCTGGGCAACAGAGCCAGACTCTGTCTCAAAAAAACAAACAAAAAGAGATGAGGTCTCTCTGTGTTACCCAGGCTGGTCTTGAACTGCTGGGCTCAAGCAATCCTTCCATGTCAGCCTCCCAAAGTTCTGGGATTACAGGCATGAGCCACCATGCCTAGCTAAAACACCTTTTTTCCCTTTTAATTTTTAAAAAATTGATGTATAATAATTGTACATATTTATGGGGTATATAGTGATGTTTCTGTGCATTCCGTGTCTAGTGATCAAATCAGGGTAATTAATATCCATCACGTCAAGCATGTATCCTCAAAGAAATGATAAATGTTCCAACGCATCTGAGGTTTCTCTTCCTTAATCAATTTCCTTTGGAGACCGCCTAGCTGTCTCCCTTGCTGTTTGCTTTGAGCCTGTGAACGGGGTACTTAAAAACAGCCCTGTCTGAAACCTTCAATCTGCTGAGCAGCTCCCATCAGATAGGGTCTGGTTACCACAGGCCTGTCTGCTCTGGTCACTGCCAACTTCCTCCTCTTCTGCCTGCCTCCTTCCCCAAGTCGTCTAGGCCACAGACTTCAGGCTTAGACATGGAGAAGGAGCCAGTGGGAAGTGCTTCTGGTCTTGTTGAGAAGTCAAAAGGGTGTGTGTAAACGGAGTTTACACCCTTTCCAAACATAAGAGAGACGAGATCTCTGGGAGGCCAAGGAAGCCACAGTTTGACGTCACCAGCCATGGGTCAGGGCACCTGGCCACGCTCAGCAGGGCACCAGCAGCTAATGTGGCAGCAGGCCGAGTCTCTGAATGAAGAAGCCACACCACATCTGAACTGTCGCTCCCCCTCTCCCCATACTCTGGTCTCCACCTGTTCAGTCTTGATCTCTCCTGGACTCACCCTAGCAACCCCCAGGTCACGTGGAGACCACTGGCCATGCACCTACCTCCAGCTCCGTTGGCTCTCCCGGCCCGTTTCCTCTCGTCGTCCTTCCCTCCTGACTCAGTCTAACACTAACATTGCTCCTTTGCAAAAAACATTCACTTTTGCTGTTTCCGTTCTCTGTCACCTGCTTGGCAAATCCTATCTCCCACTGTCTGCCTGGTCTTTGTCTGTATTGGAACTTCTAAATATTGCTGAAAAAATCAATCACTCCACCAGGCTTGCTGGACACACCCCACATTTATGACCACAGCCTCAAATGGGCAATCCCGCCACCAGACCAGACGGTCCATCTTCGCTTTCCTAATTAACTCACCCGTTCTCAGGTAATTATTTGAAAAATGTCTTTGCAAACCTCCAATATCCCACCTCCTCCGACTCACTTCCCTATTTCACAGACAAATAGGAGCGACCTCACGGGCTCCCTTCCTCTGTGCCACTGATTTGTTATTGAAAAGGGGTCCTGATCCAGACCCCAAGGGAGGGTTCTTGGATCTCGCACAAGAGAGAATTTGGGGTGAATCCACAGAGTAAAGTGAAAGCACATTTATGAAGAAAGAAAGAAAAGAATGGCTGCTCCACAGGCGGGGGCTGCTTGAATGGGCATATTTCTAGTTATTTCTTGATCATATGCTAAACAAGGGATAGATTATTCATGGATTTTCTGGGAAAGGGGTGGGGAAATCCTGGAATGGAACAGAGGGTTCCTGCCCTTTTTAGACCATGTAGGGTAACTTCTGGCCTTTGCCTGTGGCATTTGTAAACTGTCACGGGGCTGGTAGGCGTGTCTTTTAGCAGCTAATGCATTATAATTAGCAAATAATAAGCAGTGAGGTCGACCAGAGGTCACTTTCATTGCCTTCTTGGTTTTGGTGGGTCTTGGCTGGCTTCTTCACCACATCCTGTTTTATCTACGGGGGCTTTGTGACCTGTGTCTTGTGCCGACCTCCGATCTCATCCTGTGGCTAAGAATGCCTAACTTCCTGGGGATGCAGCCCAGCAGGTCTCAGCCTCATTTCCCCCAGCCTGTTTGAGCCGCAGTCGCCCTGGTTCCAATGTCCCTGACAGTAACGGGCACCCCTTTAGCTGCACCCTGCCTTCTTGCCTCAAGGAGGAAGTGCCTGGTCCTGTTCTCTGAGCCGGGTCTCCACTCGCACTCTGCCGGGGGTTCTCTCCCCTCCTCCAGAGCTGCAAGTGCTGTGGCTGCCCTCTTTCCTGTGCACATCGTCTCTCTTTCAGCAGGCACTGACCTATCTCACATGACAACACCTTCATTATATTATACGACGTTATGAGAAAACCACAAGCCACTTTCTGGACCTTATCTATGTCCTTGTCCAGCTCCTTGTCTCTGCTCCCTTTATGGCACATGGATGCAGCAAGGTGGCCTTTATCTCCTGCCTCCTCCTCAACCCTGGCCTTACCACTGAGCTGAGATGGCCATCTCCCCCATCACTGCCATCACGGTGGAGGAGGGGCTCCCTCTTGCTGAAGCCAGCATCCACCTCTCTGTCCTCTTCTTCCTTGATGTCTTAGCAGCGCTGGTGTAGACGACTCTCTCCTTCAAACAGTTTCTTCCTGAAGGCTGCCGGATGCCCTGTCCAGCTGCTTTTCCTTCTACCTTACTAGCTGGATTTTTTGTTTTGCTTTGTTTTTAGTTTTCTTTTTGTTTGTTTTTTGAGACAAGGTCTCCTTCTGTTGTCCAGGCTGGAAGTGCGGTGGAGCAATCTCAGCTCACTGCAGCCTTAACCTCCTGGGCTCAGGTGATCCTGCCACCTTAGCCTCCCGAGTAGCTTGGTCTACAGCTACCTTTTTTTCCTAAGTACCCTTTGACCATGCCTCTTTCTCTGTCAGATATTTAAATGTCAGGGTACCCAGACTGCATGTTCACTCTTCCACATAGACTCGAAAGCAAGCTAACTCACAGAGGCAGAGAGCAGAATAGGGGACTTGAGGCTGGGAGCAGGGCGTGGGGATGTGCTGGTCCAAGGGTTCAGGGTTTCAGTTAGGCAGGAGGAATAAATAATGAGCATTTGAGGTGATGGATATGTTAGTTAGCTTGTTTCAATCATTCCACATTGTACATATAGCAACATTTTGTACATCATAAATATATACAATTAGAATTTGTCAATATCCAGTGAAAGTAAATAAATGAATAAACATACACTGGAGTCCCGAGGCTGCCGTGCGCAGCCCTCTTCTCTCCTACACTCCTTTCCTGAGTTTACCCAGGTAGAGGTTTTTTTTTTTCTTTTTCTTTTTTTTTTTTTTTTTGACTGTCTCGCTCTGTTGCCCAGGCTGGAGTGCAGTGGTGCGATCTCAGCTCACTGCAACCTCCGCCTCCCAGGTTCAAGTGATTTTCTTGCCTCAGCCACCCAAGTAGCTGGGACTACTAAGCACCTGCCACCACGCCTGGCTAATTTTTGTATTTTTAGTAGAGATGGGTTTCACCACGTTAGCCAGGATGGTCTTGATTTCCTGACCTCATGATCCACCCACCTAGGCCTCCCAAAGTGCTGGGATTACAGGCGTGAGCCACTGTGCCCGGCCGGTATGATACTTTTAATATTATCTAAACATCTGAATCCAGACTCCCAAATTTGTGTCTCCAACATGGGCCTTTTCCCTGAATTCCAGGCCCTGTGTCCAACGCACTCCCCACTTGTATTAAATTGACATTTAAATATACCGTGAACCAGCACCACTGCTGCCACCCCTCTGCCTCTTCATCCAACTGCCAGCAGGAGGGCCATCTCTAGGTCCTCCATTTCCTTCACACTCCACATCCAAATTGTCCCCAAAGTATGTCCCCAAAGATGTCCCTAAGCAAATACCCATCAGATCACTCCTCATCCCCTCCGCAGCTGCTGCCCCATCTAGATCACACTCACGTCCTCTGTCCCTGCCCCTAATTGCCCTCTGGGCTCCCCTTTGCCCCTCCTCCCCACTTACTCTCTACACAGTACTTTCTACTTCGATCTTATGAAAGTTTAAATCAGATCACGTATCATTCAAAAACCCTATAAAACCTCCTGCGCCACTCGAATACAATCCCAGCTCCTGACTCTGCCCTACCAGGCTGGAGAGCCCCCGCCAGCCTCTGCAGCTGCCTGCTGCGCTGGCCTCCCTCTGCAGACCTCGGGGTCTGGGATTATCTTTTCCTTCCTAGAGCACTCTTTTCCCTGACCTCTGCACAATTGCCACTGCCACTGGAAGAGCTCTTCTCCAGGAAGCTTTGACCACTTGGGAAAAGCAGCCCCCTCCACACCTGGCGCCGTCTCACATTTTATCTTCTCTGTGGCACTTAGAATGGTTGGATTTGTTTGGAGGTCACATTCATTTCCCTGTGGGCTGCAAAAGTGCATGTGTGGTCCCACCGGCAGGGTGGAAAGGCCCTGGCTTCTTGAATGCCCTTTGAACCACATGGTCAGGGCAATGGCAGATTCCCCAGTAACCTGCTCCCTACCCACCTCACGCCCACTCTCCCCCAAGCAGCTTATACTGTGTGCTCTTTGTGGAAAGAGACATCACAGGCACTCCTCTTGGTGTAGACAGGGGATATCATCTCAAGGGATGGACAGAGATCTGCAATTGTTGTTCAGCGGTTCCTTCCACAAAATGGGATTAGTGACACCCACTTTGACCCTCTGACTTAGGTCTTTGCTGAGAACACAGAGATGGGATCAGTGAAAAACAGGGCCTTCCCTCACCTGCTTTGTCTTCCAAAGGTTTCTCAAAGTGTCTTTAGACCACCTGTGTCCATCACCTGGGGCGTCTGTGAAGCCCGGAGCGACACAGCCAGAATCCCTGGGGCTGGAACCCAGTACTTCTCCTGGGAATATGCATTTGTAACAGCAGCCCAGGTGACTTTCATGCATGCTCGATTTTGAGGTTTAAGAGGTGCTTTAAGTGGCTGAAAAAATTTCAGGCATAAGATCTCAGAGCATAATATGATCACCTTTGGAAAAGGCCACTGGAGGAGAGTGGGTTTACTTTGGCTCTGGCTTCTGTCAAACTCAGGAATCAAGCCTGCATTTTTTAATTCTACCTCAGCTTACCTGTGGAACTCCGGATAGTAACAACCACCAAGCAGCTTCCTCAAGGGGAAGATACAAGGAAGAACAGTGATTTGGGTGAATCTTTTTCTCCCTCCCCTGCCTCCATCTGGTTGCAAAAATCTTCCTTCCCTCCTTCCTTCCATCTGTTGTTCATCCATCCATCTGTCCATCCGTCCATCCATCCATCCATCCATCCATCCATCCATCCATCCTGTGTGTGCTATAACAGGGACAAGCTAAAAGGACAAGCATTTTTCTCTCCTTTTATTTTTATATGGATATCTTCTTTTGAAGTATTTTTATTTCACTTTTTCTAACAGCAATATAGAAACAAATAATCATAAAAAATAAAAGTATAAATCGTCCATTGATTATGTAATAGCACTTGGTATTGCTACAGGGTGTGGGTCTTGAACTCGGTCAGGCATCGTCAAGCCTGCCCAGGCCCTCCAGGCCTCTTTGATAGCTACTGAGCCCCTGAAGGCATCAAGACATGACCACGCATGGCAGTGTCGGTGGAGAGTTTGCGTTTTACACCCAGCGATGCTTGGGGATGGCAGAGAGATGGATGGATAATGAGTACAACTGCAAACAGCACTGTACACATGTGGTGAGCCAGGAGGCTGGGACGGAGGTTAGGCCAATGTTGCTGCTGACTCATAGACCCACAGAGAGCAGGGACTTCACAAAGCTGAATTAATGTGGTTAGTTGTGTTCACTGTGCAAAGTAAGGAAGCCAGTCAACACTGGACGATGTTTAGAAAACATCGCTGTCCCCCTCCACTTCTCATCTTGGGTCACCTCCTCATCCCATAATAAAGTTCTCTTAGGATAAACCGAGCAAAATAGCTCAGACATTTAACTTATCCCCAAACATGTGTCTTGATCTTAGTTTCCACCCAGAGAATGAAGAAAGCAAGCAAGCACTGGGTTACCCAAGCAACTAAATCACTCAGTTGCATCCAACTTAATTGGACTGACTACATTCAGCTAAATCTTTCCATTTTCGCTGAACCCAATGGTTTCGGTTACTGTAATGACTGATTTCCAAAAAGAAAGAAAAACCTAATTTGGCATTTTTTCAGAATATGGGATGGGCTTTCCTGCATGGGTTCAAGGATGTTTATGGCATGTTCTCTGTCGTGTGTGTGTGTGTGGGGGTGTGTGTGTGTGTGTGTGTGTGTGTGTGTGTAGGTCAGCCCGAGACCTCAAGGGCTTATCTGGAAAGAGGTTGGCAGGAAAGGAATGCGTCTTCAGGACTTGGCAGTGTTTGTGCAGAGCTCTGAGGAAGGACAGCAGTACATGGTCCTCAGGCCTGCAGACTTCATTGCACAGAGCATGGCAGACAGTAGATCTTGGCTGCGTTGTTCTGCCTACTTTGAAGGAGGCATAGAACTTCTGGCTCTTTGAAATTTTAAAAAAGAGACCAAGTTCTTTTCTGTCTACTAGAGATCATTCATTTGCATTGTCCTACTCTCAGCCCACAAAAGAAAAGCAACCTCTCCCCTATGTGGGTCACGATGTGTGGGTGGACACGGGCCCCACTGAGATTACACAGGAAGAAGTCACAGTAGACAGAGCAGCCAGATGCCGTGCGTAGACCATGGGACAGTGATTAGTGACACATGCCCTGTGGGGCCACTGTCAGTGCCTTGCTCCACCTTGACCCAAATGTTCTGAATTGCAATACTCTGGGAGATGTGGGTGGGGGCTGAGGTGGAGAGTAGAGGGGTTGGCAGTGTGCGGGTTTGGCAAAGCATCACGACCATCTTTGGGGTTCAAGTTCATTGACATGTGATCTACTAGGCATTATCAATAATGGTTTCACACATCAATATTCTATAGCCTAAACAGCTGTGCAACCTGAGGGAAGTCCTTCTCCTCCCCCAGGTTTCACTTTGCTCCTTTACTAATGAGAGGACTCGACTAGATGACACCAAAGGTCAGAAACACTCCTTATCTCAGGATTCTACGGGTCTGGCCGAGGGACCCCTGCCATGCCGTATGACCCCAGACTGACCTCCCTAACCTGCTGGGGTCTTAACTTGCTGATCCTCAAGCCTGTTGGGAGGGAGAAACTCTTAAAATCAAATCCTACGCACTGTAGTTGACCTACACAAGTGGCTTCCGCATTTGGACAAAAATCAGTTACTAACAAGTGAACAACACATCAGTAACAGTCTTATTAAAACTAGTTGTTTAGGTCAGGCACAAAATCTCAGAGGAGGCTCAGGATGGGCCTCTGGGCTCCCTAGATTGTCTTTCCAGAGAGGGCAGTAAGGTGACACCACCAGAATCCACCAGGAGGCCCCGGTCACGCCCCTGCAGGAGAATTCAGTTATGGAAAATGCTTTCAGGACCTGCCTGGTTCAGTCACCAGTGGTCTCCCAGGCTGTCACCCTGGGGTGTGGGTGGCAGTGAAGAGGCTCTTTGGAGATGCATGTGGCCAGGGGAGACAATGGGGACATCTGTGCTTGTTGCACCCAAGCTACGCTAGTGCCCCCATCACATGTCCCAGCACACGCCAGAATTTACAATTTACACAGCCTTATAGTGTCAGGCTCACCAGAGACACTGGCTGCCAGCCACTGGGGCTGCGTCCCCAAGTGCCCATTTGTCATGCCTTTCGATTTTCCCTTCCTAGTAGCTCCCTGTCAATGTTGCTGAGTCATGTACTTAGGGTGAATTTGAGACAATACTTAGAGGACAGCAACAGCACGTGAGACAGGCACATCTGACATGCCTAATTTCCCCCAAGGCCCTTGCGGGACAGCCTTCTGCAAAAATGACAGCTTTGTTGGGGGGCCTCCCTTTGGGAATCCCAGTTCATAGCACCAGTGATTCCAGGAAACAGGAACGTGACCGTGGAGGGATGGATTATGGTGGGAACCCAGGTCTCCTTTAACATCTTGGTTGGAGCGGCCCTTCTGCAGAGCTCTTTGGGTAGTAAGCAAGAGCCAGTCACAGAGACACTGGCATCCACACCCAGGGCCCCTGGGTGGGAGAGCACCACTGAATAGGTCCTGGGGCCCTTGAGTCGCCAGTCCCAGGGACCCCTGCCTCCGGGAGACCCACTGGAGTAACTTGGCCTCAGCTTCCTCTGACACCCCTCCAGCCCAAGCCCTCCGCTCCAGCCCCTCCGCCCAGTCTGAGGGCTCCTCAGCAGAGAGAGAACCTCCGAGAGTTGATGTTCATCTTGGTCACGCCAATAAGCTTGAGTGGTGTGGAGAGGCTGAAGGAGGAGGCAAGAGGGGAGTCACAGAAGAGGTCGGCCAGCTCATCCCGCTCCTCCAGCTCGTAGGTGGCATCGTTGAGCATCCTCCTGTGGAGGCGGCAGGTGTGTTCGATTTTCAGCTTGTTGATGTCGCCACGCAGGCGCATGAGCTGTCTGGCCAGTTGCTGGTCCTGCAGCCGCATCTCCGTCTGGAAGGGAGGGGGAGCAGGCAGGGTCAGCAGAGAGTGGCTCGAGTCCCTGACAGGCACAGACTGGTTAGCAGGGCCCTGACTAATGTCTTAGTTCATTAAGTGGTCCATCTAGAAATATTAGCACTTTCCCTGCTCAGGGAGGTGAAAAGACACAGAAAGCAAGGTGACAAATGAGGGTGCGGTCGCAAAACAATACTTTGTGCTAGGCTAGTTGCTGTATCTAAGTCCTTCTGAAAGACATGCATATTGGTCCTGGCTAGAAGATACTTCCAGTGCTTTCTCATTGTTTAGAGTTTCATTTAGATGGAGTAAGAGTATAAAGGAAAACATAGGGTAACAGCTATCAAATTCAGGAGGATGGTTGCCTCTAGGTGAGAAGGAGGGACTGTGATTGGGAAAGGTATATGGGGGCTTTGACTGTGATGGCCATGTTTTCTTTCTTACGCTGGGGAGTGTCATGTTGTTACATTACTCTTTAAACGTTTTAGAATGCCTGAAATATTTCTTAGTAAAGTTTCAAAACAGCCAAACAAAAATTGGTTCCTAGGTACTGGGTGTTTTATTATGAAACAGTTCTAAGGCCTTTGGGTCTATTAACATGCAACAGTTAACCGTCACTACAACCTGTGAAGTGATGTCACCATCATCACCCACAGCTTATAGAGGAGGACACAGAGGCACAGCCAGGGAATTAGCTGTGTCGGCTCACAAAGCTCATCCACAGCCGAGCTGGGATGAGGAAGCCGGACAGCTGGACTCCAGAACCAAAATGACTGACAATGAAGTTCTGCTGCTCAAGGACGAGCTGCAGTGTGGTGTATGGAGCTAGCAGAGTGCTTAGTGACCTTGTAGAAGGTTCCTAATATTTTTAGTGGCTTGATGTTTCCTATTGATGTGTAAACACAAGGTAAAATCCTAAGCCCCCCAACTGACTGAACAAGCCCGCTCTTCATCAAGAGGACCCCAGAGAAGCCTGAAAACTGAATTCCCAGCCGTGATGGGAATGGAGTTCAGACATGCTTTGTTATACCCCCCCTTGCTGTTGGAGTTTAGGCACAGCAGATCGGCATTAACATTGAAATAGAGATATAAGACTGACAAAACAGACTCTTTGTGGCAGTAAGGTAGCAAATTCCTGCCTCTGGTATAGCGTCACATAACAGGTAGCAAACCCTGAAGAAAATAAAAATATTTTACCCTGAAGTATATTTCTTTGACATATTTTGAAATGGCCCTGCAAAACCATCTCTTGTGGGAGATACTTACATCTGTAGAGCATTTCCATTAATGCAATCAAGCCTTCCCTTTCTAGGCCTTTCCAAGATCTAGGAGAGATTAAATGAGAGTCTGGCAAATTTAAGGTCTGAAAAGAGATATTTACCATCTATTTTCTCTAAAGGCTTCTACCTGGAGGCTTCATCTACATAACAAGAACCTTGGCCTCCACAACTGTCCTTTGTCTTAAGCATTTCTTTCTACTGACTTCAAGTCTTTAGGCAAAACTTAACTCTTTCAATCAACTGGCAATAAAAATATCTTTGAATCTACCTAAGACCTGTAAGCACCCCCACCCTCCAAGCCCCTTCAAGATATCCCACCTGTTTAGGCTGAACCAAGGTATACCTTCTGTGTATTGAGTTATGTCTTTGCTTGTAACTCCTGTCTCTCTGAAATGTGTAAAACCAAACAGTAACTGGACCACCTAGGGCGAGCTTTCTCAGGACCTCATGAGACTGTTCCCTGGCCCATGGTCACTTACACTGGCTCAGAATAAACCTCTTTAAGTATTTTACAGAGTTTGTTTTCTTCTGTTAACAAAGAGATGTGATAATTATTTCTCACCTGGCTTCACACTCCCAGTTTCCCAAACCCACTGTAAACCAAAAGTGTCTGAGACAGGTGTCAACAATTTAGAAAGTTTATTTTGCCGACGTTAAGGATGCACACCTGGGAGGCAGGTCTATGCCTTTCCTCAAAGATGATTTTGAGGGCCTTAATATTTAAAGGGGAAGGAGTGGATACTGGGGGAAGAGGAAGAAATTTTTTAAAGGTGTAGGTAGATAAGAGACAAACGATTGCATTCTTTTGGGTCTTTGATCAGCCTTTGGTTGATCAGTCTTTGATCAACCGAATACACAATTTACATGTTTGTTTAGGGTAGAGGAAAAGTCACTTGTGTCTTAGTCTGGCTCACTGAATCTGCATTTTTATAGAAGATAACATAAACACAAGGCACGTGAAGCAATCAGGTATGCATTCGTCTCAGGCGAGCAGAGGGATGACTTTGAGTTTTGTCCTTTGTCCCGCACCTGAGAAGATCAGATGTCAATTTACATTGCCAGGGTGAAATTCAACAGAACTGTTTTAGGGTACAGGTCTGGGGGCCCAACACGGAAGTTCTTTGTGGGCCAATTGTGAGGGAGGTATGTAGGTTTTGTCTTTGCAGCTATCTTATCTAGAAATAAAATGGGAGGCAGCTTTGCCTGATGCAGTTCCCAGCTTGACTTTTCCCTTTGGCTTAGTGATTGTGGAGTCCTGAGATGTATTTTCTGCTCATGTTTAACCTTGATGGGCCTCACAGCCACTCCTGAGGTACCAGCAGGACAGTCTGGCTCCATATTTTACCAGCCAGCATGCTAGCTGGAGCTCAGAGGGCTGGTTTCTCAGTTGTGACATGGTACATAGGGACTGGCTTAGTGCAGAGCGCCTTCTGTAAGCAGCACTTTGTCACTGGGACAGGTTGCCAGCTGCTCCTACTTGACTCGAGATCTGAATCCTTCTCACTATTTCCTCTGTCTCCACTTGTAAGTGGTTATTTAGTATTTCTGCGACATGCTCGGCTGTGCCATTTACCTGGTGCCTGGAGCCAAACTGATTAGAAAAATGAGCCCTGAGATGCCCTGTAGTTATGCAAATGAAGGCAGTGTTCTCACTTTCTCCCTGTTAGGTTTATAATAGAGCACATTGCAGGGTAGAAAAATTAAGTGACCTTGCCAGCGAGCATCTCAATGTTCTTTTTTTCCTCTCTCGTTTTTTATGCACTTGTACAGATCTCTTTTCTCCTGATTTCATATATAAGAAAAATCAAGATAGAAAGTCTTGCTTGGGAGTCAGCAAGGTATCTAATGGCAAAATTGGGATTAAAGTTCATAGCCACATTCATTAGTTTACTTTTCAATCCTTGGGCCTCAAGCATTGAAGAAACTCAAATTTATTGCTAATTAAATTCTATTGACCTAGAATAGCACCAAATTAATGATGATAGGGTGGCTGGTCATTTGTTTTGTAATGGTGTCCCTCACTGAGCCTGGAACGGAGCTAGGTGCTACCTAAACCCTTCTGAGGAGATGGGGGTCAAACCTGCCTGAAAGATATTGTCTGCGAACACCCATTGCCTTAGTACAGTCATCTGTCACTTCTCTTTGGAGTGTTCTGTAATTTGACAATAGATCTTTTTGAAAAACTAGGAACCCTATGGTTTAAGATTTGAGCTTTGGCCCCAGGAATTGCATCTTTGGTGTGAAAAGATCCTTTGAAGTCGGGGAATTTGGGGTGTGGCCAGGTGTCTAAGACTATCTGTGAGACGCAGGCTGTGGCGGACACATCTCTGTGGGGTAGCAGGAAGGAAGGGGCTGTTTTTCTGTGGCTGACAGATCTGGTCAAAGGTCAGAGAACAATTTACTCTTTAAGACCCATCAGAGGCAGCTAGAAAGAGGGCTGACAGTAAGGCCTGTGTCAGTTTCCATGGACTGGACAAAGGCCGCCTGGATGGCGTTGCCTCGCACGCCCATGCTGTGCACATGCATTCAATTCTGCGTAAGGGTGAAAAGAGAAAGAAAGCTGCAGCTTCAACAGGGATGGTGATTCCGGCCGGTCTCCCTGCTTGCGCTCTGAGAGAACATGAGGAGGGGGCTGGGAATTGCAACTTCCTCAGTGGGCTTTGGTTCTGAGGGCATCTCACAGCGTGAGCATCTCGCTAGGATGCACTATGGGTTCTCACATTTAGATGCTCACAATACATAGTGTGTTGGGATCCCTGCACACAAATCAACAAATTCATCTCCTGCCCCAAAGAACAGGGTTTGTCCCCGTGATGCGGGAGCCCTGGCTGTGCTGGGCCCATGCTCGGCTGCTCCCTGGGCCACACAGACATTTTGCAAAGGTGACTTTGCACCTTAAACACTAACTTGAGCCCCGATTAGGAGGTCACTCTGCTGTAATTGAACCAAATCCACACGAGTTCCCACAGACTCTGAAGAAATCTGAGCAAAATGTGCAAGAATAAGAGGCTTAATTTGTTTCTAGAATTTTTTTCTAGTTGTGATAAAATCCATACAACATAGAAGTTATCATCTTAACCATTTTTAAGTGTACAGCTCGGTGGCAATTAAGTACATTCACGTTGTCGCGCAACCACCATCCATCTCCAGAGCTCTTTTTATCGTTCTAAACAGAAACTGCATCCATCAAACACTAACTCCCCATCCCCCTCCTCCAGCCCCTGGCACCCACCCTTCTACTTTCTGTCTGTATGACTACTCTAAGAACCTCACAGAAGTAGAATCACACAGTATTTGTCCTTTGTGAGTGGCTAATTTCACTTAGCATAATGTCCTCTGGTTTCTGATGGCTAAGAAGCTTTTTATAAATTAATCTTTTTAGAGATTTGCAATGAAGATATGTCTTTGCTGGTCCTGTGTGGAGTTAGTCGGGAGGACGGCGGTTGCCCGGGAAGGCACAGAGGGCTGCGCCAGTTCAGGAGAGCAGGTCTGAGCTGGGACTGGAGTGCCTCCTCCTGTTTTCCCTTCAAGCTCTGCCAAGGGGCCCCCTGGAGGCGGGGATGACAACACAGCCCCGGCTGCAGCCGCACACGTTTGACATAGATTGTTTCATCATGTTTTCCCACAACTCTAGATGGCAGGTGTGATTTTAGTCTGTCTTACAAGGAAACTGTCTCAGAGAAGTAAAGGAACGGCTCATGGCCAGCCAGCCTATGGCATCTGGACCACACTCGGGCCTGTCAGCACCCAGAGCTGGAAGACTCTCCCAGGCTCCTGTCTGCTCAGAGGCGAGCTGGGCCCAGGGGTGGCAGAAAGGGAAAATCCACAGCCCTGGGTTAGAACCCAGGTTCAAGCTGAGCTCCACTCCTCACTCGTTGGGTGGCAAGTCACTGCCACCTGGAACTTCTGTGTCCTCATCTACAGAAAAGAGATAAGGCCTCTTCTCATCTCTTCTAAGGACAGTGAGAATGAAATTCGACAACAAATAGCATGGCAGAAAATATGAACTACGCTGGCCAAATCAAAGTAAGAGGTGCACCATCACTTAAGTCCTTTCTCTCCAGGCCAAGGCACAGAACATGGAACCCAGCAAGGACCTCCCAGTTTTAAGCCCTCATTAAAAGCCTGAAAAGCTGGCCAGGGTGACTCAACTCTCAGTGTGGGTTTCATGCTGTCTCTGGCAAAGGCTCTACCATAGGATGTGCCAATTTCCAGTCCCCGCTCCCAGCGTGGCCTGGTGTCTCTCTGAGAACAAAAGCACTTGCTGAATTCTCAGAGGTGCAGCCTGTAATCCCAGCAACCCCATAATTAGGGCACAGAACTTGTTGAAAGGGAAGAGATGTCATTGGTCGGGGGCTGTCCAAGCACTGTGGTGACAGGGTGTCCCCACCAGGCTTGGAAGAAGGGAAGGGCGGCAGCCACACGTGGCCCCTTTGAAACAGCTGTGCTTGTGATCTGTACTACAGATGTTTGTTTTTTTGGGGGCAGACAAGAATGCTCGTTAAGATGTGAGCCACTGCACCTGGGTGAAGTGTTGAAATGTTCTAAAATTATACGTGATGATGGTTGCACAACTCTGAAAACACTAAAAACCACTGAATTGCTATTTCAAATAGGTGAACTGTATGGTATGTAAAGTTTATCTCAATGAAGTCATTTTGAAAAATTTTAAACACCAATTAAAGAAAGAGAGCAAGAGAGAGAGCCAGGTTGTTTCTCAAGGTAGAAGGCAAACCCCCAAGAGCAGGATTAAGTCACTAAAGATGGTAATTAAATGGGTCTGGAAGAGGACAGAGATTTCCTTACTTCCAAGCTTTACGTGGTGAGGGGAGGGTGTGGCAAGGGGGCTGGAGGAGACGGCCAAGGCGGCCCTGGAAGAAGGACCCAGAGAGGAAAAACGCAAGGGGAAGGTCAGCCGAGGACATTCAGATCATAGAAAAGTCTAATGCATCAAGCCAGTGGTTTGCTGGGGGGTCTCTCTGGACCTGGGGATTTTCCTGGGGAGTCAGAAGAGCTGACTCCTACCCTCGGAGCTGGGTGGAATAAAACAAAAGCCTTAAGAAAGGTGTGGGAAACAGCATGGCGGGTCCCGGAAAGTTAAACAGAATTACCATATGACATGGCAATGCCACTCCAGGTACACACCCCAAACAAATGAAGGCAAAAGCTAGAACCTGGATTTGTACATCCACGTTCACAATCACCAATAGGCGGAACCAACCCAGTGCCCTCCACAGATGAATGGATCCACACAATGTGGCCTATCCATAAAGTGGAATATTATTCAGCCTTGAAAAGGAAGACAATCCTGGCACATGCCATAACATGGATGAATCTTGAGGACATTATGCTAAGTGAATTAGCCAGACACTAAAGGCCAAATACCGTAGGATTCCACTTAGAAGAGGTTCCTAGCGTAGTCCAATTCATAGTGATGGAAAGCAGGACAGTGGTGCCAAGGGCTGGGGAGAGGGGATGGGGAGTTAGCGTTTAGTGAGCACAGAGTTTCCATTTGGGAGGATGAAGTTCTCGAGATGGATGGTGGTGACGGCTGCACAGCAATGTGAATATATTTAGTGAACTGTACATATAAAATGGTACATTTTATATTATACATATTTTACTGACATTTAAACAACAACAGCAGAGTCTGCAAATTTAGAGCAATCAGTTCAATCCAGTTTGCCCAGGACCTACCTGGTTCTAGCACTGAGAATACTGCATCCAGGGGACCTCCTTAGTCCTGGGCAAATAGAGATGGCCGGTCAGCCTGCCTGCAGCAAGCGTGGCCGCAGGTGCTGGGGAATGGGGGCCCAGCCTGGACAGTTGGAGGGTGGTCTCAGTGATGTTGTCTCTAGCCTGAGTGACACTGGAAGCTGATGAGACCCTGAAGAGTAGTCTGGGAGGTAGAAGGGCCTCTCTGGGGGGTTACTGGAGATGGGGGCCACAGAAGGAGGGTACTGGACCAATTGGCAAAAAAAAAAAAAAAAAAAAAAAAAAGGATTTTGTTCTTTGCCAAAGGCCCGAGAGGCTGGCCGGGGTGACTCAACTCTCAGTGTGGGTTTCATGCTGTCCCTGGCAAAGGCTAGTCTAACATAGGATGTGCATTTGGGAAAGGCAGCATTTTTGTGGAATTTGCATCCTTACTCAACATCCCCTGGCTGATCTGTGTTCACTTGCTTGGTCTAAAACACTGAGTGATTTCTTCACATTCAAGGGAAGCAAATACTCTTAGTTGCCAATGAGATCTGCTCCAATACTTTCTCTGATCCCACGGACTGATGTCTATGGGTCTAAAACGGCCCAAAGATTTTAGGAATTAAAAATTTAAAAAAGGACATGTACTATCATCAGAGTGAACAGGCAACCTACAGAATGGGAGAAAATTTTTGCAATCTATCCATCTGACAAAGGGCTAATATCCAGAATCTACAAAGAACTTAAACAAATTTACAAGAAAAGAACAACCCCATCAAGAAATGGGCAAAGGATATGAACAGACACTTCTCAAAAGAAGACATTTATGTAGCCAACAGACAAATAAAAAACACTCATCATCACTGGTCATTAGAGAAATGCAAATCAAAATCACAAGGAGATACCATCTCACACCAGTTAGGATGGTGATCATTAAAAAGTCAGGAAATAACATGCTGGAGAGGATGTGCAGAAATAGGAATGCTTTTACACTGTTGGGAGTGAAAATTAGTTCAACCATTGTGGAAGACAGTATGGCGATTCCTCAAGGATGTAGAACAGGAAATACCATTTGACCCAGCAATCCCATTACTGGGCATATACTGAAAGGATTATAAATCATTCTATGATAAAGACACATGCACACGTATGTTCATTGTGGCACTATTCACAATAGCAAAGACTTAGAACCAACCCAAATGTCAATCAATGATAGACTGGATTAAGAAAATGTGGCACAGATACACCATGGAATACTATGCAGCCATAAAAAAGGATGAGTTCATGTCCTTTGCAGGGACATGGATGGAAGCTGGAAACCATCATTCTCAGCAAACCAACACAGAAACAGAAAACCAAACACGGCATGTTCTTACTCATAAGTAGGAGTTGAACAATGATAACACGTGGACACAGGGAGGGGAACATCACATACCCGGGCCTGTTGGGGGGTAGGGAGGGATAACATTAGGAGAAATACCTAATGTAGGTGACGGGTTGTTGGGTGCAGCAAACCACCATGGCATGTGTATACCTATGTAACAAATCTGCACATTCTGCACATGTAATCCAGAACTTAAAGTATGATAAAAAAAAATAAAAAATAAAAAAGAACATGTAATTGTCCGACCATTGGAAGCACAAGGAGCAACTCTATGAAGGTGTTACCTTTAACCTACCATGGTTTCTGCTTCCTAAAATAAAGGCAATGCACGGACCACCAGACAAATCCTCCCCTTTCCAACAAAAGTCTTACCCGAAACCCTATTAATAGTTTGTCTTTTTTCTATCGTCTAATGCTTCCATTCCTGAAGAATGTGGCTGTGTGCACTTTGGCTTACGAAACCCTCTGTTCTTTTAGTTTGGTGAAATAAGGGCTGTGATGGCAGCAAATCTGAAAACATGTTTGGGGCAGAGATTTCTGGATGCATCTTTAAAGCTGGCTTGAGAGAAATCCCAGTGCACAGGGGCCAACCAGAGGCGAAAGAGTGCGTGTCCTGGAGAGCGTGGTAATCAGCTCAGAACTGGGCAGGCAGACAGAATGCCAAGGTGGTGAAGGGCATTTTGTCTGGTCCCTTAAAGTCAGGCTCTTATCTCTCCTATCCCAGCCTAATAGCTACAATTAGTCTCTGATGCATGCTGAAAAGAGGGTGCGTGTAAAATCCAGGCTGTTTTGCCAGCTGTGTGTGCAGGCCCAGAACATGTTCCACTGTCCGACGATTTGGGAATGAGACTCACAGTTCTTGAACCCAGGAAACAATTTGTGTAATCTCTTTCCTTATCTTATTTAACTTCACCTGCAGGTCTGCCTTATTATTTTCGTCAGTGTTGTGCAGGAGAATCCACTTAGAAGCCTGGGTAAAATTGTATTACATGATCTTGGGTTTGGTCCCTGAGAAAGAGCCAGATTAACGCTGGCAGGAAAGAAAGCAGGAGTGCCCTTCAAACACGCTGCTGAAGGGCAACTGGAGGTTCCGGGGAAATGTGAAGAAAGAAACGCAAACACCCCTAGGAACCAGGTTGGTCTTGTGAATTGATTTCCAGAGGAAGGCTGGAGTTTCTTTCCCAGAGGTCTCTATTCGGGGAGGCTGCAGCCCAGCGGGAGGGAGCTGAAGCTGACTCTCCTGGCGAGCCGAGGCCGCACTCACGCTCTGCAGCCCAGAGACTGCAGGGCGGGGACTCTGAGCCTGGCTGGTCCTGGGTTCTCTTTCAGGCCCCTGGCCTGGGACTGTGGATGGGAGGGGGGCAGGTGCAATGGCTCCTGTCACTGGGCTGACTTGCATGCAGGAAGGAGACAGCAAGATGAGTCCATCTGAGCCAGGCCTCCAGGGATCCTCCCTGCCAGGGGCTCCTGTGCCCCCTGGGGAATGGTGAGTTTGCTGGGAGGGAGAGACGACAGCCCCAGAGCCAGGCATAGAGCAGGAGGCTCTTCGGGCCCTGCCGAGGACTCCACAGGAAGAGTTAAGCTCTACCCCTGTGATCAGGCCTTTAATTTTTCAAACTTGGAAGGTGTGGGCCAAACTACACACCTTCAGGGGTGAGGCTGGCCTTTGGGAAGGACAGAGTGATGCATTCCGAAGAGCCCCTAGATCTGCCACTAGGGGCTCTGGGTTCCAGTCCTAGTGCAGCCTCTGATGACATGATGACTCTGGACAGGTGGCATGTGCCCTACACAGAGAGAGGATGCTGATCACCTTCCTCCCCTCCCATCAGATTGCATCTTGGAACTGAGGAGGTTCTGGAAGCTGTACACCCAAGGAAGACATTCTGTGCCGGAGAGAGAGTGGGAGAGATGTGACTGCTGCTGGCTGGGTGAGGACAGGCCCAGAGGACAGCATCACTGGCACCCACCCCTGCATTTGGGTCCTCTGCACCTCAGCTCCCAGCATCTGGGCCTCCTCCCTGCCTGCCTCCCCCCCTCACTCAATCTGTCTCCACTCAAGAGGCTGATGGGCAGGTCTCCCTGCTTCTTCAAATCTTTCAAAGGTATCACGGGACCCTCCTGTTCCCTTGACCTCTCCAGCCTCCTCTCCCACTCTGATGCCCTTGCCCCCACAGGGCAGCCACACTGAGGTTCTGTCCCCTCCCCTGTGGTCCCTTCTCCACCTGTCACCCTTCAGGACCAGCTCAGCCTTTGTCCCTCTCCCTGCAGAGGGGATGACAGCCCCATGGGCGCCTGCTACCACTGCCCCTCCATGCGGCCTCCACCATGGCACCCACGTGTTGGGCATTGGTTTCATTTTTTATCATGTGTCTAGATGACAAAACACCAGAGGAGAGACAGAGACTGGGGCCACCACAGTGCCTAGGGCATGCTCTGGTGCTCAAAAGCCATTTGTTAGATGAATGAATCAATGAATCAATCCGTTAGTTAAATTTCCCCAGAGCCAAGTCTTGATTTTCCACACTACATTACCCAGTACCTGTCTCCACGGCTGGGACAGTCCTGGAGACCTCACTCCTCCCTCTGCTACCCGGGCTGACCGCCACCCTCTGGGATCTCCCACTGCCCCCAGGCCTGTGGAGAGGCAGCCAGTAGAAAGGACAGAGGAGCAGCCCCTGGTTCAAAGTCCTTCTCTTCAACTTGCTGGTGACGCCACCCTGGGCAAGTCACCCCACACCTAAGCTTCAATTTCCTCATCTGCTACATGAGCATAATAGTACCCACTTACTGATAATAATTGACCGTAATTAAATGGGCACACACTACTGATCATTTATGAGAATTAAATAAGCCCATATCCACACACTTTGTACAGGACATCGAGTTCCGGAATTACTAGTTCCACCATATCCCGTCTTCATACACAGAACCACAGAGCAAACCATTCAGTTACGTTTTTACTTCCCATGTGGCGCTTGCCCCAGCTCCTGGGTGCCGGGTCCCTGCCAGAGCCTTTTTTGCTCCTCACAGCCTGGCTCAGGGCGGGTCCCCAGCCCAAGCTTCACCCACCTTTACTGAGCGCTCCCTTATCGCTGACAACTGTACTGCCTGTCACACGTCACCAAGCATGGTCCGGGGTTGGGTAGGGCTGTGTTATTGTCTCTATCACCAAGTGTTGCCAACGTCAAAGGGCTGGTAATGCCAATACACTTCAGACTGGAGATGCGGTGGGGACCCTCCCACTCAGGGGTGTCCTTAGCTTGCACATGAGGAGGGCCAGGCCCGCCACTAGGGGCCAAGGCCTTCCTCAACTTCCCTGCCACTCCCCTGGAGAGCAAGTGGGGGCCCTCGTGAGGCCAAGCAGCCAGTCCCAGGACTGCTGCCCCTGCCAGGCTGCGAGCATGGCCCAGGTACGGCTGTTCTTGCTGGGCCCCCGGCAAGACCTGCAGGAAGGGCTGGCTCCCTCACCTCTGTGAGCTCGGCCATGCTGCTGGGGGTCTCTGGGCCAGTCGGCGGAGGGAGAGAAGACACCCCCTAGCAGGGGCTGTCTCCCTGCTCCGACAGGAGCTCCCCTGCACGGCCTTCTCAATTCCACCTGCAGGAAGGCCTCCCCCATCTGCAGGCAGGAATTGGGGCTTGCATTACATGAAACTGGAAGCTTTAGCCAAGGTGATAACTGTCCTATGGAAATGGAGTGCCGAAGTGCCCTGGGGTCACCTGAGAGCCCTCAGAAGACCCCTGGGGCACAACTGTTGGGATTTCTGGGCTTTTCTTGGGTTCTCTATCCCCTGCTTTGGAAACAGATGTAGCGGGAGCTTCACATCTGATGCTGAGCGAGAACCAGCTAGGAAGGTGTCAGTAGGCTGCTAACCTCAAGGGAGGGAGAGCTGAGGACAGGACATGAGCTGCTGGAGTGGGGACCTGTGGGATTAAATAGGGCTCCCAGGCACCTGCAGTTGCTATAGATTCCTGCCTGCGCCTCCAAAGGGAAGTGAGGCAAATCTATTTTCTGCCCCAGCCTCCAGGCAAGTTTGAGGCTGTTTTGTTCTCCAAAGTCACTTCATACTCCATTACTCGGGTACCTGTCTTCTTGGGAAGAACATGCTTTGGGCTTCAGCTGCCAGGGGCCTCACAGTTTCCTATAGCATGGTGGGTGAATCCAGACCCACTGCAGGGCTTTGAGGTCGGGCAGATCTGAGTTCAAATTCCTGCTCTGCTGATTGATCTTGGGCAAGTTTTTTAACCTCAGTTTTCTCATCTGTGAAATGGGGATAGTAATCGTGCCTACCCGGAAAGATTGCTGTGGCTACTGAATGATGTGAGGCGTGTGTATAAACATGCGTAATACAGTACCCAACCATCCCAGGGGCCCAGCAACTGTTCAGTGTCCTAATGCCACTCATTCCCCTCCTCCCTGCTCAACGCGCTGCCAAGTAGGGATTTATCATTTTACAATCACAAAACCAAGAAGTCTTGGTTAATTGGTTTACCTAAAGGCACACAACTAGGATATGGTAGAATCTGACTTGAAGTTGAATCTAATTACACATATTATGCTTTTTCCAGTGCACTCTTGACCAGTTAATGAGCCAGTTGTATTAGAATCACTTGCAGATACCTGTTAAAACCCCAACACCTCCCCAGGTTTATGGAATCTGAATTTCCATGGAGGGCTGGGAGGGATCTGCATTTTTAGCAAACGCTCTAGGTGCCTCACCCAGTAGTCACTACCCCATACCGTCGTGTGCTGTTATAATGGGGAGGGTGCCCATCAGAGGAATTGAGTTTATTATTATAGAAGAAACGTGAATGGGAAATAAGGAGAAACTTAATGCAATTACGTGGACAGGCATGGATCTGGCTGCCAAGGAAGTGAGGAATTTGCGTATTTCCCTTTGGTTAATTTCATCATCCACCATCATCCACTCAGCACGGCCCTCAGCTCACCAGATCATCTCAGAACTCAACTTACTGCATCTCTATTATAACTTTTGTCACACCATGCCACTGTGTTTATGTGCCTGTCTTCTCCTTCGAAGGGAAACTTCACAAAGACAGGAGCCCTGACCCATCCACCTTGGCCTCACCCCACCCCAGCACGGAAGCCAGGCGGCCAGTGGAGGCCGGTAGTGCTGAATGGACATGGGGCTGGATGAAAAGACTTCCGCCTGCCTCTCTCAGCCCCGGAATCGCCATGAGCTGCTATTCCGGTGAGGTGCTGCTGTGGGGATCCTCCAACTCCCTTCTCCTTGACCCTGCAAGACAGCCAGGAAAGGGAGAGCAGGCAGGACCTCCCGGTTGGGGTCAGCTGCAGCTCCCTGGCCAGCAGCCCCAACTCATCAGCTCTCACATCAAACAGGAATGTTGGGAGATTGAAGGCCTTACTTTTATTTGAATGTTGGGAGATTGAAGGCCTTACTTTTATTTTATTCTAGGAGATTCTATGCTACAGAAGTACAAGGTGAAGAATGCATACCGATTACATTGGCAAGGGAGAGAAGAGCCTGGTGCTAGCACTTTTGCTTCTTTGGTCTTTCAATAATGTCTTTCCCCTTGATTATACATGATATATTCCTATTTTGGAAACTTCGAAAACTATAAAAAAGTCAAAAGAATAATATTACCACTCAGAAATAAAGATCATCAAGTTTTGGTGTATTTCCTTTCCTGGTTCTTTTGTTTATACATTCTTTGGTAACCCCCACGAGGCCGTATCTGCCCAGATGAATAGAACAGGAATCTTCCTCCTGCAGGGCTGGTGCCAGACAGGCTGAAAGCACCGGGCTATGCAGAGAAGACTTAGCCTTGGGAGAACAGAGGCTGGGACGAGGAATTCTCTTGTGAACCAAATCCCCGCTCAGCCAGTGCCTCGCTGATGGCTCCGAGCAACTTGCTACCTTCATCCTGAAACAGTACAGCTGCCCTGTCCCTGGAAATGGTTGTTATGAGGCAGTGCTAGCAACCTCCTGTGTGACCTTTTACAAGTACCCTGTTCTGAAGGGTTTAAGCACGGGCTTTCTGGCAGCTCAGGGCCCCTTGACTTGGACATCTGATGTGCCCAGAACAAAGAGATCTGGATCCAGAACCAAGTGATGTGTGTCTGTGTCGTGGCTTAGCCACATCCTTGCATATGACCTTGGCCAAGTCGCTTTAAACTTTCTGTCCCTCAGTTCTACAACCTTTCTGAGCCTCAGTCTTCTCCTCTGTAAGATGGGAATAGCAAATACTTCCAAGCCTTCTTGCAGGATAGTGTATATGGAAGGTTCCCTAGATGGGGGGTATCAACCTGGCTGTATCGCCCACTTCCCGTCGGAAGACACTGGTGAGTATGACCTGCCATTTGGCCACACTGCTTAGCACACATGGATGACACCTGCCTCAGAGGGCTGTCCCCTGACATACCAGAGTCTTGTGCATACCAAGCAGGCAGCACAGGCAACAGAGGGTTAACAGGGAGAGGGCAGCCCCCTCGAAGCCACGCTGTGGCCACAGTGGGGCCAGCTGAGTTTAGGTCACAGGCCTCCTGCCATGACAGGCCCTAAGTGATGAAAACTTGTCAAGGTTCTCTTCTCTCTCTCTAACAGCCATAAACACCTCCTTGGTGCGGGGGGAGGGAGGAGACTGCGGGAGGAGGGTGTCTGCAGGGATCACACACCTGCGTGAAACTAGAAGAAAAATATCAGTGGGTGCCCAGGGCTTCTCACTACAAACTGCCCATTAGGAAGCCGGAAGGTTTTGGTTTTCATCCTGGCACTGCATAAACCACGTGGAAGACTTTATTGCCCCTTTTCTCTGTCTTCCAGGTTGGCAAGGGGAACTTGTGGGTGTGAATGAAGAGAGAAAACAGAAAGGAGGGTCCCTGCTCCCCTGTGCTGAGTGCCCAGGGCCCCATCCCAGGGAGTTGGCTGATGGACCAAAGCCCGGGCAGAGGCGTGTGTGAATGCTCTGAATTCCGGACTCAGCTAGAGAGGAGAGAATCCCACAGCTCCAGATCATGCTCTTCCTAGCTCCCCTACTTCCTCAAGCAATGCCCTCCCCCCACTCCCACCCAGGCTACTCGGCTGCCTGGAAGGTGAAACCTGGGGGCTGTGACCTTCTGGGGACCTGAGCAGCCTAGAACTGCAGCTGCACAACGGCCACTCCCCTGAGCCAGTGTCCCAGGAGCAGCGAGACTGGGCCTCGCCTGGAGGAGTCAGGTGGCCGCAGCCCTGCCTGCCACAGCCAGAGAGCCACACATCTCCAGCTCCGCCCCGGGGAGCCCAAGGTCAGGCCGTCTTAGCTGGGAGTCGCACTAAGAGGCTTGGAGGATCTCCATCAGCCTTGAATCCCCAACACATTAGCCTGAAGGAAAATCTGATCTACTTGCTGATCCCTGGGGGGCGTCAGGAGTGACAGTCATTTCCTTGAAAGCTGAGAGGGAGAGCTGACCCCTGAGAGCTGTTAGGATCCTCCCAGCCTCAGAGATCAGCCACAGTCAGGCAATCATTCTGCCTTTTAGCTGGTCTTGCAGGAGGCGGGAGCAGATTAAGACGATGCTTCCAGACCCAGCACTGCCTGCCTCTGGTTGAGGTGACATTGACCACTGCCTCCTGGGAGAGCTGCTAGGTGGTCAGAGGACAGGTTAGAGTCTGCCTTCTCCTGCAGTCAAAACTCCCTTTAAGTTACAGAAAATATCCACACGACTAAGGGAATTACAGATTTCTAATCGATTTCCTTGGCCACGTGAGAACAAACAACACATTTGCACTTGAGCCTAACAAATCTGTAGGAAGGGCTTGCCCAGGTGTAGAGAAAACCACCTTCTGGGCTTAAAATATGACAGAAAAGGTTATGCAAATCACTTTCACTGAGTTAAATAGGTTAATTTTTAAAGGTACCTTCAATGAGTTAAGAGGATGAATGAGGGAAACCATGGCATTAAGTTTAACGTTTTGACTGAGACTTAAATAGAGCAGAATGTGTTTGTTCTCCAACGCTGAACTCTCAGTTTTCAATCCAATCAAAGGGTTTTTGCAAGTTGCTTTCTAATCCCAGCAGCAGGCGGAACTGCACGTCCAGCCTGCCTGCCTACCTGCCAGCCAGTCTGTGTCTGGTGTACTTTGGGCCTCAGAGTCGCAATCTTCTGAATGAGTGTGGTTCTTGGACCACTCAGGGTGGGATGCTGTGGGTTTGTTCACTGAGGCCCATTCACCGAAGGAGCCCCAAGCCACATGGGCAGTTATGACAGACACAGGGCTCAGAGCTCCCGCTTGGGGATCCCTGGGTCTGTCCTCTCAGGTCCCCTGTTGGTCCCCTGGCCCTGGTCTCGCCCTCCTTTCATTCCCTGATACCCTAAGTGTGGCCCAGGGACTAACAGAATAGTGTCACCTTAGAGCTTGTTGGAAATTCGAAAGCACAAGCTCCATTCCCAACCAAAGGGACCAGAATCTTCATCTGCACATGAGCCCCAGTGACCTGCATGCACATTAGAGTTTGGCAGTCAATGCTCTGAGAGATTCTCTATCCTGTGATGAGGATGATTTCTGGAGCATGCATCTCCTTGGTCGCTGCTCTTTGAGCATGCCCAGTGGAACCCTCTGCGTTGGGCCACCTCACGAGCCTCACCTGCTACCTCTCTCCCCATAGCTCTCTACCCTGTATGAGTTCCAGCCCCGGCTCTGTGGCTCACTCATCATGTCATCCTAAGCAGGTCACCTGACTTCTGTGGACCTCAATTTATCCATCCATGAAATGGACACAGTGAGGGCAATCATGTAGTCTTGTTGTAAGAATCAGAGATCACGGAATGAGGCTGCAACTCATTCAGTCCTGTTTCTCTCTCTGCCCCCACCCCCATGCATTCTGTTGCCTGCTGACATTTTTGTGATTTACATTTTTGGGAATCAAACAGGAAAAGCAGGGGTACCAGGAAGGTCATCCGACAATTAGAAGAGGTGAGTAATGCCTGCGAAGTGCCTGGCATACAGGACACACCCCTGGTGGCACAGGGAAGTGGCTAGAGGAGCGGAAACAGTGCAAATATAAAGCACTTTTAATAATGCTAATATTCCCTTTACCCTATGTACGACAGCCTTTGGTAGTCAGATTAGTCCTGACAATTTCTGCTCTGCTGTTGGCCTATGGAGCCTGGCTCTACACATCACCCACGGTTGTGCCTCACCCTGGGCCACCTTCCTCGCTTGGCCAGCACACTGGGCAGGGCACTTCATGCTGCTTGGCTCACAGGCCTGGCAGGAGATGTGAGCATGACTTGTAGACTCGAGGCCCAGGCTGCACATGAGAAGCACGCAGGAGCTTTAAAAACCACACGTGTGGTTATCACCCCCAGACATTCATTGGATTGGTCTTCGGTGTGGCGTAGGCTTTGGGAATCCTAAAAGCTCCCCAGGTGGTTACGGTACACGCCAGAGTGAGGAGACTAAAGGACGATAAGCAGGACAAATTCTAGGAAACTCCATCCTAGTGGGCGCTATGCGGAATGCTAACTTCCTTAAAAAGAAAAAGCCTCAGCTCCCACAGGCAATAAAATCTCGAACTCGAAACCAACAAATAGTATCTTTGATGAACAAGAATGTTTTTTGTTCCTTCCTAAGAAAGCAAATCAAAGCAGTTTAGCCTCAGCCATTCAAAGAGCAGCTGGGGGCTGTGCGCGGTCTGTCCTGGGGCACTGTGCATCTCCCCTCACCTCTTATACCCCCCACCAAGAGCACCAGGGGTGATAGAGCACCCCAGAGATATGGCTCAAACCCGCAGGTGCCTCATCTTCTCCGAAGCCGACAGCACATGCACCCTCTCGTTACTAAAGACGGATATAATAGAATGGTGTGTTCTGAGAAGCACTCTCGGTATCAAGTGTTAAAACGCAAACAGGCTTCCAATTAATCAGTCAGATCCCTGCGTCCCTGAGCCCTGCCCCACTCCAAACCCCAGTGGATTCTCTCAGCCCCTGAGGCATTCCAGGCCTCATGGGGATTTAGTTTTCGGGATTCTGCAAAACAAACCAAGCAGGCCTCAGCCTACCCAGCTGACCCAAGAGCCACTGCCGGCTCTGGAAGGCAGCTGCCCTTGATGGCTGGCTCACCTGTGGCCAGAGTGGCCTGACTCGCAGGTGTCACCTGGGCCTCAGGGACGGGGTGGGGCAGGGGTTGAGAGCTGGGGTAGGGTTAGCTTCATGCCTGGTGCTGCTGAGAGGCTGTCGTGCCAGACACGGGTGATTCTCCCCTGGGGGGGTGGAAGGGGACAGGGCACCCAGCTCTGCCCCCCCACCCTGTTCTCAGGCTGAGTCACCATGCACAAAAGATGCTCCTATTGGGAATCTGCTTTGCCTATGAGCAGGAAAGTGACCGCGCTGCGGTCCCAGCTCAAACACAATGTGCCTTTACCTCACACCTGGCCCCGCCCTGACTTCTGAGCCAACTCCTCCTCTGAGCCTCCTCACCGAGCTTCTCCCCAGGCAGGACCCATCCCGCCGACTCTGGGCAGCTCCACAACTCCTCACCACTCGAGCACATTCCACACCGAGCCAGCTCCTCACAGCAGCGCCCTGCACAGCCACACCCCAGCCACTGTGCCCCATGGAGCCACCCGGCCAGCGCCCAGCACAAGAAGAGGCCGCTCACGTGCAGAAGAGTGGTCCCCGGAGTGGCAGGCAGCTGGGGTGGACAGCAGGGTGGGGAGGTTCCAGCACAGAGGGAGGGGCAGTCACACCCCAGGAGCCAGACTCCAGTACTGGGAGCGGTGTTGGGGGGAGGGGGGTACACCTTAACATGGGTTCAGGTTCTGCCAGAAAACACCTGCTTCCTTCATTAGTGTCTGCAATTAGGGGCTGATGACACCTGGGTCCCCCCAGCCACATACAAATGACGCCTGCCTTCAACTCACGGGAAGATTACAGATGTGCACTTGGGGGTTAGAGAGAGGGGAAGAAATACATGGTGGGGGTGGGGAGACAGACAGAGAGAGACAGAAAAAGACACAGAGAGACGGTGGCATCTCCTCTTTTCTGGGGATTCTTGGGGGCAGCCACTCACCAGTTCCTTCCTGAGCCAGGCTATAGCTTCATCGATGCTCTGAAAGCCTTCCAGCTTGCCAGTGGACAGGGGTCTGGCACCTTGGCTGGCACTCCTGGCAGAAGGGGGGTGCTGCCCAGCCTCTCTCAGGGGGAGCAAGGGCTCCTGCCCCCCACGCTCCCCCTCCTCCAAGCTCGCCTGTGGCTCCGCAGCCGGCCTCGGGAAGGGCCAGGTATGCTCCTCCAGCCTGGCCTGCCATTCCAGGTAGGAGGGCCTGCGGGTCTCCAGCCTCAGTTTCTCGGTGAGGGCCTTCAGGCTCCGGAGGTGGTCATCGGGTGGTGCGGCTGCTCCCGCCCCCTCTTCTGCACCCACTTCTTCCACGTGGATCTGGGGCACAGACATTCTACAGTCTGCCCTGGCAGCCGGACATGCGAGGGCACGGGGGGCGCAGGGGGAGGCTTGGTGGGTGGCACAGTTGGGTCCCGCTCTGGGATGGCCTCATCCAGGTGCCCGAGGGCATTTCCGGGACAGGAGCCGGCCTCAGAGGCTGGGTGGCAGGGGAGCTGAGAGGGACCGCGCAGTGAGCCGCACAGGGCGCCCTCCTGGAGGCTCGGGTCTATGATCCGTCCTGGAAGCCTGTGGGTGCCATGCTCCACAGAAGGCAGGAACAGACAGCGTCGCAGGAATCTCGGGGCAGCCTGTGCCAAGGTCTATCTGTCCTGAACGCACTCGAAGACCAGACTGGCAGGAAGAAGGCCCAGAGCTCTCTCTTCTCGGGAAGGGCAGGTGGCTGGAGACCCTGTGGGAGGGATGAGAACCGCATCAGTCCCGATCCCTGCCCTGCCACTCAGAGGCGGGCACGTCCACTCCACAGGAGGGGAAACTGAGGCTCAGAGTGGACTGGTGGCTGCGCTTCTCATGGCTAGTCCGGGACGGAAGTGAGATCATTTTAATGCCTTAATTCAATGCAGAGAAGTTAATGAGCAATTGAAAAATTGTGCAGTGTTTTACCATTTATATAAAAACGACTCCGCCTCTACTATCTTATTTAATGCCCCCAGCAAGTCTGCAGGGATTTGTTTTTATTCTCATTTCACACACGAGGAACCCACATATCCTAGAAGTTAAATGACTCACCGAGATCTCCCAGCAATAAGTTGTGGGGACAAGCTCAGGCTGTCTGAATCTGAGGCCACAGGTCTTTCCTCTCTGTGGCAACAGCCGGGGGGTCCCCAGAGCCAGCCAGCAGGGAAACCGCACCCCACACAGGCTAAGGTGGGTCTGCTCCGTCCAGGTGCCACTGCCCCCTCACCACCTCCACCCACCACAGGTCCTGTCCTCCAGCAGCCGTTTCTACATCCAGGTCTTACTCTACGCTCCTAGCTTCTTCCTCCAAGAACAACACCTTACCTCACCTCTTCAGAGACAGAAGCAAATAAACCTGCAGCTGTGGAGGGAAGAAGGCGGTGGCACCTGGGCTGGATGGCTAAACAAGCAGGCTGTGACTCATTGTTCTAGAACGAGGCTTCTCGTGTTCACCTAAGTGCCCGCATGGCAGCACCTGTTTGGTAAAGACTTCAGCTATGGGATCTGATGTGGCCTCCCCATCTCCAGAGAGGAGGCATAAGCCCCAGCTCCTACCCCATAACATCAGACACAGGGTAGAAATCTAACTCCCAGTAAGAAGAGACCGCAGCCTCCAGACTCTGTGGTCCGAGGTCCATGGGGTGGGCAGTGGACATGGGTGAATCAGAGTAGGAGACATCTGATTTGGACCCAGGTGGTAAGCCCTGGATTTTAAGGGTGTGTTTTAAAAAAAAAAATCTGTGCTGGGGGACATGCAGCTATAAAAAAGAATGAATTGATATGGAATGATGTTTGAGATAAAGCTTAAATGAAGAAAAGCAAGATTCTCAGCAGCCTGGAGAGTAGGCCACCCTTGGGGTGAAAAAGGAGAAAGAAAGAGGGATTGTTACTGACTTGTAAATGCCTAAAAACATCCCGGCCAAAAAAAAAAAAAAAAAAAAAGGAAGGGAATAGCCATAGTCATGATTACTTGTTTGGAGTGAGGGGAACTGGGCAGAAGGGAGGTGAGGATAGGAGGGAAAAGAATTAAGATGAGGGTGGCAAAAGCTGAACAGGCAGCAGGACCACCTCGCGGTGTCCTGGGATTCCTCTCCGACATGGCACGCAGACGCTTAAGAAAGGAGAGCAGAACTTTCCAGTCCAGACGTTTTCCTCAGCCCCAGCCTGTGGTGGGGATGTGAATGGAGGACGTCCTGCTGCCCGACCTCTGCCGCCCTAGGCTACGAGCCTGCCCTAGCAAGGGGCATCCATGGAGAATGAGAAGGAATAGTCCACCCCAACTGGTAAGCAGAGAAACCCGCTGTCACCTCCAGCTCTGCTTGGAGCAAGCGAGAATCCCCCTGAGGAACTGGATTCTGATTCAATTGGTCGAGAGATGGGACTTAGACAGCAGTGTTCAGCTCCCCCGATGATCCGAGTGTGCAGCCGGGGTGGAGAACCACTGTCTCCAGATGCAGACACTAGAGTTGGGATCAGATGGCCTAGCTCTACGTCTTGTCAGGCTTGCTAAGTCTCATTTTCTTCATCTGTAAAATGGGAGTGATAAATACCAACCTCCTATGTTCTAGCAGATTGGCAGAACTAAAATTCACCGGCACTCTCTGAAGACTTAGCACGCTAAGTCCGCAAATGCGAAATGTACTCATGGGAGTCTCCTGTGCAGTTTCACGGTCAGAATCTGTCCAAATCTAAAGACTTATCAGCTGCTTTCTGGGGCCCCTCCCAGGCGCCGTCTGCCTCTTTGCTGAGGTGCCAGGATCTGTTTTGAGCATGTCTGGGGCAGCTGCACCTACAGGGCTTCCTTCTCCCTGGCAGGGGAGCTCTGATTAGATCCATCAAAGCTTCCTGGAGAGGATTCAACTGCAGGCGGATGAGCAGCACCCTCCCGCCCTGAGTTCTGTGAGGAGATAACATGGATGAGGAGCCCTGGTGGCCCACCCCCTCCCCCACCAGCAGGCTCCCACTGCAGAGGTGAGGGCATCCCACTGGGCTACCACTGCTGGGTGAGGGGCTCCTCTCAGGGTAGGAAACTGCTACAAGTCTGTAACTGTATTGCAGACAATTTATTTCAATTATTGGTTTCTTTTCTTTTTCTTTTTTTTGAGACGGAGTTTTCACTCTTGTCACCCAGGCTGGAGTGCAATGGCGTGATCTTGGCTCACTGCCACCTCCACCTCTTGGGTTCAAGCGATTCTCCTGCCTCAGCCTCCCGAGTAGCTGGGGTTACAGGCAGCTGCCACCATACCCAGCTAATTTTTTGTATTTTTAGTAGAGACAAGGTTTCACCACCTTGGCCAGGCTGGTCTGGAACTGCTGACCTCAGGTGAAGGCCTGCATAGACCATGTCAGGACCATCTGGTGGCACGGGCATTAGCCCCTGTGAACTGTGACCAGCTAGTGATGGTCCTCAGATCTGCTGAGCTTGGTGAAGTGCAGAAAACACAGTGTGCACATCTGCCCATGTGAGCCCCAAAGTAGCCCCCAGAGGCAGGCGGGATCACCCCATTTCACCAAGGAGAAATCGAGGCTAGGGCAGGTGAAGTGCCTCACCTCCTGGTCACAGGCAGGTGCCAGCAGCTGGACCTGGGCACAGTCATTTGACTCTGTCTCAGCCTCTTTCTACTCTGGAGAGTGTGGGCTCTGGGTTAGAGCTCCAGGGCAGCCATTGGCTTTGTGACGCTGGCACATTGCTTCATGACCACTCTGGGCCTCTGTGTCCTCTTCTGAGAAATGAGAACAACCGGAACGACTACATAATTCACAAGGCTCAGTATGAAACGAAGATGCGGGGCTCCTTGTTTAAAAAGTTCTAAGAATTGGCCGGGCGCCGTGGCTCATATCTGTAATCCCAGCACTTTGGGAGGCCGAGGCGGGTGGATCACGAGGTCAAGAGTTCAAGACCAGCCTGACCAACATAGTGAAACCCCGTCTCTACTAAAAATACAAAAATTAGCTGGGCGTAGTGGCGCACGCCTGTAATCCCAGCTACTTGGGAGACTGGGGCAGGAGAATCGCTTGAAACCAGGAGGCAGAGGTTGCAGTGAGCCAAGATCGCACTACTGCATTCCAGCCTGGGCGACAGGGCGAGACTCTGTCTTAAAAAAAAAAAAAAAAAAAGTTCTAAGAATTTCAAGACAGGGACAGCAGAGCATGAACCCACACGAGGGGCCCTGTGCCACTGCCCACAGCCATGAGGCTAGTTCTGGGGATAATAACATCTACCTCGTAAGTCCTAATCAGGGATTCAATAAGGTTACAAATGTGAGCTCTCAGCACACTGCCTGGTCTACAGGAAGCCCTAGACATAGTCATGTAGCCTTAGTCATGGTTTTTAAAATGTCATTATTAAGATGACATAACCTATCAGAGTTATATCACCGTCACATGACAGATCATGACCCTCCAACTGCACTGAGCAGACACTCTGTTGGTCTCTGACCTGCTGGGTGGCCCAAGACAATCCCTGCCCCCTCACATCCTTCCCTGGACACCAAACGACACGAAGTCAGTTGATCCCACCTCCCCCAGATTTTCAGGTCTCAAAACTTAGTGGAGTCTGTTCTGCCATAGAAGGGAGAGAACAGCTCCACTTACTAAAACCATTCCATGCCTGCTCCCTTCCCTCTCTGCTCACATTGTGAATGCCCCGCCCACGGCTCGGGGTGTTGGAGAGACTCCACCCTGTGCTCTCTGCATGGCAGACCAAGGCCAGGCCCCAGAAGCCTGGTTTCTGGTCCCAGCACTGCTGACAAGCCGAGCACCCAGGCTCAGTCCTTTCCTCGTGGCCTCAGTTCCCTAATCTGTGCAATGGCTGAGGATCTATGGAACCTGGTATGTGAGAGCTCTCTTTAAACTGTAAAGAGCTGTACCCACCTGAATAGGCGTGTGTGCAATGTGGAGAGGCCTGAGTTGGGGAGTCACTATTTTAGAGCAGGTGGTCACCCGTAGCTGGCAGGAACGGGATTGCCCCCAGCACAGCCAGATGGTGAGGAGCTGCTGCAGGAATGGGATTGCCCCCAGCACAGTCAGACCGCGAGGAGTTGCTCAAGCAGCATGTGTTTTCCTGGTCGTCAGTGTTTGGGGAGCACTGTCCCCCTGGGTGCCCTGGTGCCTGAACAAGCCCAAAGGGGTTTCTTCCCTCCCACTAGGCACAGGAGCTCAGCTGGAATGTCACCCACACAGGCGCAGGGACGTGACAGCAGAAAAGCTTGTCACTGCTCACTGGGCACTGAGCTGGACCCGGCCTGAGCCGGCAGAGAGGTGCTGGCCGGGTGCCGGGGAACAGATGCCAGCACTGGGCAGCTTCCTGGGCTGGAAAAGCAGTGGAGGCCTCCCCTCGCTTGACAAACCAGGGACTCCTGGGGCCCAGGCCCCGGGAGGAAGAGCCCCCCAACACTCTAAACAAACGGGCTTTCTTTACATGTAACCTGGGTCGTTCCTAGGGGTGGAGGGGCCGGAGAAGGAAGCCAAAGGACGCTGCCAGACCTGGGACCTAGGGTGTCTAGAAAAACGACATCAGACCCTGTAATCCCACCAGGCCCAGGCACGCCCCGCCAGGCAGGCCACCCAGCAGCAGTGGGGACAAGCCCTTGGGGGGGCGCGTCAGCCTTTCTGCAGCTCTGTGTGCCAGTGCCGAGGACCCATGCCACACACAGAGACTGCTGTTCCAACAAGCTCCCTGGCTCCCAGGCCCACAGCGGCTCCTTGGAGGAGCCTTCGCCAACCATGAGCTAACTCCTCTGGCTGCTGGAGGAGCCAGGTGGGGGCAGCTCAGCCAACACCTTGTCTCATTATGACCTAATCTGTTCACCTGGAAAACGGTCACATCCACTTCCTCGATGGGCTCCCAAGGGCAGGGGAAGACGCAGGCACTGCTGACCCATCCCCTCCACACCTCCTCTCACCACGCGCTCCTGCTGTTCCTTCCAGCCTCGCATTCTCCACTAGAACCCTTTCGTTTCTTCTCCATAAGACACAATCTTTCCAACCCCGACCCAGCACTCCTGTCCCGCCGGACACCATGCTCTTTCACACCCCTGACTCGGCACAAGCTTTCCTCCAGCCTGGAAAGCCCTTCACTCCCTTCTGTGCCTTAGTTCAGTTCTCAGGGATTTTCTCCTGGGGGAAGTTTTGCTTGATTTGCCCAGGCTGGGCTGTGTGTACCCAGGACAACCCGAGCACATCAGAGAAACAATTATGTCATCGCAACATTAGCTAATGCTTACAGCACACCACACGAGCTGTGGTGCTAAAAGCTTTACATGTATTAACACATTTAATCCTCACAACAGCCCTATGAATCTGGGGTATCATCATCCCCATTTTACAGATGAAGAGACTGAGGCATAGACAGGTTCGGGACCTTGCCTGAAGCCACAGAGCTTATAAGTGGTGAAGCTGGGATTTGAACCTCTGCAGTCTAGCTCTGAGCTGGCCCCTAACCACTGGGCTTACTGCCCCTCTTAAGCCACAGCACTTACACCCAGGGCCTTTGTCAATGGTCGCCTCTAGCAGACTCTCAACTTCAGGACGAGAACCAAGCCTTTTATGCTGGACCCTCCAGTACTTAGCACAATGCTGCTCTCTTTAAATGCTGTGGAATGAATGAGCCAATAAAACAGATTTCCTCCCACTCACAGCGACCTGTCCTTGCTCAAATCTGAGCCAGCCTGGATGGGCTCAGAGAGGCAGAAAAAGACACCCAGGCTTCCTGGGATGGTGCCTCCCCTCCTGTCCCCACGGATGCCACCCACCCTGCCTGCCCTGACCACAAGTGTCCAGACATAGGTGTGCAGGCTCTGGGCCTGCAGTGGGACAAAGACAGGAACAGCTGCAGCTCATCCCAAATCCCAGGACTATGTGCTGGAGTTGGAGGGGACAGTCTGATGTGACAGACCTAGCTTGAGGGCCTCCTTGGAGTCCAGTGCAGGATGAGGTCATTTCCATCCAGCAGCTTCCTCCCTCTTCTGGAAAGTGCATCCCCCTTTCCCACAGGAGCCCATCCCTGGGGTTTCCTTTCTCCTGGGGCGTGGGGAGACACAGGATGAAGTTTTGGTGTCAGAACCACTCAGAGGCCAGCCTTGCTCTGAGCTGGCCGGGGCCGCTGGGGCCACCATGCTCAGCACATGTGGGGAAAGGGTCTAACTGGAGAGCAAAGCCAAGCCGACAGTGTGGCAGCTTGGCCATCACAGCCCAGTGGCAAGGAGCTGGGGGCCCGCAGCTGGGCCCCGTGGGAAGCCACCCGCCCTGCCCAGGTTACACAGCGTATACCTTCCGCCTTTTTTGCTTCAGCTACTTGGAGATGGGGTTTCTGACATTCGTAAGTGACTGACACAGCACGCACTGGAGAAGGAATATTAAAGAGCACAGTGGATGCTTGCTGCTATTTGTCTTTCGTTGGACTGTGTGTCTGTTTGCCATATCCAACACCCTCTCCTTTCCTGTGTGGAGGGAGCTCCCCATTTTGTGCAGAACAGCAGGCAGGCCGTGCAGCCTTCTCTGCAACCAGAGGACCACGTGCTCCTCTTCCCAGCTCATGCCCTGGTGACCAGGTGTGAGCATGTGACCTGAGCTTGGCCAGTCAGCTGTTCAGGCCCCGACTCTGAATTGGGTGCGTGTGAGTCTCAGAGGAAGGGATGGTTAGGGCGCATCTGTGAACCAACCCTGGAGGCAAATGTGAAGTGCAGGGGCGGTGGCATCCTCTTAGCCAAATTGTCTCTGCTGAAGGACTGGCCCGGGATCTCCTGCCTCTGCCTTCTGGATCTGCCCTGGTTCTGCCTGTTTTCTGGTCTTTACCTCCTGCCAATTCTGTGGGCACCTGACAGCCTTACAATAATGTCATTTTCTCTTGCTCACAACCAAGAGCTGTAACTGAAATGAGACAGGAAGCACAACTCATTTGGTGAGGAAAATATACAACTGAGAGCAAACCAGTGTCATAAAATGTCATGACAATCCAAAAGGCTCCCTCTGCCACCATTCCACGTGTCCCTTGGTGGTGGGGGGCAGGGAGGGGGTGCTGTGCGACCTCCCATTGAGAACCACAGGGTGGATGGTCACTGTCCTCCTAATGAAATCTTACTGAGTCTGTCCACATGCAGAGTTGACTTGTCTCCTAACTCACAATCCATGACAGGCTATGCTTGATGAGGACAGAATGACAATTTCGCATATGAGTGAATTTATCCTTGCTCTGCTCCTCTGGCAGAAACGCCGCCCATGGTTCCCTGTGCAAAATGGATACATGCTGGGTCATGAGACCAGCCCAGCTGGGCTACAGCCGGACATCAGGGCAAACAACTGAAGGGCCGAGAAGTCTGGTGAGCTGTGCTCTTTTGGGAGTGGTGCCTCTGGGCTGTTTCAGGACTGTGACAGTCCCCAGAGGGAGAGGGGGTGAGCAGAGGCAGAAAGAGCATGAAGGAGTGAGCCTGTGGCTGCATCTGTCTCCCACAGGCTGCTGCTTCCTCCACCTGCAGCTCCCTCCCTTCTCATCATCAGCCTCCACCCCACGAGGTTGCCTCGGGTCTGTTTCTGCAGCCTGAAAGAGGTGCACTAACCCTATTCAAATCCCCATTTTACAGGTGAGGAAACAGATAACTTTTCTCATGAAACCGAAGCCCAAGCTCCCATAAACAGACGTGACGGCCTGAGATCCTGGCCCAGAAAAAAGGGTGCTTTATTTAGCATCTATGAATGCTGGGGGAATGTGCAGGCACGTTCCCCAGTGCCAGCACGGGCTGAGCAATGGTAGGTCTCCTCAGAGTTCACCGAGCATCAGCACACACATTCGGGCCTCACGTCCTTCTGACTTCACGCAGGAGAAAGTGGAGGCCACAGAGGCTGGCTGGTTCCCAGAACACAGATCTGCTGCAGGAAAGCTGGGGTGATCTCCCCCCTCTGTCCCCTTCATCACGGCTGCCCCCATTCCCCTGCACTCCTGACCCCTCAGCCTGAGCCTGGGGACTTGGACGCTGTCCCCTTCTCCACAAAGCTCCCTCCTCCAGGCTTCCTCTCCTCTGTCCTGCTGCCGGTTATCCTTCTAAAATGCAACTCGAATCCTGCCCCTTAATAACTTTCCTACTAAGTAACTTTGTTATTGAGATGAGGTCTCACTGTTGCCCAGGCTGGAGCGCAAGTGGTACAATCACAGCTCACTGCAGCCTCAGACTCCTGGGGTCAACTGATCTCCTGCCTCAGCCTCCCAAGTAGCTGGAACTGCAGGCATGTGCCACCATGCCTGACTCTAAATAACATTTTAGTAACACTGTCAAGCTGCTAATATGTATGAAGCACTCAATATGTGCCAGGCACTATAAGGAGATAGCACCTCACTTATTTGCATGAGAATCTTGTGAAGTATGCACTATGATTGTCCCATTACACAGATGAAGAGACCGAGGCACAGAGATGATAAGGCACGGGCCCAGTGGCACTCAGACTGTACCTGGCAGGGCAAGGACTGAAACCAGCAGATGCACAGCTCCCTGTGGAGGTGGAGGGGAGGGCTGCAGCAGGAGCCAGGAAGGCTGAGCTGGGGACCAGGACCGGGTCAGAGGCTCTGTGACCCTCCCCATGGTCTACTCAAACAGAACAAAGCAAGAGTGTCCTCTGGGAATCAAGTTGCCCCCCGAGATAGCCAGCTCTGTCTTGGTTCTGTGCTGTCCTATGACGCTGGCCACTCCACAGCAGAACCACCTTCACTGAGTTTATGGAGCACGTCTACACCGCAGCACATAAACACTGCAGGGAAGGCTGGGTCTTCTTACCCCATCATGCAGCAAACCGAGGTGGCAGCCTATGTGACCAGCCTAAGGCCCGGGGCTCCTCAGTGACAGCCCAGAGCCTACTGCCCACACTCCTTGGGGTTGCTGTGCCATCTTCTAGAACCTACTATCTGGCAGGACTAGCTATCACGCGTGTGGAAAGCTTTCCATCTGCAGGTATAACTGGGTTCTCCCAGAAATTTCTGGAAGGAAGAATTAGCTACACTGTGACTTAGGGCCCTGCAGGATCCTCAGCAGGGCAGGTCTTGGGGGATGGGATGTCTTTAGTGCCGGCCTCACCTTCTTGACCCCGACACCGTCTGGGTTGCCCATGGCTCTGCTGCCAAAGCCAGGGTGGGCTTGGCTGGAGAGCGGAGGCCCACGTGTGTGTGCAAAGCGCTCTGTTTCCTCTGCTGAGCCTGCTGTGTGTGTCACCAAGCCTAAAACTCCACATCAGAGAGACTCGTGGCTTCACTCAAGGACAGCATCTCCTGATTCCTCCGTCAACACCTGTCTGGTGCAGGGGTGGCAGGAAGAGGCATCTCCACTCTACCTTGCCCTGATGTTGCGGTTTCAGCCAGGCCAGGCCCATCAGTAGAGGGCACAGCCCTGATTTCAACCGGAGACAAAGGCAGGGGCCATGAGCTGGGACCTGCGGTGGCTTCAGAGGCCAGAGAACAGTGAGGCCAGCCCCACAGCCAAGGGAGTGCAGAGGCTCTAAGGGGTTTCATACACAGAAAATTCAGGGTGGTGCAGGGCAAAGCTCATGCCTGCATCTTTTCCTTTTGTTTTCTGAAAAGGCAAATCCCTTTGTTCTGGGTGAGTAAGAGGTTAGGAGGTCTGGGACATGGCTCCACAGTCGGCCTAGGGAGGCGAGCCTGGGGTGTGCAGGCTTTTCTGCCCGGGTTTAATCAGAAACCCAACACTTATCTCACCCAGAGGACCAGACAGGACTGGGCTGGCCTCTGGCTGGGCTCAGCACTGACCAGGTGGCAGCCGAGAGGACAGGGACACAGCCCTGGGCCCCACAGAGCTGCTGCCGGGAGCCAGGCTGCCCTAGTGGTCCCCTCCTCCTCCGGGGTTGCCATGGCAACTGAGCAGGAGGGACCCTGCTGTCTAGCCCTGGCGCTCATCTCTTGCCTTTCCAGCCTCATCTGCATTCCAAGCCTTGGTCAGAGCCGGTGTCAGGAGCCCTGACATGGAGATGACATCCTGCCGAGACCTGACCCCGGCCCCAGTGCTGCACGTGGCAGGGATGGGTTGCTGGGATATGTGTGTGTGCGTGTGTGTGTGTGTGACTGTGGTGGGGTTGTTGCCTTGCTGAGTGTGGGTGGTGGTTGCCTTGCTCTGTGTGTGTGTGTGACTGTGGTGGGGTTGTTGCCTTGCTGTGTGAGTGTGGGTGGTGGTTGCCTTGCTCTGTGTGTGTCTGGGGGGGGTGGTTACCCTCCTGGGTGTGTGTGAGTGTGGGGGGTGGTTGCCTTGCTGTGTATGAGTGTGAGGAGTGTGAGTGTGGGATGGTTGCCTTGCGTGAGTGTGATTGTGAGTGTGGGGGGTGGCTGCTCTGCTGGGTGTGTGTGAGTGTGGGGGGTGGCTGCTCTGCTGGGTATGTGTGAGTGTGGGGAGTGGTTGCCCTGATGGGTGTGTGAGTGTGAGTGTGTGGGGTGGTTGCCCTGCTGGGTGTGTGAGTCTGAGTGTGGGGGGTGGTTGCCTTGCTTTGAGTTTGAGTGTGGGATGGTTGCCTCACCTGAGTGTGAGTGTGCAGGGTGGTTGCTCTGCTGGGTGTGAGTGTTGGGGGTGGTTGCCTTGCTGTGTGTGAATGTGAGTGTGGGTGTGGGGGATGGTTGCTCTGCGGGGTGTATGAGTGTGTGAGTGTCGGGGGTGGTTGCCTTGCTGTGCATGAGTGTGAGTGTATTGGGGGTGGTTGCCCTGCTGGGGTTGTGTGAGTGTTGGGTGGTTGCCTTGCTGTGTATGAGTGTGAGTGTGAGGGTTGGTTGCCTTATGGGTATGAGTGTGAGTGTGGGGTGGTTGCCTTGCAGAGTGTGAGTGTGAGTGTGAGGGGTGGTTGCCCTGCTGGGTGTGCGTGAATGTGGGGTGGTTGCCTTGCTGTGAGTGAGTGTGGGGGGTGGTTGCCTTCTGGGTATGAGTGGGAGTGTAGGGTGGTTGCCCTGCTGGGTATGAGTGTGAGTGTGGGGTGGTTGCCTTGCTGTGTGTGAGTGTGAGTGTGGGAGGTGGTTGCCTTGCTGTGTGTGTGTGTGAATGTGGGAGGTGGTTGCCTTGCTGTGTGTGTGTGTGAATGTGGGGGGTGGTTGCCTTGCTGTGTGTGTGTGTGAATGTGGGGGGTGGTTGCCTTGCTGTGTGAGTGTGAGTGAGTGTGGGGGGTGGTTGCCTTGCTGTGTGTGTGAGTGTAAGGGTTGGTTGCCTTGTGGGTATCAGTGTGAGTGTGAGGTGGTTGCCCTGCTGGGTGTGTATGGGTGTGAGTGTGGGGTGGTTGCCCTGCTGGGTGTGTGTGTGGGGTGGTTGCCCTGCCTGGTGTGTGTGTGAGTGTGGGGGGTGGTTGCCTTGCTGGGTGTATGAGTGTGTGAGTGTGGGTACTTGCCCTGCTGTATGTGTGAGTGCTTGGGGGGTGGTTGCCCTGATGGGTGTGTGAGTGTGAGTGTGGGGGCTGGCTGCCCTGCTGGGTGTGTGAGTGTGAGTGTGGGGGGTGGTTGCATTGCTGGGTGGATGAGTGTGAGAGTGTGGGTAGCTGCCCTGCTAGGTGTGTGAATATACGAGTGTGAGGTGGTTGCTCTATTGGGTGTGTGCTCTGGGTATGGCTAGGGCTGAGTTAGTGACATGTGCAGAGCTGTTAGGGATGTAGGTGTGGCTGGGTAAGAGACATGGGCGGGGCTGGGTGAAGGACGTGGGTGGTGCTGGATTAGGGGAGTGCGGCTGGCTAAGGGAAGTGAGTGGGGCTGGGTTAGGGACGTGGGTGGGGCTGGGTTAGGGAAGTGGGCAGGGCTGAGTTAGGGAAGTGAGTTGGGCCCTGGGTTAGGGAAATGGGGGGATTGGGTTCGGGAAGTGGGTGGGGCTGGATTAGGGGTATGAGCGGGGCTGGGTTAGGGAAGTGGGCGGGGCTGGGTTAGGGATGTAGGTGGGGCTGGGTTAGGGAAGTGGGCGGGGCTGGGTTAGGGGTATGGGCGGGGCTGGGTTAAGGAAGTGGGTGGGGCTGGGTTGGGGAAGTGGGCGGGGCTGGGTTGGGGAAATGGGCGGGGCTGGGTTGGGGAAGTGGGCGGGGCTGGGTTAGGGGTGTGGGTGGGATCAGGGCTCCACAGGACAGCGCTCCTGGGGTTTTCTCCAAGCACCCCTGTGGTCTACCCTGCCGGGTAAGCATTCCCTCTGGCACATGTCCAGCCAGGACAGCACTAGCCTTCCCCCTTCCTGGAAGCCTCCTGTTTGCTGCCGGGGTTTCCCCTCCCTGCTGCACACCCTTGTGAGAACTCGGCAGTCTCTTCTGAAGGACATTGATGCTGTGCCACAATGTCATATGCTGGCTGCTTCATGCCTGGTTCTGCTTGAACCTCATCTCCACGCAAACCCCAGCCTGGGCCACAGGATGGAGCCCAGCGCTCGCCTTCCTGGTGCTTCCGGAGCTCATCACTTACTCCGTGATGTTTGTTGGTGTCTGTGTGTCCCACCCTTGAGGATGCCAGCTCCTAGCAGGCAGGGGCTTCCGAATTCTGTTCCTGACTGTGACCCCGGCACTCAGAGCAGTGCCCGGCACACAGCGGGTGCTCAGGAAACTTGCTGAGTAAGAGAGTGGGTACATGAATGAATGAAGAGGACTTTCTGGGCAGTCCATCTGGCCCTTTGTCCTTGTCTTTGGCCCTCACTGGCGAGCTAGGCCCTGCACTGCCTGAAAGCTCATCCGAGGGCTCGCCTCCTCCCTGAAGCCCTCTCACACTCCCCACCTTCCAGGCCACCTTTCTCTGAATTCTCCAGTCACTTGCTTTCCTCATGCTGACTGCACACTGGCCCGCATGACCTTGAACTGTGGGAGTCTGTGGTCCTGTCTTCCTGACCAGACATCAGCTCCTTGAGGGGCAGGACACTGCTGCACCTTTTGTGTCCCGAGCACAGGGCCCTGTAAACAGCAGATGTTCAGTGTGTGCTGATGACGCTGATGCGGTGAAGTCAGCGAACAAAGTCCAGCCAGAGTCGTTCACAGCTCCAGATGACATCTCCCCAGCAGACCTCCCACAGCTTCATGGGTAAGACTTTCAAAGTCAGAATGCTTCTGGTGGCTGAGTCATCTTTCTTGAGTTGAGATGGGGTGGTTTGGGATGCTGGTCTCAACTTTATGTCTCATCCTTCCGCGATAGCCTTATGTTTGAATTTGACTCAGTCTTCAAGCCTGGATCAAACAGCACCTCACTCGACAGTCTTTTGTGCTCTTCCGAATGGAGCTGATGGCTTCCTCCCTTCACACTTGGATCTGAGCACTTTCCTGCCCACTCTCAGTGCAGCAGTGCACCTGCTGGATGGTTTTACTGAGTCACATTTCTGATGTGCCTCTCGGGTGAACAGATCTATCTTTTTCCAGCATCCCTTCTGTGGGCATCACTCCTGTCTAATTTCAGGTGGTTCTGAAGGGACCATGAGTCACAGCACCTGCCCATCACCCCTGCCCCAGGAACACTCACGACACCTAGAAAGAGACGTTCATTTTAGCCCTTACTCTGGCAATAGTGACTGGGCCTGGGGATGTGCAATGGGCCACAAAAGACCAATCAGAATATTTTCATGGGATTTAAACACAGACACTTGGAGAAATAGGGTATTTTCATCAGGAGCAGCTCAGCTGGGAGGATATAAGCTTGGAGTTTCCAGAGTCTGGAGAAAGCCCGTCTGTAGTAAAAAGGGAATAAGCCTGAGGTAAGGCGAACTAAGGGAAAAAAAAAACAGAAAGAGAGAGAAAGAGAGAGCATCCTGACATCTTCTGAGCCCTTAGGCCCAGCAGAACCTAAAGAGCTGAACTTCCCAGTGAAATGCACCAGAAGATTCTCTTGCCATCAAGAGAGGCTGGAACGGCACTGCCCACACTAGCCTGGGCTTCAGGAGGGCGAATTCGCCCCCAGTTCTTCCCCCTGCTGCTCATGGCCACCTGCTGGGTATAACCAGTACAACTTCAACACATACTTTCTGATAATAAAATAAACGCATGAATGACTACTTTTCTCTCTATCACCCATTTCTCTATTTCTCATTTATACAGAAATAAATGAAAATTGTTAGAAGGAGGAGGAAAAGAGGAGACCTTTTTTATTGTGCCAGGCACTGTGCAATATCTAGTTTAGCCCTTGAAATGACCCTGAGGCATGACTGGTATTATCTAGTGTCTCGTATTATCTCTACTGCAGGCAAGGAAACCACAGTTCACAAGCAGGTCAGGGAAGGAACCACCATTCCAGCTCAAGTCTCCCCAACTCCACCATTGTGACCATCTTTCAGGTGGCTCCATTTGCACAGAAGTAACAGGCATGTGAGCTTTATAGTACTTACAAGTCCAGTGTTCCTAGAAACCTCAGGGGCAAATAACACTGAAATATTCCCAAGGCAATGCTTTGTTTTTCTGTAAAATTGTTCTGGGCAGAAGAGGAAGAAGAGACCGAGCGCCTCGGTCTGCAGTGCCAAGCACGTGGGTGCTGTGAGTACAGCTGCTGTGGCAGGAGGGCCTCTTTCCGGGGCTGGGGTCTTAGTCCTTGGGCAGGGCTGGGCAGTGAGGGGACCTCAGCCTAAGGGAAGTTCTGCCATTAACAACCTGTGACGCTGGACAAGTCACACGACTCTTTGGAATTCAACTGGAACAGGGATTCATTTCATTTCTTTTCTTTTTTTGAGACAGAGTTTTGCTCTTCTCACCCAGGCTGGAATGCAGCGGCACGACCTCGGCTTACTGCAAACTCTGCTTCCCAAGGTTCAAGTGATTCTCCTGCCTCAGCCTCCTGAGTAGCTGGGATTACAGGCACCCACCACCACACCCACCACCACACCTGGCTAATTTTTGTATTTTTAGTAGAGACGGGGTTTCACCATATTGGCCAGGCTGGTCTTGAACTCCTGACATCAGGTGATCTGCCTGCCTCGGCCTCCCAAAGTGCTGCGATTACAGGCGTGAGCCACCGCACCAGGCCAGGGACTCATTTCATTTGTCTGCTTGTTTTGGTTGATGGAGGTGGCTCCTGGGCCAGTCCCAGGGACAGCTGTGATGCTGGGGCCACCAGTGTGAGAGGATGGGTACATGGCATGAAACCCACTACAGGGCTCTGGGAGGGGCAGGCGCCCTAGTGGGCTGCACCCGTAGATTGCCCTAACACTCCGGCTTTAGGCAGCCCTCGGTGCCTCCTGCCTGGGGTCCCAGCATTGCCGATGGGAGCGGGAGAAACATTTTGGACAGAGCCAGCCTGGTGTGGAAGAGAAAAGAGTTCCCGACCTGGGAGTCAGCTACTGGGGTCCCATCCCACCCTAAGCCATTGGTTTGGGTGTGATGACCTCCGTGCCCTCTTCCACCCTGACACATGCAGAGTCAGCCCACAGCAGCAGGTAGTGGGACCACCATGTCATGGAGCCACCCCCACGGGGCCAGGGAGTAGAGGCGCCGACTCGCCCACGTTTCCCTGGGGACTGTCTCCCAGCAGAGCCCGGTTTGCAGTGTCCTATGCTAATGGTTGCACTTCAGCTCAGGATAGAAGCTTCCGTTTCCACACCTGGTGCAACAAGAGCAACCACATGCATTTTTTAATCACACTGCATTTGCAAATTTTTTTCCCCACACACACAATGACCTGGGCTAGGGAGGCCTTCCTAAGAATTATACCACAGAGAACTGCACACCAGAGCCATCGAAAGAACTGCCCCAGGTCCCACAGCTCCATGAGTGGCGCTGGCTGCGCTTGCACCCAAGTCTTCTGACTCCGAGTTGAACCCTGCATCTATTGTCTAGGAAACAGGGAAACCTTGCTTGTCTCGCTGGGACATTATGAGAAAAGAATCTATAAAAATACTTAAGACCTTTGCAAATTCAAAGTGCTGGGTCCATGCTGAATAATTGATGGGCTCAGGCTGCTTCAAGCTGACGCACAGTCCTCCTGCAGGAAGGCTGGGAGCGCGGAAACCTTCCTTTTCATTTAGCCCGGTGAAAGAGGCTGCTGAGAAAATTGCCAAGAAATACTGCTTCCCTGTTGGTCAGAAAGAGGCCCTGGCTCCTGGGAGCCACAGATCTAATTTATGGGCTCCCTGCAAGGCGGGGAGAAAGCCCAGGGCCACTGCAGGGAGAGGGGCTCTTGGGACGCCCAGTCGCTGGTGTGTCCCTTCCAAGGCTGCGGGGCTCTGGGAAAGGGCGGCCCTGGCAGGCAGGAAGAGGTGCCTGAGAATCTGACAGTTTGGAGGAGATGGGGAGGGGGAAAGTAGCCATGGGAAAAAAAGAGAAGGATGTGGTTTTCCTCCCGGGAAACGCTCGACAAGGCAGGGATGCCCAGACGGGCTAAGGCAGCCTGCTGCCGCCCCGCCAACCGCCACATGAGACCCAGGGCTTTTCTGGCCAAAGGCCATGGTGGCAGTGGGGATTAGAGGGCAGAAAGTAGACACAGAGTGGCCTTTAAAGCAATCTGCAGAGATGAAAGCAGAATGCAGCGCAGGCCGGTACCCTGGCTATACAAACAGGAAACACTTCCCAGCTGGCTGAAACTCAGACACCAGGGCACAGCTAAGGACACGGGGGATGTGTGCCCTCCCCTGTGGCTTCAGCCCACCAGAGTGGCTCCTAACCAGCTGGCATTGGCCTCAGCCTCCAAACAAGGCAGATCTAGGACTATTTGAATCCACAGGATAATTGGCTCCAAGTTGAAAATAGGCAGAATCAACAAACGCCAGCTCAAGGGGGGATTTGTCCAGATGATCTGATTTCTATTTTACTCTGCAGCACAAGTTCCAAAGCCCAGAGTTTCTAAAAGGCTTCGTAAGGCCTTTCACGGTGTTCCCTGTGCTTATGCCAACTGGGCACCTCCACGTTCGGGCTGGGGGTCCTGACCTCTCAGGGGCTAGAAGGGTCCTTAGGGTTTCCTGGTGTTTGGACGCAGTGGGGTCCCAGTGTGGCCTCAGCCTGGCTTGGACTGCCCAGTGCAGCCTGTAAGTGGCTGCAGGTGCAGCGCTGTGCCTGCACTGGGGTTTGGCAGGGACATATGGCCTGAGTGCCCGCAGGCAGGGCAGAAAATGGGATGTGTGACTTTGCTTCCCTGCCGTGTCAGCTTGCGCTGGAGGTACTTGGCTGCTGAAGCCTCCCGGGTTCACACCTCGCAGAGGAAAGGAATCAGGAGCAGGAGAAAGGGATGGAGCAAGTTAGAACAGGGCAGAGCCGGGTGTCGGGGGACGTGGGTTGGTTGACAGCCAGCCTGCCACTTACTAGTTCTATGACCTTGATCAACAGATTCAACCCTCCTAGGCCTAGGTTCCACATCCATGAAACAGGATTGTAATGGATCGTACCTCACAGTCTTGGAAGGACCAAATGAGATCAAGTTTACGTGAATTTTTAGTTACACCTCTAATACGACTGTCACCTCCTGCTCTTGACTGTGCTTGGCTGTCACTCTCCTTGGTCCATCGAATTGGGAAATGGCTCCTGCACTGCGAAAGTTAACTGAAGCGTGCAGAACAGCATTTTACTGTGAGCTCAGGACTCTACTGCATCAGCAACCTCGCCAGACTGCACGCTCCCTGAGGGCACGGCCTTCACCTTCTGCTTCCTTGGTAGGGTGGTGCATTTGGATCCTAAACTCCTTTGCAGAGATGGTGGGCTGTTCTGTGTGGTTTCATTATGCCAGCTACAACCTAGATGTATTCAAATCAGCAACGCCCACCCCTACCCCACTCGCAGCCACTGCCTCGAAGCAGAAAGCATCTGCTCCAGAGGCAGCAGGGACAGGCACTTCAGCGTCTTTATCTCTGGTCAGCATTGGGCATTTGATGATTAGCAAAGTAAATATTAGAAATGCGTTCTCATTGGTAAAGACAGAGGTATTCAAGATGTGTGGGTTGGCTAAATGAATTCAGAGACACTCTTGACTCAGGAAAGAGCAGGTAAAAGAATCCATGAGAGCTCCAGGGAGGTGTGGTCAGGGCAGCAGAGAGCAGATTGCTGGGCTTCACCGAGCCCACAGGACAGGCTGTATGGACTCCGCTGGACTTGTTTCAGGTAAATATTTGTCCAAAAATGTGTACGTCTGGCAGAATTTGCTCTGAGGCTGCTTTCATTCAAACTTGATAATGAGGCTGGCTTCACCTTCCTCCAAGTTTTCAGTGGCTGCTATCAAACAAATAAACAAAATAGCAGCAGCCACACAACCAAATTTGGGAAGTGCCTTTGTGACTGGAGGGACTTAGGTCAGTTCACGCCTGGCATGGGACTTCCAGGGCGAAGTGCGTGGAGCTGATCACAAGACTAGGGAGGTAGTGTCACTTTCAACTTGATGGTGGACAGTGGGGGCCAGGTCCCTAAGGCAAAGACCCTCATCCAGAACCTTCCTGGGTGGCCACCACCCTAAGCATGAGCCTGCTGACCTAGGGGCTGCTGTGCCCAGCCAGCTCGCAGAGGCTCCGCTGGCTTCCTGGAATGAGGAAACACTGCCCAGCCTTCGAGAAGGCCTGGAACTGTAGCCAGTGCACAAGTCACTGCCTAGGCTCTTTCCATACCTGCCACTGGACCTGGAAAATGGGGTCTGACCTGGGCCTGTCCCTCTAGGGATGCCCAAGGGACAAGCCCTGCGAGGGAGCCCTTGGGCATCTACTGCCAGCTTCCACCTTTGGATCAGGATGCCCTGGAGGGAACTTCCGGCCACACTGAAGAAATGGGGGCTTGGTCCATGCCCCCAGTGGGAGAAGGTGAACCCTCATCCTCTTCAGGTTTCTGCAAAGGCCGCTGGGGAGGAGGATCACACTTATGGGCACCCGAGGGACCTTCTGGAAATTCCTCAGTGAAGAGAGCTTTGTGGTGGGGGAGCAAAGCCACCCCCCACTATAGATGACAACTTGGGGGGAGCTACTATGTGCTTGCTAAGGCCACGTGGCAGGGCCCTGGCATGGAGAGGAGCCTGACGCTAGACAGCTGCTGCTAGAGAAGAGAGGCCCCCTTGACGGCTGTGCCCACAGGGAGACTGGGCTACTGCTCAGCAAAGTCCTCTCGAGAGTGGCTGATGGATGAGATTTGATGCTGCCTGGCAGAGATGAGCAGGCAGGCAGTGTGCAGAAGGAAAGGGGGTGAGGTGGGAGCAGCCCCCCTTGAACTGCTCTGCTCACCTTCTTTCTCCATGCTTGTCCTTCCTCTCCAACACTTCTCCAGAGAGAAGTGGTAGGGGTCAGGGTGGGGAAGAGTTGGCCTTTAATGGACAGGGCAACGGTCCTAACCAGGGAAAAGCTGAGACCTGCGGCCTACCTGACTCATCCTGGCAACACGGCCCTCGGTGGCAGCTCAGACTCTACAGGTGATTGCAGAGCCAGTGAGGCTCACCTGCCGCCCCTCCTAAACTCTTTTCCCACCCTGTCCCATCCTTCCTGCTCCCCACCTCCCCCTGCCCACCATGTAGCCCATCCTCAGCCCCTCAAGGTCTGTTTCAGTCTGTGCTTTTCCTTCCTGTCTCCACATGGCAATCCAAGTCTCGGGGTGCATTTGCACAGTAACAGCCAGCCAGGCTAATCCTAAGGGATTTCCAGTTAGTGGCACGTGCGTGCTCTCCCACCCCTGGTCTGGAAACCAGGAGCAAAGTGCTCAGTTACTCATTTTCCGCCTTTGCAAGCAGCTCAAGTCCCTTGGGAAAGCACAGCTCCCAAAGGGTTCTGGGAATACCGGGGCTCCTGTAGGGCCAACGGGGCTTTCTGTGAGCAAGATTTGCCTAGAGAACACAGCAGCCAGGGTGTGAGAAGCCTAGCAAGTAGTTTCTTCCTCATTGGCCTGGGGCTCTGTGGCTCTCTCTCAGCAAATAGTTAGGCATGGCCTTAATTTATTTCCCTGCCAGAGTTCCTCCTGGAGGGGGGCCAAGCTAGTAGACAGGAAGGCGGGGACTGGCAATTTAGTAGAAATCCATGCATGTAATTGCGAGGACCAGAAGAACAGGAGCAAGTGCGCAGGGAGTCTGGGGGCTCTGGGCAGGCAAGGAGGAGAACAGGGTGTGGGGGAGCAACCCTTTCTTCTGCTTCAGGTGGGAAGAATTGAGGCCGGCCAGGCCCAACAACACAGCCTTGCAAGCTCCTAATAGAAGAAATGGCTTTCCTGGCTCCACAGGGTTCCTCAAGCAGGCAGGGGACCTTCTCAGGTCATAAGATGAGCCCCACGACACAGTTCTCATTTCATCTGGGCGTGAGTGGTTTCTGCCCCTCTCTGGGCCTTAGATGCCTCAGATTTCCCAAAGCAGCCTTCGTCTGAGAGCACTGTCCCGGGAGTCAGGCACGTGAGGCTGACTCTCTGCTCTCTCACCAGGTGTGGGAGCCACACCAGGTCACTCAATTTCTTAGAGTCCCATTGGCAAAACGGATAATAGAGTCTCCTTGAAGACTGATGGGGAGGATGGAGTGACCAAGGGATGCGAAGGGTTTCTAAGTAGTGCATGGTCCATAAATGCACTCAAGAAAGAAGAGCTGTCATCTTTATCCATTCCAAGCACAGCCCATGGCTGCTTTCCAAGCTCCTTAAAAACACGCTGCAGAAGTTCCTATCCTGCCAACGCCCTCAGGCAACAGGCGCCACAGCACCTCTGCTTTCCCAAGACTTTGTCCACGCTCTCCACGCTCCATCCCGAGCTTAGTGAGGGGCAGGACTGTGTCTACTGTGTCAGTGGGAAGCTGCTTTGGAGCATGTGCCCCTTGGTGAAAACCCTGTGGATAGGACGTGATCTCATCTTCTGGGATTCTCCAGCAATGACGGGGAGTTTGTGGAAACTTGACTTGGGAGAACCTGCTTGCAGGCATACGGCAGTGGCCAGCCCCCAACCTAGAGTCAACCCTCCTTCCAGATCTTCCCAGGAGGTCCCAGTCCTCAGAATTCCCTCCAAGCCCCGCCGGGAATAAAAACCAGGCAGTAACGGGTGTGCAGAAAACCTATACATCCAACCTAACTTGGCTGAAGAAGACACCCTCCCCCCCGCCGTCTGTGCTCCGGTGTCTCGGTGACTCAGGGTGCCCACCTTCACGGCTGACCTGCTCATTCCCGGGGGCCCCTGCGGCTGTGCCGTTCCCTCAGGTCACACTGGCTTGGGTCCTTAGAGCACCCTTGGGTCCAGGTGCCCTGGGCCACCTCCCATTAGTTAGGGACCGCATCCGTGGGGACAGAAACTTCCATCTCACTGAACCTATACACAGGAGCCAGGCTGGGCTTGGAGGTCACCAGCCGCCTGGGAGTGGACCCGGAGAGGCTGAGTGCGGCCCTCCCTCTCAGACGGCAGACCCCGAACCTCCACCCAGAATCCGAGCCCGGACACGGCCAGCAGGGAGCTAGGAGATGAAGTCCAGCCCTGGCTGCCCGGCTCCTCTGGGAGGGCAGCGAACCCGCGGGAGCGCATGAGCGGCCTCTCCCGGGGGGGCGGTAGGAGCGCGTCCCCTCCAGGGCGCTTTGGGATCGGGCTGCTCCGGGCCAGTGCTCGCGCTGGGGACCTGCGACGCCTCAGCCCCTGCCCAGACTGCGCCGCCCGCCGCGGCCACACCTCCCAGTCCCTGGGAAAGTCCCCGCCGCCGGCGCGAACCCACCTTCCGGGAGCCCAGGGGCCCTGCTGGGGACTCGCCGGTGTCCCCGCCGCCTCCTCCTGCGCGGGTCCGCGCTGCCCGGCCTCAGCTCAGGGCTCCCGCCTCGCCTCCCCGAGCTCCGGTGAATTCTCGGCGCTGCTCCTTTCGGAAAGGACTTTTTTTTTCCCCCTGCGTTGCGTCAGGGCGGTTGCCTGGCGACGGCCGAGCTCTCCGCCGCGAGCCTTTCACCGCGATCCCGGCCTCGCGTTCTCGCCCCGGGTCCGAGCGCGCCCCGGGTCCTAGCGCCCTGTCGGTTCACCGGCCCGGGCAGCCCCCGCGAGTGGAGAGGAACTACATGCCTTCGCCAAACCCCAGATGAAACCAAACCCAAACATCCATTTTCTCATTAAACCCGAAACCAAGGCAGTTTCCCCCAATTGTGGCAACGTGACTGCGCCACTGTCAGAAGTTTGTCCGCATGGAGGGCGCAGGGGGACCCCACGCCCAGGGCCTCACCCACCCCCAAACGGCAGGAGTTCATAGGACCCGCGGCCACGACTGCCCGCGAGCGCCTACCGTGGGCCACGCCCCCCAACGACCCAGCAGGGCAAGTGTAGGCATCTCTGGCTGCCAGATGAGGAAACTGAGGTGCAAAGACGCGAGCGTTTGCCCCACTAACCACAGGGTGTCTGTCCCGCCAGGGGCGCGGCATCGGCCACCTCTGGCTGTCGTTAGATTCTAAGACCCAGTCCCTGCTGCATCAGAGCCCAGAGCTGCAAACCCTAAGGCACAGGCAGGACAGCAGCCCGAGCTGCCCGGACCGCAGGTCTTCAGGACCAGTCCCAGCTTCTGACGAGGGGCCCAGGCCAGACACTGGAGGCCCCAAGGCTGGTTACTGGATGGGGGTCTCTTACCCCAGACCTCATCAAGCACCTTTCCTAGATGCCCGGGGCTGGAAGCGTCTTTCAAAGGGCTCCAGTCTGCCATTCTCACGATAGCCCTGGGCGTGCGCGCAGGCGCCGCCTACATGGCCAGACGCGAAGCTGAGTGGTGGGGCTGCAAAGTGACTGGCGCAGGCTCCAGGCAGGTGCGCGGCTGGTCGGGCCTTCTGTGGGGTCTTAGCCCCTGCAGGGGCCCGAGACACTCGTGCTGCCCTCTGGTGCCCGCGTCCTTCACTGCAACTCCGCATCCAGCCCTGACCTACTCCCTTCCTTTCTGACCTTCACTGGAAGGTCCTCTGAGGGACGTCGTCTAAGGAGACATCTTGCCAGTACAGACCTAGTCATGCTAATGAGGGAACGGTCCTAAGCTAGCGGGTGTATTAACAAGCATCTTTTGGAGAGTCACAGCCTTGATCCAGATCTTCTGATTCCAGCTCCTAAACATCACTCCTTCCTTCTTCCTGCCCGCTGCCACTGTCCCTACCCAAGCCACCAGCAGCTTGCCCTACCCAGTTCTGGGACCTGCCACCCGGGTCCAAGCGTGCACGCAGTCTCCATACTGATCTCCCTTTACCCTCTCTCAGCGCCTCCCAAGCCAGTTACTCCTCCACAAACAGGGGAAACTCTTAAGAATGGAAATCCAGTCTCAGCTGCTTCTGCTTAAAGGCCTTCAACGCCCCCAGTCCTCTGAGGATTAACAGCTAGCTTGGCTGCAGGGGCCTGGCTGGCCTCTGTCCGTCTCTAGGGCCTTGTCTTGCACAGACCCTGCTCCCCAGACAACAGACCCTCTTCCAGTCCCATTGTGCACCTGCTCCTCCCGACAGGCTGCTGCAGCTCTGCCTCCTAAGGGAACCCCAGGTTACAGGTGCTGGCAGCCCCCTGCCTTATGTCCTTCATGGACCAGTTATAATTCCAAGTTTACCTGTGAGGTTATTTGATTAGTATGTGTCTCCCTCTGAGGCAGTAGGCTCCGGAAGGGCATGAACCATGTTTGCAAGCAGGAGCCTCAATCTGGACTTGGGGATAAAGCATCCTTCTGGGTGCTGGCTGTTTCTGACCACAGCCCCGGTGCTGAGCCCTAGTTGGCTGCATTGCTCACTGGTGTGCCCATGGCCCTGGCACGTGGTGAATGCTCCAAGATCTTTTTGGATGGGCCATTCAGCCCCATCTGGAAATGCTTTGTCCCACCTCTACCTCCTGGCTCCCTGTTTGACCTATGGCTTCTATTTCTGGGAGTGCAGATGCTTTCTCATGGGGGAATTGTGGCATGCCTCAAATGGACAGGCAGCCTGTCCAAGGCAAGGGTGGTGTCTTGCCCTGTGGCTCCCATTCTGCCTGGCATTTGTCTGCGGGCAGGAGGGTAATCAGTGATGGGGACCAGGAGGAGAGTGGGCCAGAGGAAAGAGGAAGGGGAGGAGGAAGAGCAGTCTTGGTTGGAGTAGCCTCAACTCCAAAGTGAAATCATATGGAGTGGTCAAATAAATGAGTTAGCACAGAATGGTATGTAGCCATAGAAATAATATTCTCAAAAGCTATTTGATCATATAGAAAAATACTAACGATTTAACGCTAAGTAAATAAGACTGGGACACCAAATCCTGTGTACATTATGAAACTTCTCATTCCAATATCTAATTCATATGTATGCATGGAAAAAAGATTGGAAGAGTGTATGCAAATATTAGCTGTCGTTATCTCTGGGCTGCAGGATAATGGAGGATTTAAAATGTCTTCTGTAAGCCTGCATTCGTTTTCTACAATGAATCGTTTTGTAATGAGAAACATCAAGAAACACTACTCAAAAGGGAAGATGGCACTGTGTTGGTGTTTCTGATGGCACTTCCTTTTGTGTCAGGCACACTGAAACCCAGTGATGGTGGGAGGATCTGGGTGGGCCAGAGAAGGCAAGGCCACCTAGAGGTTCTCTCTTCCCTTTGATTCCTTACAGAGAAGTTTTCTTTCCGTTGGTGCATGATGCATGAGACATTGCCTCTTATAATCCTACAGGAAGCTGTGAAATAGATGAGTCAAGAAAAATGCCCAACCAGGCATGGTAGCTCACACCTGTAATCCCAGCAATTTGGGAGGCCGAGGCAGGGGGATTGCTTGAGCCCAGGAATTGGAGACCAGCCTGGGCAACATGGTGAGACCCCACTTCTACAAAAAAAAAATGAAGAAGAAGAAAGAAAACTCAGCTGGGCATGGTGGTACACACCTGAAGTCCCAGCTACTTGGGAGGCTGAGGTGGGACTGCTGGAACCCAGGAGTTGAAGGTTGCAGTCAGCCATGATTGCACCACCGCACTCCAGCCTGGGCAACAGAGCAAGACCCTGTCTCAAAAATAAATAAATAAATAAATAAATAAATAAATAAATAAATAAAAGATTTAAACTTAAAATATTCTTTCAGAATTTCTCCCAATTCGTTTATTCATCTGTTCAATAAATACGTATTAGTACCACTAAATACCAGACATTGTTCTAGGCTCTTGGGAAATGTTAGTGAACAAGTTAGATGAAGGACCTCGCCCTTGAGAACTGATAATCTAGCAGAGGAAAGCAGGCAGACGATGACCGACAAATACGCTAAGTAAATAAGCAATATTGTGAGTGATAGAAAAACAGAATTGTAGACTTGGATTGGAAGTAATGGCAGAGGAGGGGAAGAGTGTGCACGTTTTCAGGCAAGGTAGGCAGGGCTGGCCTCGCTAATAAGGTGGTTTTCTAGCAAAGATTTGAGGGAGACGATGGAGGGGGTCTTGTGGTGTCTTGGGGAAGGGTGTTCTAGGGAAAGGGTCAGTGCAGAGGCCCTGGGCCAACAAACGTGCCTGCCACAATCAGGGGCCAGCATGGATGCCTCGAGGCCAGAATGCAGCAGGCAGGGAGTAGAGCATGGGTGGGAGATGACATCAGAGACAGGGCAGGGCAGGTGCTGCGGCAGAGCCCTTGGGCCTGGCAGACCTCGTGAGGACTGGCCTTCCCCCGAGGGGAGCTCCAAATGCACAGCTGGAACCAGACTCTGCTCTCTTGTCACTCTCAGGGCACAAAGCCCTCTCTAAATCAGTCTCTCCTGATCCCTTTTGAGTCTATAAGCTACTTGAAGGCGATTCCTGGATTCTAGGGATACAAGAGAAGGAAGGATGAAATTTCTGTTGGGCTCTGTGGGACAGAGGACACTAAGGGTGGCGACATCCCTGCCCTGCTCCAGGCAGCAATGAAGACTCTCAGCCCAGGGCCAGAGTCCACCGGTCTCTGCTGTTTTCCTGTGAAGGGACTTGTCCATCCGTGGGCCCAGAGTTTCAAGAAGAAGCGGGAAGTGACTGTCTTAGGCATGTTCAGCTGCAATGGCTCCTCCCTGCTCTCATCTCTCAGAAGAGGCTGATTCAGGCTGAAGTTCAGAAGGACAATGAGGGCCAGCTTTCTGTCTTCTAGGGAACCTGTTAGTTCCATTTAGGGGCGGCTGGCTCTGTGCCACCCGGGGGCTAGACATGGGAGTGTGGCGCACGTGGCTTTTTGGTAGGAAGATAATTAACAGAGCAGTCACCACACAGAGCGTCCACCTTAGTGCTGGAGTAGGGAGGTGACAGATTCCACCTGAGCCTAGGTGAGGCGGAGGAGTGGGCTTCAGCTAGGAGAGGTGCCCACTCTGAGGCAGCAGAGGGAACTGCATCTGGAAGGGCATGTGCGGAGGCTTTGTGCAGAGCAGGAGGTTGCTCAGCGGCCGAGGTGAGGAGTGGCGGGCACAAGGGCACAGCTGCAGGGCTCGGCGCAACTGCAAAGGCAGAGGATGAGGAAGGAGCGCATCACGGCTCTCCTAGCTCAGAAGAGCTGGGCAGGTGAGGGGTTGAGACAGGAGGCCCACACAGAGGTTGTTTCTGTGTTTCTGCTGGCTCAAGGTGATGAGGCCCCCCGCATGTCCCAGGTGATGATGACATTGGGACGGCAATAGAGGTGGTGACAGCAGGGGACCACGAGTCAGGCAGACCCGGGTTGCATCCCAGCTCCTCTGGTGATTAGTATGTACCATGGGCGGTCACTTAAGTTTTCTGAGCTACAGTTACATCATCAATAAGATGGAAATGATTTTACTGTTCATAGTACTGCCTTGATCCGTGAGCGAGAGGGCTGCCTGGGCTGGGTTTTAGAGAACCCTGCCCTGCGCTTTCTCCAGGCAAGATGGCCGGGGGTCAGGGGTTGCCCTCTCAGAATCCACTCCCTCCTTTCCACCTGGGACCTAGGGCCCAGGGATCTCCTGCTCAGATGGGCCACGTTCAGGCCTGTGTGGCCTCTTCCTGGTCTATGGGGTTTGGATGAAGGCTGCGCTCTCAGGCTGAGCTGCTCCCCTGTCCAAGCTCTGGGTGGGAAAAGTAAGAGGGGGGCCACAGGTGGGGCCTGAGGCCTCACTCCCACCTCCCTTCTTTGTTCAAGGGTCCAAGGATGCAAATCAGAGCCTTGCTTTTGAAGTTGTTATAAAGGCATATTTGTCAAGGCAGGAGGAAAGAACGAAACCTATTTTCCAGTTTATTAACTTGATTTATAACTTTCAAATATTTAGAGACACGGCATGTGGGCCTCCCTTTGTGCATTCACTTTGGGCCTCTCAAATGTCAGGCTGGGACTGATTTGAGCCTTTCTTGCTGGTTTGTTTAAGGAGCAGATTACGCAGCACACCGCACACAGACATGAGCGATCACCTCCCGTATCCTGCCCCTCTCCATTGTGATGTCTTTGAGTTTGTGGAGTTTGCTGTTTTATCTTGTGAACACTTGTAAGAACATCTTCTAGAATATGCTGTGGAATGCCCAGCACCAGCACATCCTTGGTGACAGCTGGAAGGAGGCCTCCTGAACATGCACAGCATTTGTTTTTGTTTTGTTTTGTTTTTTGTTTTTTGGGTTTTTTTTTTTTTTTTTTTTGAGACAAGGTCTCTCTCTGTTGCCCAGGCTGGAGTGCAGTGGCGTGATCTCGGCTCACTGCAACCTCCGTCTCCTGGGTTCTAGCGATTCTTGCATGCACAGCATTTGAAGGGCACCAGAAATGTCACCACTAACAACAGAAGACCGGAAACCCTGATGGGCAGGGGAGAGCCTTCTAGACGTGATTCTAAGCAGTCCTCTCACCCAGTGAGCCTGGCTACTTTGAGTAATGGAAAGAGCCCTGAGTAGGAGCCAGGAGATCCAGGTTCCAGGGTGGGCTCTTTTACTAACTGGAACTTTGTCAAATCACTTCCTTTGGTTGGATGGCTTTCTTTTCACTAGAACGAGTGGTTCCAGCTCTGCCATCCTCTGACCCCTGATTCCATGACACTCTGCAATTGCTGAATAGACTCTATCCTGCTGGGCAGAGGCAGGAGGCCGGACCAGGAACTGTCAATTAGTGGTGTCTGGCAGTTACTATAAATCAAGGCCAGCAAGATAAAAGAAACAGGCTGGTTTTGAGGCTGGGATGAGAGCCAGCCCAGGATGTTCAGGAACAAGGCGGCACCCCCATCCTGGGGAAGAGCCTGCTTGAACTCAGGGTGAGGTGGCCCTTGACCTGCAGGCAAGACCAGGACCTGCAGTAGAGCTCTGCCCCTTATGGAAGCCAGGACAGGGAAGCCCAATGTCTTCTCCAACTCAATAGCCCACGGCAACGTCAGTGATGCAGGAGCGAGGACACAGGGGCTCATTTCATCTCCATCGGCCAATCCCTGATGATACCTTGAGAAACCAAGGTGCAGAGGACAGACTGATGAACACTGGTGTGGGGGGAAGCTTGTTGCATACAGGGATGATCATTCTGTCATCAGGAAGGCCGAGACATGAGGCAGGCTTTGGAGGCAGGAGTGAAACAAGGTGCTAAAAGAGAAGGACTGCCTGTCATTCACCAGTGCTGGGGGGGATTTTTGGGGAAACGGGACTTGGGCTCTTAATATTCAACCTCTTTTCAACAACTGTACCCCGAAGAGATACTGAGGACAAAGCCTCCCTTATACGTAACTTCTCTCCTAAAATCAACTCTAACCCACTGCCACGTAGATGTTCAAACAAAAAGAACGCACACCTTCTTTCCCATCCCCATCCTGGCCAGGGAGGTGGGGAGGAAGTGTACGCAGTGCAGGGTGCGGTTCTATCTCTGGGTCTGCCCCTTGCTGTCAGGCTGCTTTGGGCAAATCCCTTAGTCTCTTGAGCTTCAGTTTCCTCCTCTACACATTGGCAGTACCAAGAGCTACCATGAAGTTCACTGTGAGGATTAGAATTAACGCCTAGAAAATGCCTGACAGTCTTAGACAGGGAGTAGCACACAGGGAATGGTGGTTTTTTTGTTTGTTTCTTTTTCTTTTTCTTTTCTTTCTTTCTTCTTTTTTTTTGAGACAGAGTCTCACTCTGTCACCCAGGCTGGAGTGCAGTGGCGCAATACCAGCTCACTGCCAATCTTTGCCTCCTGGGTTCAAGCGATTTTCCTGCCTCAGCATCCTGAGTAGCTGGGATTACAGGCATGCGCCACCATGCCCGGCTAATTTTTTGTATTTTTAGTAGAGATGGGGTTTCACCATGTTGGCCAGGCTGATCTTGAACCCCTGACCTCAGGTGATCCGCCTGCCTTGGCCTCCCAAAGTGCTGGGATTACAGGCACGAGCCACCGTGCCCGGCCAACACTGTTTTATCACGTCTGCGCGCCAACTGCTCTTGGTTTGCGCACCACCTGGAAAGGGGTGTGGCTTTCACTCATTCTGGTACCAGGCACAGCATGAACAAATATTCAACAAGCAAACTGGCAGCATTCCTGGATATCTTAGCTGCCTTGTTTGTCTTCCCAGAGCATGAGGTAGCCCTGTTTGGAACCTGACACCAGCAAAACAGGACGGCGCATGGAACAGACAAACATGCCCCGTGGTTCAGCCACAGTTTTTGGGCACAGACTCCAGAGCACTTCCTGGCCCAGGAAAGCAGCAAGCCACTCCAACCTGGTCAGCTGCCAGGCTATGGTTCACATCTTAGGATTGAGACTTGGTTTCTGCTTCACAGACAGAACTAGAGGCAGAAAAGAAGAGAAAAATCAATACAGGCACCCAGAGATGGGCTTACCTAGGGTCCTGGAAGATGCGAGAAGCCACAGTGCAGAGGACAGACTGATGAACACACAGAGAAATCACTTCTGCAAGAACCCACTGATGTTTCATGGTCTGATCAAAATGTTTCACAATCAGCCCTCCTAGACAAATGGCTCTGTGGGATGACGCCATAGGCTTACGGGGAGGAGACAGGGAGTAGGAAGGAGAAAGGGAGAGGAAAAGGAGGGGGTAAGGAGGAAGATGAGGAGGCAGAGGGGGAGGGGGAGGAAGAAGAAGAATCACAATAACATCAACAGCGAAGGCGACATGAAGGAGAGGGGAGGGGAGAGGGAGAAGGGAGGCAAAAGGAAGGGAAGAGAGAAAGGTTCAGAGTGGGTTGCACTCTGCCCAGCAGCCAAGTGTCCTGGAGTGAGGAGCCCATGGGAGTCCCCTGGACACTGTCAGAATAAACAAATGAGCAGGACTCTTCCCCTCTTACTGTCTCATAAAGGCCTTGATCCAGCAGACTGGGCAGTCCAGTGGTTGCAGGAAGGGCCAGACCAGCCTGGGGCTAACAGTTCTGCAGCCAAGGCCCACCGTGGTGCCCCCACCTTAGGACAGGTTCCTCGGCTTTTCCTCTGGGACCCCCTCCCTGTGCCCCTCCAGCCTGGCCTCAGTTTTCCTACTCGGTTTCCCTATGGGCCTCTCTGCACCCTTGTGCATGCTCACAGAGTTGAAGGACTTGGATTTTCTTAGAAGTTTTCCAAGAGGAAAAACGATCTGTTGGCAATTGCAAATACTTTAGAGTGTCTGCATAAAAGCCTCTCAACCTCACCCCACCCCCAGCTGGGCCTTCTCACCCTGATGTTCAGCTGCGCAAGTCACTCAGGCTTCTAGGATCTCAGAGTCTAAAAGAAATCAGATGAGGCCCAAAAGAAATCAAGCAGAAGCCAAGATTAAAATACAGTTGAGATCCAACCTTTTACACATCATACTCCTTCTGAACCTCCTGCAAAAGTCTTCTTGCCATCAGAAGAGCCATTACGTTTTAAAAACCCACCCCACACAAGCACACCCATACAAACATATCCAGTACCAATTATATGATCTGACTCAATCAGGTCAGATGTGCCTATTTGCAGGTCCTAGAACACACAGATTCTCTAATCTTTCCCTAAATGTATTGATTCTAGCTCCTTTCCCCTGCTCTATGTCCCCTCCCCCAACTCAAATTGCTGCCCTTCACCTGTGTTTCCCTATCACCTGGGACACCTGCCACTCCCACACTCACCCCTGTGGACGCAGACCTCTTGGTTATCCTCCCAGTAGACTACGAGTCCTATGAGCTCAGGGGTGGTTTCTTATTCATCTTTGAGTAAGGAATGTTCCCAGTGCCTAGTGCAGGGCTGGAATGCAGTGGGTACGTAATCAATGATGTTTCTACAAGTGAACAAATGGATGAATGAATGAGCGTGCATTCTCAATAACCCTTCTGCTTAGTTTCCTCTGTTGAAGAAGGAATGGGTGGGAGATGAGCCAACCCAGGGAAGCCAGGAATGTTCCAGATGGGTAGTTGGTGCCGGGCTGGGTGGTGTGTGAGCCAAGCCGTTTGTCCTCTCCAACCTTAGGAATGAAGCAGGAGGAGAGGAAGGAGAGGCCAGAGGAAGCAGCACCCTTAGTTCACTGCTGATGTGATGTGGCCACCAGTGCCCACCCCCGCCCCCCGGCTTTCCCCCATCCCCAGTCAATGACAGAAGGACAGGCATGGATCTCCCCACTGTTTTTAATGGGATTGTGTGATCTTGCCTCTTTTCTAAGGAGCTAAAATGGAGTTGTAGAAGATTCCATCTTCTTTCTCGGGAAATCGGCAAAAGGCAAACTTTGACAAACTTTGACGCATCCTTTCTATAGACAGAGAGGCTCAGATCCCTTCACGAGGTGCCCCCAGGCCACAGGGGAAGCTGGGCGTGGACTCACCAACCTCCCTAGCACCCAGTGCTGGTAGCAAATATGAGTCCCTGCCCAGGCTTGATGGCGGCGTTTATCCTCCCACAGCCTTCCGCCCTGAGCCAGGAGCCAGGCCTGTGCAAGTGTTTTCTGCTCAGACATAGGACAACTTGGGAAAATTCTATGACTTGCCCCACCTCCCTCCAAAGCCTCTGGGAGCCCAGGTGTTTGCACCTGGGTTTCTGGAGATTCATGTGAGCCGGGGTGGGGGAGGATAGAGCCAAGGAAGGGAACACGGGGCCCCAGGGCCTTAAAACCATTCCTGGGGGGATCACTGCCTTGGCCTGAGCGACAGGGTGGGAACTTAGGCAGCCTCTGGCTTAGAGCCCTATGTAGACCTAAAACGCTCTCCTGTGTGCCTTGTTTGGGAGATGGTGTTTTGGGCTGGAGTGGGGGTGCCAGGGAGGAGGCAGGGCCTGAGTCTGTGACAAAGAAATTGGGGTGGTGGGAAGGGAGAGTGTGTCTGAGCAAAGCTGGGGCCACCCACCCCTGGGGAGGCCCTGAGGAGAGGAACCGAGGCCAAGGGCGACATCGGCCTGGATCCGCAAAGACAAAGAGGCCTCCGTTCCCTGGACTTATCCTGGGCCTGGGCCTGCCCAGCCCGGCCTGTTTGCCCACCACAGAGCCGGTCCCCAAGGCAGTCAGGTGAGGAAAGGCAGCTCCTCTGGGAGCTGAGGAAAGCTGAGGGGAGTTAAGGGTCTGGGAGCTGAGGGTCTGCTTTTCCTGCCAGGGAGGAGCAAGTGGCTGAAGGCCACGGCTGAGGAGAAGGGCAGGCCTTAGGCAGGAAGGGCTCGGAACAAGGCCCACCCACCCCCTCCTTCCTCTCAGCCCCTTCTCTGAAGGAGGCGTCCATCCTCTCCCATCCCCTTCTTTCTGGCGGAAGCACTCAAAGCCCCCTCCCGTTCCCTTTTCAGCTCCCACCCGAATTCCCATAGCCTTGTTCAATTAGCCCTTGTTGGGGGGTCTCTGGGAGCCTGTGCTCCGCACCCCATGCCCCCACCCCATGGAGCCTGCACTCCATCCCACAGGGCTGTCTCCAGCTTGGGAATTCTTTATCCTTCTCTCTTCCACCTAATCCTACTACTCCTTGCACTTGGACATCTTATGAGGCTTCCTTACCTCAGGGAGACCCACTCTGGCTACCACAAAGGGAAGAAGCCCAGTTAGGGGAGGCCAAGCACTGGCTTCCTAGATAGATCCTTCTAGAATGTTTGCTTTTTAAAAGAGAGTGATCCTTTACCCCGAGCCATCTAACTGGGGAATTTCAGGTCCCAGGACACAGTTAAGTCCTCTGTTTTCTCCAGAGTCCGCCATATGAAGCAGCAGCCGTGGCTGGCATGCACCAGTCACACCCGGCACTCAGCACACGTATTTCTTTATCGTTTTTCAATCATATGTTTAGATTTTTTTTAAAAAATAGATCCTTTAGTTTTTGTTTCTGTCCCATTTCTTTTTGGATGTCGGAAATTTGAAAAAAAGGAAAAATAAAAATTTCTCCCCAGAAGAAAATAGCAGTCATCTATATTCCCATGAACCATAACGAACTGCTATTGACATTTCAGCATAATTTCCTCTATGTTTTTCATAGCCCATATTATTTTTAAAAGTATGCTAGATGTAAGTAAATTGATTCTTCTTCTAGAAAATTCTAACATTATAGGTAAGGCTAAGCCCTTTTTAACCAACCCCCACCCCTCAAAGCTGCTTCTGGCTCCTCCTCCCCATAATAATCTCTACTATGAGTTAAGGGTATATTTCCCTAACCCGTTGTTATGACTTCTACGTGCAGGTGTATATAAAGCACATACAGTTTTATTTTGTTTATTTGTATTTTTTAATGGTTTTAACATTATAGTTATATGCATTGCTCTGCAATTTGCTTTTTTTTGTTTCTTGCAATTGGTATTTTGATTTTTTTTTTGTTTGATTTTTATGAGACAGAGTCTTGCTCTGTCACCCAGGCTAGAGTGTAGTGGGGCGATCTTGGCTCACTGCAACCTCCACCTCCTGGGTTGAAGTGATTCTCCTGCCTCAACCTCCTGAGTAGCTGGGATTACAGGCACACACCACCACACACAGCTAATTTTTTTATTTTTAGTAGAGACGGGGTTTCACTATGTTGGCCGGGCTGATCTTGAACTCCTGACCTCATGTGATCTGCCTGCCTCAGCCTCCCAAAGTGCTGGGATTACAGGCCTGAGCCCCTGCACCCAGCTTGGCATTTGCTATTGATACACACAGATTTAAGCCACTTCAACAACCCACTCCCTTCCTGTTGGGCATTTCAGCTGTTCTCAGTCACTGCACTGAGACAGCATCCTGTTCACCCATTCTTCTCGAGCACAGGCTCCCAGAGGTGACATCCTAGGTGAATGGTCCAGCACATGTTCTGTTTTACTAGAGACTGACAGAATTCACTCTATATATCGATGTAACCATGTATATGCCAACCACTAGGGACCTGTTTACCTATGAACCAAGCCAACTCCTGATAGTGACTGACATTTTTGTGTGTGATATGGGAGAACAATATCTTACTGTTACTTTTCATTTCTCTTGTTACCACTTAGGTGAGCATGTAATTTTTTTTTTTTTGTATGGATACCCAAGTACTCCATCGTCATGTAGTGAGCTGTTTATTGCATCATTTATCCTTTCTCTGATGGTTGAAAATGCCAACATTTTAATACGCTTTATTTCAATATATGCATGGGTCATTCTATTCAATTCTATTGATCTAGCTGTATATTCCTGAGTTAATTGATACCACACTATTTTAATTATTATGGCTTTATAATGCATTGATATTTGTAATTTTGCTCTTCCTTGTAGTCATTCTTTTTTTTTTTTTTTAAGATGGAGTCTTGCTCTGTTGCCCAGGCTGGAGTGCAGTGGTGCGATCTCGGCTCGCTGCAAGCCTCGCCTCCCGGGTTCACGCCATTCTCCTGCCTCAGCCTCCTGAGTAGCTGGGACCCTTGTAGTCATTCTGTAAATGTATCATTTTCTTTTGATTGATGAGGAAATTGAGCCTCCAGAGTTAAAATGATTTGTCCAAGGCCTGTTTTAAAAAGGACCCAAGGCCCAAAGGGTCTTCAAATGGGGTCCATGGATTCTCCTGCCCACTCTGCTTTCCCTGGGCCTTCCCGCCCCTTGGCATGTAGTGTGGGACAGGAAACAGCCCATGAGCCTCGTTCTGGGCTTCTGTAAGGAGTGTTGGAGTGTTGAAGGCCGGAAGTGTGAGGTTCGTGATCAACTCAGTATACCACTGGACGCTATATGAGTAAACAGCAAACTATTCTCATGAGAGCAGGATGTTGGGCAAACTGACAAACTGCGTCTGCAGCTCAGAAGGAATGCTGAGGGCAGTCACAACCCAGGCACAAGTGTTTCTTGTGATTAGGCAAATCTGAAGCCTGTTAGCAATAACGTGAACCTGTGATCAATCAAGCAGCTGACCAATCGTTACCTCCTCCTCCCTGCTCTCACTCCCCAATAATACGAAGGGCTGTAGAAGCTCAGGGCTACTGCTTTGCTCACTAGAAGTAGGGAGCTCTTTTCTTCTTCCCCTGGCCCTTTTCTTTAAAAGAGTTTTTTTTTGTTTTAAGTTTTCATTTCTGTGTTTGTCCTCCTTCGTTCAGTCTCGTAATGACGGTCTCAATTACTAACAGCAGTAACTGTTATAATGATGGTCTCAAGTAGTAATTGTGACAGTCTGCCACACGGGGGGGGTCATGTCCTACATTACACAGCATCCCCCCCAAGGGGACTCACCAGACATTCCGGAATTTTGGGTGAATTTTGTGTGATCTCAACCTCAGGAGAACTGGGCTTCTTTGAACAGCTGGCTGTTTTTTCCCTTTTGGACATGGATCCATGAACGGTGGGGCTGTGCTCTTCACCCTGGCTCCTAGATAAGGAGTGTTGGGGTGTTGAAGGCTGAAAGTATGAGGGTCGTGATCAACTCAGCATACCACTGGAGGCTATAAGAGTAAACAGTACACTGCTTACCCACCGCCCCATCACGTGGAGAGGCACTCATGGCAGGCTTCGTGCCTACAGTCCCCACTCCCAGCTCCATCATACTCCTCTGCTCTTATCTTCCCCTTTGACTCATTCCACCCCTCCCCTCACCAGCTTCTTTAAAAATGTTTTATTTGGTGTATTATAGTTGTGCAGTGTTTTTTTTAGAACAAGGTAGTAAGGCACTCTGTGAATGAAAAGTTAAAGTGAAGCATTTCAGGTAGTGTGGGGGCTATTTGGGGCCTCACCCCAGTGAGTTAGGAGATTCCAAGATCTTCTGGGGGCCTCCAGGCTTCCCTGTCCCATCCAGAACCTCTCTCACCTCCCCAGAGAGAACCCCCCCCACCCATGCCAACGTCCGCAGCCACCACACCTCCCCAGCCCACCCCAGCTCCAGCCACACCCTCCTGCTCCTGGAGTTTGGTTTGTGTCCATCGAGTGATGCTGGCTCAGTCTCGGCTTCTGGTGCTGCCCTGGGCGAGGCCAGGACTCTCCTAGGCATTCAGGCCTGAAAGAGCTTCCCTTGACTCAGCCATGACTCACCAGGGGTGGGCCCTACCAGGGCGGGGTGGCCCCCTGAGGGGTCTTGGGATGGCCTGGAGTTTCTGAGCTATAAACATTGCCATTTAAATTATTGAAATTACTGAGAAAGTTTGATATGTGGCAGCTCAGCCTTCAGGGGTTGAAGTTCCTAGAACATCTGCTTTCAACTCAAACCAGTTAGTGGGATTGTGGCATGGAAGTCTGGGAAATGTTTCCTAAAAGGCCAAGTGTTGGAGAGAAAAGAGGACTGGACTGCGGGTTGGGAGACCTAGGATCCAGTCTGGGTGTCACTCCTCACTGGACTGCAACCCTGAGCAAATCTCTTTCCTTCTCTTGACCCTGTAAAATGGGGAGAATAAGGCCTGTGTGTGAGGGTCCCTTTAATCACTGAGTAATTACGACCAAGCACCTTTAATGAGCTAAGGAGTGTTCGAGGTTGCTGGGGGTAGAGTGGCGGAAAAGAACGGCAAGGCAGTAGCAATCAAATCCACCAATGCAACAGGCACCTTTAGGTATTGATAAATACCATTAAGAAAACAAAATAGGGTGGCTCACGGGAGAGTACTGGGGGCAGGGGAGTTAAAGGTGATCAGAGAAGGCAATTGTCCAGGTAACTGATGCCTCGTCCCAGCTGATAGCAATGGAGATGGGGAAAAGTGGGTTGACTGCAGATAACCGTGGAGGTAGAGCCCTTAGGATTTGCAGACTGGGAGAATATAGTCACCAGGATGATGACCACCAGGGTTTCAGGGTTGAGCAACATAGTCAATGATGCTGCTGAGTCATTGAGCTGGGGAAGAAGTAGGTCTAAGAGGAAAAATCGAGAGCTTGGTCTTGGACATATTAGGTCTGAAGCCCTAAGTTGACACCCAAGTGGCACCAAGTGACACCAAGTGAAGATGTGATGCAGACAGGCAGGCACATGACTGGAGAGCGTGGTGCAGAGCTATAGCCAACACAGGTACTCACAGGTGGTGAGGGGCTACCGGAGGCATGGCTGCAGGGCTCTAGAACTCTTTACTGTCTCCTCCCTGCTCTATTCCCTTTCAAATACACTCACACTCCTCTCTGCCCCTAGCGCCTCGAGCCTGAGCCTGTGCTGGCCCTTAACTTCCCCTGCAGGTGGCTCTGGGGCCATTGCCAGCTCTCTGCACAAAATCCACACATAAGTCCTGGGCCCAGAGGCCGGCTTCAGTTAGCTGACAAATAGGAAAGCAGCCAGTGGACTTTCTCCAAGGGCTCAGCCACACTGGGCATCTTATTTTCTGATAGGGCATTTCTGTCTTTCTTTTTTTTCTTTGAGGGGGTGCTGTTATGTAGGAGCAAGAGAACAATGTACCAATCCACAGGCACTATTGACAAAGTTCCCGGGATATTTTTAGAGTGGGGCCTAGCTTTGAGTAGTTCAGAAACCTCTGGAGGCCTCCAAATAGCTCAGTGTGGCAGCACCTCCAGCAGGGAGGGCTCCTTTCCCTGAGGGAGCTTTGGAAGACAACAGAGGGTGCCAGCTCCTGGGATGGGTGCCCCTGAGATTCCACATGGCAGCTCTTACACTTATATCAGGGCTCGAAAATGAGAAGTTTGGGTTCTGGTGATACAGCCATGGTTGGTGAGCTCTGGTATAAAGAAGCATCTTAGCAAGCCGCAGATACACAGAGACGAACTCCATTGTCCCCAAGTGACAATGGGGTCCAAATAATCAGGAACCCTAGTGAGCACCTGCGCCTTGCTCAATATTAGATCAGTTCATTGTTCACACACACAGTCACTCTGTCTGGTGATGATTGCTGTCTCTAACTGCAAATTGACAGGGCAGGAGGTCAGTAGGGAAGCACTCCAGATTGTTGGCTGAGTTGGCATCTGTATTAGTCCTTTCTTGCGCTGCTATAAAGAAATACCTGAGACCAGGTAACTTATAAAGAAAAGAGGTTTAACTGGCACAAGATTCCACAGTTTGTACAGGAAGCCTGGCTGGGGAAGCCTCAGAAAACTTACAATCATGGCGGAGGGCAAAAGGGGAAGTAGGCACGTCTTACATGGCGGGGGGAGCAGGAGGAAGAGACAGCGGGGAAGGTGCTACGTGCTTTTAAGCTAGATCTCAGGATAACCCACTTACTATCATGAGGGGATATCCACCCCCAGGATCCAATCACCTCCCACCAGGCCCCACCTCCAACACTGGGGATGACAATTAGACGTGAGATTTGGGTGGTGACACAGAACTGAATCCTATCAGGATCTTTATCTCAGGACAGGGCCTGGGATCTCTGCAGTTGAGTAGGTGAGCTACGACCTGTCCAAGGCCCTGGGAGGACACAGGCTCATCTTCAGGGACTTTGATGGGTCCTCATAGCCCAGCCCCATCTCAGTGCTGCCAAATGAGGCCCGTGGCTTCCACTAGAAAGCAGAGTAAAGGACATCAGCATCACTCTGTGGAGGGTGCGATCAAATAGGATGGATCTGCTGCCTTGTTCTGCCAGTGCTGTCACCCTGAACCACTGAGCGTCTGTCCATGACTACACACAGGACGTCTCCGTGTCGTCGGGAAAACACCCACCAGCAGCCAGAGCTTACTGACCTCCACGGAGGGCTTGGGCCGTGAGGTGGGGCTCTCTGGCTTGCCGCCCTGGCTCAGCCTTTTACTAACCTTGTGATTTTGGACAAGTCACTTAACGTCTCAGAGAACAGTAAAAGAAACTGCAGTATCTCACTGAGTTGTCTGAGAACTAGAGGAGATAATACCTGAAAAGAAATTAAAACAGCAGGTGGTCATAGTAAGAGTGCAATCAGTGTTGGCTGTTATGAGTATTCTCTGCATGGGAATCCCCCACACAGCTGTAGGGGGCCATGCTGGGGCCACAAAACCACTCCATGGAGCAATGCCTGTCATCAGAGAAGTGGGGCATTATAATTAGCAGGCGCCAGGTCATTACTGTCCCCTGTGACCAGGGAGCACTGTTCTTACCGGAGGAAGGGGGACGGGGAATTTTGAAAGGTGGACAAAAACACCAACCAAACAAAACACTGAGGCAAAACTAAAAACAACAGCATCCACAGTCTTCTACAGATTGCCCCCAAACTATTTTGTCTACTGTCTCAGAGAGTAGGCAGTCGGCTTAAAGTACTCAGCCTATGGCTGTCCATGGAACTCTATACCAGTCTGCTCAGGCTGCCATAACAAAATGCCACAAGACTGGGTGGCTTAAACAATAGAAGGTTATTGTCTTACAGTTCTGGAGGCTGGAAGTCCAAGATCAAAGTGCCTGCTGGTTTGGTTTCTTCTGAGTCCTCTCTCCTTGACTTGCAGACAGCTGTCTTTCCCCCCGTGTTCTCACACTGTCTCTCCTCTGTTCATACACATCCCTGGTGTCTCTATATGCTTCCTCATCTTATAAGGACACCAGTCAGGTTGGACACAGGCCCTCCTGAAATAACTCATTTTAATGTAATCACCCCTTTAGGGCTCTATCCCGAAGTATAGTCATTCTGAGGTGCTAGGGTCAGAGCTCCAACATATGAATTTTAGGGAAACACAATGCCCTTCATAACAAACTCTATCCACAGAATTTCGAGATGTGCAGAATACAGACTTTAGGAGGACTTTAGAAATAACTGAGTTTCCAGCCTGGGCAACATGACGAGACCCTGTCTCTATGAAAAGTTTTTAAAAAGAAGCCAGGCAAAGTGACATGCAACTGTAGCCCCAGCTACTTGTGAGGGTAAGGTGACAGGGTCACTTGAGCCTGGGAGGTCGAGGCCGTGATGAGCTATGATCATACCACTGCACTCCAGGCTGGGCAACAGAGTGAGAACGAAAGAAAGAAAGAAGGAAGGAAGGAAGGAAGGAAAGAAGGAAGGAAGGAAGGGAGGGAGGGAGGGAGGGAGGGAAGGAGGGAGGGAGAGGGAGGGAGGGAAGGAAGGGAGAAAGAAAGACAGAGGGAGAGGGAGGAAGACAAGGGAAGGGAAGGGAAGGGAAATCACTGAGTCCCTCTGAGTCCCTCCTTTACCTCAGTTCAGAATAAAGGAGCCTTGTTTCCCTCCTGACTGTCATTCATTTCATGTGTTCAGTCACCATGGCTACAGTGACGACGGTAAATGTCTTGTATGTCAGAAACAATTCTAAATGCTTTGTATACTTCAGCTTGTAGAATCCTCACAAAGAGATAGGTATTACTACTATCCCCATTTTAAGGCTAGGAAACTAACCACGGCTAGGTTGGGCAACTTTTCCAATTCTTGGAGCTGTTGAATGTCTGTGGCAGCGTTCGAGTCCAGGGAGTCTTGCTCTAGAATCCAAGGTGTTAACCATTAAGCTTTTTCAGAGACACATGACGACACACATGTAAAGACCCACACTATTCATGCATCTTGCCTTTAATTTAAAAGAAAAGGCAATGAACATTTTCTGACTGCCTTTTGAGGGCCAGCCACTTTACAGCCTGCTCTCAGAAGAACTCTAGGAACTCTTGTAATCTCAGTTTTTGAGAAAACTGAGGCTCAGTGGTGAATTGACACAGCTGGAATCTCACAGCTGGTAAGTTTATGAAACTAAAATTTCAACTTTGAGATGCGTGATGGTAAAGTGCTCATCCTGTTGGACTCAGTTGCTTCCAAGGCTGAAAAAAGTTCCTTCTGAACACTCCACACCAGTGGTTTTGGGGGGTTTATTTTTGTTTTTTTGCCCTGTGAGGCTTGATGGCTGAGTGGTAGTGAAAATCAACTTAGTTGGTCAAAACCAACTTTGGAAAATGAAATAGAGATGAAGTGGTATCAGCAAAAAGGCAGACTAGGCAGTCCCACCCCTGTTCACCCATAACAACTATGATTTAACAACTACCCATGTATGAAAATGGCTCTGAGAGAACTCCAAAGTATAATTAGAAAGCTGCAACACCCCAGTGGATTGCAATAACAGAGGACAGCCACGGAGAAAACTGCTGGAAGCATTTCATTTGCATCACCCCAATCCCAAGCTGGCACAGCTCGGATGCCAAGAGGTACACCCTTGGTCACAACTTCCTCCAATAGGAAAAAAGGATAGCAGGACCCTGGAAACCTTTACAACTGAGGACACTAACAGCCCTTACTGCTGTTGCTTGCTGCAACAGGCACCTGCAGCCTTTGCCACTGAATACCACAGAGTCTTCGCCAATGCTCATCCTAGCTGACAGAGCTGCCCAAAGTCCATAGCACTGTGCCCTCCAGAGCCAGAGCCATCACTGCTCCTTTCCTGGGACCTGAGTCACCACTATGCCTCCCCCAGGGCTGGAGTCACCACCATGTGCATTCTTGCACCCCATCGCATTGTATATGTACCCACCAATCAGACCCATCACTAATGGTGGCCATGTGCCCACTGGCCAGACCTAGCATCACCATGTGCACCCAGAAATGGCACCTCTGCATGCCTTAGAATCAGCATCCCTGGACCTTGTGCCAAACCCAGCACTGCTCACGCCCTTTCCAGCCAGTGCCCTTGTGCCCACCCATAGGTAAAGGCCTTTTCCTACCAAAGCTGGTTTGTAAAGTCTGGAAGAGGTGGCTACTCCTTTATGTGAAGGCACAAGGCAAGGGTAAAAGGTGCACCAAAAAATCAAGGAAACATGACAGCAACAAATTAACACAATAAATATCTAGTGAATAACCCCCTCAAAATTGAGATCTATGAATTTCCTGACAAAGAATTCAAAATATCATTTTAAAGAAGCTCAGTGAGTTACAAGAAAACAGAGTTCCTGAACTCAGGAAAAGAGTACATGAACAAAAGGAGATGTTCAGGAGATAGAAATAATTAAAAAAAAAAAAAAAAAAAGAACCAAGCAGAAATTCTGGAGTTGCAGGATACCATCAATGAAATGAAAAATGCAGTAGAGAGCTTCAACAGCAGACTTGCACAGAAGAATCAGTTAACTCGAAGACAAGTAATTTGAAATTACAGTCAGAGGCATGAAAAAGAATTTAAAAAAATAAAGAAATCCTATGAGATTTATGGTATAGCATCAAGTGAAACAAATACACATTCTGTAAGTTCCAGAAGACGAGAGAGAGAAGTGAAAACTTACCCTCACTTCTAATTCCTGAAATTTCTGGAGATTCTGTGATGAAAATAGAATCTTCTCTTTTCTTTGTTGATAGCTAGTTTTATCAAGCCCATATTTGGTTTCACTGATTATCTCTTTTTTTATTTGTCTTCTATTTCATTGATTTCTGCTCTAATTCATTAATTTCCTTTTACTTACATTGTGTTTCACTTGTTCTTCTTTTTCAGTGATTGTAGACCAACCTTGTATTTTTTCTAGTATTAATATTTATAGCTATAAATTTCCCTCTAATTTTTTAGCTGCTGCCATAAAATTTTATGTGCTATACTTTCATTTTGACTCAGGTCAATGTGTTTCTTAATTTTTCATTTAATTTCTTCTTTGGGGTTATTTAGAAGTGTGTCATTTAATTTACACCAAACAAATTTACACCAAATAAATTTAACAAAATTATTTCTGTTATTGATTTCTAATTTAATTCCATTATGGTTGGAGAAGATACTTTGTTTAATTTTACTCCTTTTATAGTCATTGAGACTTTCTTTAAGACCCTATGGCTTACATAGGGTCTATCCTGGTGATGTTTTATGTAAGCTTGAAAATAATGGATATTCTGGGTGGATTGCTAATATATGTCAGTTTAATCAAGTTGTTTGATAATGTTGTTCAGATCTTTTTTATCCTTTCTGACTTTCTCTCCACTTGTTCTATCAATTACTGGAAGAAAATTATCAAAATCTTCAACTATCATTGGTATATTGTGTATTGAACTTTTTAGTTCAGTCAGATTTTGCCTCACGTGTTTTAGGACTTTTTAAAAAGGTACATGAACATAATTTTGACAGCTCTGGCTATTGCTTGCTCTTTTCTTATTATGAAGTCACCCTTTTTTCCCAGTAATATGTGTTATCTTAAATTCTATTTTGCCTGATATTAATATAGGCACCCCAGTTGTAATGTATTTATTGTTCACATGGTATGTAGTTTTTTTGGATCCTTTTACTTTTAATCTGTTTGTCTTTGAATTTAAAGTTTATTTTTTGTAGCCAGCATAGAATTGGGTCTTGCTTTCTTTTCAGTCTAACAGTCTTTGCATTTTGATTGGAGTGTTTAATTCTTTTAAATTTAATAAAATTTTTTATGTTTGGATTTAGATTTAGAATTTTGTTATTTTTTCTACTTGTCATGTCTTTTTTGTTCCTCTATTATTCTTTGACTAGTTTTATTATTTTATTTTTAATTTATCTTTGAGACAGGGTCTCACTCTGTCACTCAGGCTGGAGTGCAGTGGCACAATCATGGCTCACTGCAACCTCTACCTCCCAGGCTCGAATGATCTTTCCATCTCAGACACCTGAGTAGCTAGGACCGCAGCTACTCCCGATTAATTTTTGTATTTTTTGTAGAGACAGGGTTTTGCCGTGTTGCCCAGGCTGGTCTTGCACTCCTGGCTCAAGCAATCCTCCTACATTAGCCTCCCAAAGTGCTGGGATTACATGCGTAAGCCACCATGCTTGGCCAACTACTTTTATATTAAAATATTTTTAGTACACCATTTAAATTCTTCTGTTTATTTTTTTAACTCTGTTTCTTTAAATCTTTTTTCCTTAGTAGTTGCTGCAGGGATTACAATATGCATCTTCAATTTATCATAATCTACTTTAAATTCATACCGATTTACTTTTTTTGGTGAAAAATAAAAACTGCACAATTATAGCTTCATTTCTTACCCTCCCTCCTCTGTGCTGTTATTGTCATGTATATTCTATTTGTACATATGCCATACTGTGTTATAAACCCACAGTTATAAAACCACAGTATGGCATTATAATTTCTGATTTAAATAATTGTGTGTGTGTTTTAAAATAAGACAAGAAAAAGTAATGTATACATATACATTTTATATTTTTATTATATTATATATTTTCACTTTACCTACATGCTTACCATTCCCAGTGCTCTTCTTTTCTTTCTGTGAACTGGTTTACTATCTGATATTAATTTCTTTCATTTTAAAGGACTGCCTTTAACTTTTCTTGTAGTGTAAGTCCAACAGAACTAAATTCCCTGTTTTGTTTATCTGGAAAAATATTTATTTCACCTCAATTTTTGAAGGGTAGTTTTATCAGATAGTAAATTTGTAGGTGAAAGTTCTTGTTCTTGTTTTTGTTGTTCTTTCAGCACTTTAAACATGTCATTCCACCACCTTCCAGTCACCGTTATTTCTGATGAGAAGTCAACCACCAATCATGTTGTCTTTAATGTGATGTATCTCTGTTTCTCTCTCTTTCTCTTAGTGCTTGCAATGTTATCTCCTTTATTTGGCTTTTGGCATTTTGACTATGACATCTAGGTGTGATTCTCTTTAAGTTTTTTTTTGTTTTGTTTTTGTTTTTGTTTTTTACCTTGGGTTTATTCAGTTTCTTGACTCTGTAAGTTAATGGTATTTACTCACATGGAGACTTTTCAACTTTTTAAAAAAATAATTGTTCTGTGCCTCTTTCTCTTTCCTCTCCTTTTGGGACTCCTATTACATTTGTGTTTGAACACTTTATATTGTCTGGCAGGTCTCTAAGGCTCTGTTTACTTAACTTTTCGTTCTCTGTTCTTTGGATTGCATAACTTCTGCTCTATCTTCAAATGTACAGCTTCTTTCTTCTGCCGTCTCAGATCCGCTCTTGAACCCATGTAGTGAATTTTTGTAATTTTCAGCTGTAGAAATCCCATGTGATTCCTTTTTTATAATTTTCATCTATCTATCCAAAGTATCTATTGGTTCACTGTTAACAAAATTTTCTTTAATTCTTTGAACATTTTTCCTTAATTCCTTGAGCATAGCTATAACAACTTCTTTGAAGTTGTGTCTTAATCTACTGTCTGTGTTGGTTTTTCTGGTCACACTTTCCTGTTTCATTGTATGTCTAGTAATTTCTGGTTGAAAACTAGACATTGCAGTGATTCTAGACTCCATTCACTTTCCTAAAAGTTGTTGGTTTTCTGTTTTAGTAACTTTTCTGGACTTAAATTGCAGAATTAATCTCCTCCATGGTGTGCAGCCACTGATACTACAGTGCAGTTTTTATTATAATATTTTTCTTTGTTTTTCAGTCTGGCTCCCTAAAGGTGTCCTCTATTCTTGTATTATATGATGATGAGACAATTATTTAGACAGAAGTTATGCTCAGGTACCTTGAACAACTAAGCCTCCCATCTTCTGCTGCCAGAGCTGTGTGTGGCCGAAGAAACACATTCACATGTACAAGTCCTCACGGAAGGTGGGAGGGTGAGACAGGGGTGAGGGTTGAAAAAGTACCTATTTGTTCCGATAGGTACTTTTTGTGGCAAAACCCTGTCTCTACAAAAAATACAAAACACTAGCTGGGTGTGGTGGCATGTGCCTGTGGTCCCAGCTACTTGGAGGCTGAGATGAGAGGATCACTTGAGCCCAGGAAGTCAAGGCTGTAATGAGCTGTGACTACATTATGGCACTCCAGCTTGGGGGACAGAGTGAGACCCTGTCTCAAAGAAGGAAAAAAAAAACTACCTATTGGGTACAATGTTTACCATTTAGGTGATGGGCACACTAAAAACCCAGACTTCGCCACTATGCAATATATGCATTGTAAGAAACATGCACTTGTACCCCTTAAATACATAAAAACAAATAAATTTTAAACTAAACAAAAAAATTTTTGCACATCGTCAGGTCTCCCTTGGCTCTCACTTTTTGCTGCCTTTTTGGGTTTCTTCCCTAGTCAGAGATGTGCAGGGAGTTTATTGTCCCAGCCCTCTCATGGCTTGCTTACTTCCAAGTTCTCATCACAATTCTGGCTGATCTCCTGTCTACCATGAAAAGAAGCTATAATCTCAAGCCAGTAAAGCTGCAGATTTTTATTTTCTCCCTAGAACTGATTCCATGAACTTTAACCCATAAAATGCAGATTCTCATCTCCCCCATCCCAGACCAAATCTACCAACTTCTGCTGGTATAGCTACTAGTTTTCTTTTTATCTATTTATTTATTTAATTTATGTTTGAGGTGGAGTCTCGCTCTGTCACCCAGGCTGGATTGCAGTGGTGCGATCTCAGCTCACTGCAACCTCTGCCTCCCGGGTTCAAGCGATTCCTGTGCCTCAGCCTCCCTAGTAGCTAGGACTACAGGTACCCACCACCACACCGAAATAATTTTTGTATTTTTAGTAGAGATGGGGTTTCACCATGTTGTCCAGGCTGGTCTCGAACTCCTGACCTCAAGTGATCTGCCCCGCCCTCAGCCTCCCAAAGTGTTGTGATTGCAGGCTTAAGCCACCGCTCCCTGCCTAGCTACTGGTTTTCAGTGACAGCCCTCAAACCAAGTCCACCATTCCCATTAGGTAACCTGTGCTTTTCCTCACTCAGGCCAGGGGCTGGGGAGCTTCAGGCAAGATGTCCGTAGACTCATGGCCATTCTGATGCAGGCCATTTTTAAGATTAAACACTTATCAGATCATTGTCTGCTTTTGGTTTTTCTAGTACCCAGAAACAAACATTTTCTAGTACCCAGAAATTGTTGTTTCTGACAATTTTGTCTAGTTTTATACTTGTTTTCTTCAAAAAGAAATTGGCCAACTTCTTAGACCCTTCTGAGGTGAATCTTGGACTGGATTGGTTTTATGTTTCTTCCACTTACTTTATTGCCTACAGCTTTTGATTTTGATCAGAGATGTACTGATATTAGGAGGCTGGTGAAGGCACATGGAAGGAGAGCTGAATTTTGCATAAGTCACCTCAAATGTACAAAAATAAATGGCAGAACCAGTGATGCTGAACGCTGAACTGGGCGTTTCAGAGCTAGGGTCTAGTCTCAGTCCCGCCTTGAGAAAACCGCTTTGAGGTTTTCTACCAAAAGGCTCCCCAGCCTCCCCTAACAAGTGTCACTGTTCCCATCTTCTCCCCGGGGTCCTTTCCCCACCTCTCTTCCGCCTTTCTCATGGGCCCGTGACTGTGAGGGTGAAAATGGCTGAAATTAACTTTCACTTCTGCTCAGACATCTGGAACCCATGAGCAAAGTCATTTCCTTGTTTTCTTTCTGAGTGGCTGCTGGAATCGTGTGTGTGTGTGTGTGTGTGTGTGTGTGTGTGTGTGTGTGTGTGTGTCTGGTATTGTTATTTTCCAACCTCTGTCTGTTGGGGTGGGCATAAAGGTGATGTCTTATCACAGATCACATAAGGGCCAGCACACCTCCCTGCAAACTCTCACATCCCCTCCCACTCTAACCTTGGGTAGACAGACCATGTATTTTCTTTGTAGGATGCTGGGTTTCCTGCTCTCCACTACATTCTCTATACCCTCAAGTCCAAGTATATAAAAGTTGTCCAAACGTCAGCTATTTAGGCCCTATTGAAAAAATGTTAGAGGCGGTTCAGGCAGCGTCACAACATCCTGGTTCAGTAAAAGACTCAGCCTAGGGATCTGTCTCTGAGAGTCTGTAGGAGTCTTAGTCACGAATCATGTTCAAAGCCTTCTCCTTGGCAGCTTCCCCCAGTGACCCCTGATAGAATTATTGCCTCCGCCTCTGGTCTAGCACTGTGCCCCGTTGAGGCCTCTGTGGCTACATCTACTACGCTCCACTGCAGTGATCTGCTTATCAGGCCCCTTCTCCAAGCTCCTTAGGCTGAGACTCTCAGAGGAGGATGGAGTGTAGCTGCGTTGGTATCCCCAGCCTCCAGCAGGTGCTTAGCACAGAGCAGGTGTTCAGAAAAACAGTGCTGCATTAATTGAATTGAAATAGGAAGACTAAGTTACCTCATCTCAAATCAGTCACTTTTTAAATCAGAAGCTCGCAGAGTTTGGAACTCATGTTTCATGTTTGGATCCATGTAGTAGGTATCAGGAAGTGAATGTAAGAGTAAATTAACAGGAGCTGCCATGGACTGAGCAGGCCCAGGGTTCTGGACATTGTTGTGAGCCCTCTGCTACCACGTGGAGAAGATCAGCTTTGGGATTTAAAGCAATTAGCCACATTCACATCAGCTTCCAGGTATTTGCAGTTTATTATGTGCTAAATACTGTAATAGATACTTTTTATGCATGAATCCATTTATTCTCACAAAACCCCTTGGGGAAGTGAAACAGATTATTTCCATAGTGTCTTAAAACCCCAGAACTCTGCGTTGCTGCGTCTATTGACATGAACACCTGTCAAACCTGCAACTCATAGCTCAGTATTGTCTCAGTCCAATCCAAGGAAATGAACTCCTTGAGAAAGCTGACATTCTGGACCATGGGGTAGAAGCTACCCTGTCTGCCTCCCACACCCACTCTCAAGGATCCAAGACTATGAAGGGAGAAGAGAGAGCCCACCGAGTGACTTCCTCTTATAAGCCAATATCAAGACACTAGTGGAAAGGAACCAGCTGACCAGTGGCTCACTGTGTCTGGCTGGACCAGCAAGACTCTGACGTCATCACAGAAGCCTTCTTGGTCCCATTGGTCCTTTGACTGCTGTGTACAGGATGCCACCCACCACTCCAGACACCACTCACCACTCTAGATGTTGGGATCCTTCTCCCGTTACCTCCATTATTCTTGTTCTCTACTCCTCTGAGTTTTCATAGCCAAGCAAATTTCCACCATTGAAGAGGCTCTGAGATCCAAGTCAACTAACTACTGGCTAGGGTACTGTAAAACACATGGGAAATTAGCTTTTACCAAACACCAATTCTATGCCCACCATTCATACCCATTCTACCATTTAATGCTGATAGTATCCTGTGAGCTAGCTATTATTAGCATCATTTAAAGACAAAGCAAAACCAGTGAGGCTGAAAGAACGGCTGCCCTGGTGCACACAGATGGCACATGGCAGAGCCCAAGCCCTCTCCATGAGATCTGCAGCGTTTGTCCACACGGCAGGGCAAATTACCTTGTAGAGTCAGCATGGAGGTTTGCTAACTCTGCCGGACTTGGTGCAGAAAAAATACCAGCCGTGCTGTTAAACCAAAACCCCAGGAGAAAACTTTCTGGTGACAGAAGGGCATTGTGACCCACGTTGCCCAGGGCCAGGGACAGGGCAGCTGCTCATGGTCCTTCCTCACGAGTTTTCCTGGAGCAGAGGGATACCCCCAAACCCAGGGAGCCCACAGGAGCTTCAGAAGGGCTCGGCTGGAGGGCGGGGCCCCTGTTGCACTTGCTCACTGGGGACTGGGGAGGCTCTGATCGCAGACCGGGGGTGCTGCCACCTCTGTCTGCTGCCGGCAGAAAGCCACAAGCCATGAAAACTGATTGAGATGAGAAGAATTCATCTGGGACTGGCTTTTGCTTTAGGATGGTGTTGGAAGTTGCTCGTTGTCGCTAGGAGCCTGCTCCACTGTAAGGGTGTCAGGATCTGAAGAGCTATGGTGAAACACCACTGAAGCATTGCCAAGGTGAGGCCCTGCGTCTTCCGGGTTCTTTATCGTCTTCCTTTAAATTGTGCAAATGGTGCTGTAAGGCCTGTAGTGGGGCAAGCAAGCAAGGACATTGCTGTGGGTGCCACAGACGGAGGAAGAGGCATGAATGGATCGCTGCCTCAGCTATGAATAGATTGCTCCATGGTTTGTGCATTTCCAGTTTTGAGAATTTTTAATTTATAAAAGGTCATCCATCCAGGGTAGATTCTGCTTTTTGGAAAAGGCAGTGAATGTGCCACAGAGGAGAGAAGGGACGTGGGATGTAGAGAGGGGGTTGAGCGGGCACACACAGGCCACTGCTGCGCTCCCGGCGAGTCACTCGGCCTCTTGATAGGAGGTGATATTGACTGTGCAGAGCTGACAGAGGTTAGTGGTCACAGGCGGGGAGCATCTGGCTCAAGGCAAATGACTGTTGCTTTCGTTTTATTTGTTTGTTTCTGAATGAAGTTGTTCCATTTTTCAGGCATTCAGGAATGGGGTAACTGAATAGATGTAATGATGATCTTCTTGTTTAAGAGATCTATTTCACCAGGAAACACCAACTGTGAAAAGGAAAGCATAGTTGATCACATATTTTGAAAGGATTTGTGTAAATTGTAAGGTTTTGACAACGTTTCCATTTATCTGGTAATGCGGGTGGATGAAGTTCACCCTCATCCACCCACATTACCAAGGAACTAAGGAATTGTGCGTTTGCAGTAACAGAAGAAATTGCTGTGATATGTGCATATCCTCCTCCCTCGGGAGAGTGGGACTTAATTCCCCTCACCTTGAGTGAGGTTTGGACTAAGAGTATGGAAAGGGAGAAATAGTAGCTCTGTAGAGGAGAAACCTGCAGATGCCAGCTTCACCAAGGGACCAAGCTTAGCATCACCGGGAATAAGCTGGGCTGCTATTGTGAACTGCCACGACAGTGCGGTTCTTCCCACCAACTCATAACCCCAGTCAAATCATGAGAAAACATCAGACAAATCCAAACTGGGGAAGATTCCACAACATATTTCACCTTCAAAAATGTCAAGGTCATGAAAAACAAAGAAAGACAGGCAAAGCGTCACAGATCAGAGGAGACATGATGGTCAGGACACCCAAACCCAGAATTCGCATCCTGTATTGGATCCTAAAGCAACACCGCAAAGGTCATTAGTGGAAAAATAGGTGAAATTTTAACAAGACCTGGGGTCTCGCTAATATTGTGGTAACAATTACTGCTTAGTTCTGGCAAATGTACCATGGTTACGTAAGGTGTTCACATTAGAAGAACCTGGTGAAGGAAATATGGAAATTCTCTGTGCTATCCCTTGTAATTTTTCTCCAAATCTAAAATTACTGCAAAATAAAGAGTTAAAAAAAATTAGACTCATTCTTCCTCAGAGCAGGAGTAGCCAAATCCTGAGCATTCTTGGGAAAACTGGCGTTCATGGCCTGGTGATCACACCTTCTCTTTGAACATTCTGGAATATAGCAGGCCTTTTGAATTTTTGACCATCCATCATTCTCTCTCCCAACCCCTACCTGATTCCAGAATAGCTCTGTATTTGCCTCTCTTCATAGTATTTCTCATGGATGATTATATTGTTGTTGTTGGTGTCCAATGGGTTTTGTGGGGGTTGTTTTTCGTTTATGTTTTTTGTTTTTCAGAGATGGGGTCTTGCTCTGTTGCCCAGGCTGGAGTGCAGTGGCAAGAGATCATCGCTCACTGCAGCACTGACCTCCTGGGCTCAAGCGATCCTCCCAACTCAGCCTCCTGAGTAGCTGGGACCACAGGTACGCCACTGTATCTGGCTAATTTTTTAATCTTATTTTTTGAAGAGATGGGGTCTCGCTTTGTTGCCTGGGCTGATCTCCAACCCCTGGCTTCAAGCCATCCTCCCACTTTGGCCTCCCACAGTGCTGGGATTGCAGGCATGAGTCACTGTGACTGGCCCAGCATGCATTTTTGAGCCTTTGCTCTGTGGCAGGGGCTGCAGGACGGAATACACTCTCATCTGCCCAGCGAAGCTCACTGCACTGGTGCAGGCTCCTGGCACCCCAAGCACAGGCCCAGCTACCCAGACCTGACTCCTCTCCAGGAAGGAAGCAGAAAGCCAGGAATGGAGAGAATGAGGACCCAGGCCCCTGGGGGAGTACAGAATTCCAGCCAGGAATCTGCCGTCCTCTGGGCTCAACCACCCCACAGAATCTGGTCAGCCAAGTGGCTGTGAGCTGGGCTCGACAGCCCTTCCTCGAGAGTAAACTGTGGCCTCTAGGATGTAGAGAGGGGACTCAAAGGGCCAGATCCCATTTGAGTGAGGATTCTGACCTTGTGAGCCCACCTGCAGCCTGGGGTCTGCAGCCTTGGGGACTGGCCACCGGTGGCCAGCATCCTGGCTTGCAGGGTTCACGTGTATAGAGAGGTAACAGCAAGACAGAGAAACCTGGCCCCTCTTGCAGGCCCAGCAGAGCGGGTGAGCCCTACTCAAAGGTGATGCTGCGCCTGATTAGAGAAAAGCTTCCAAAGCAGGTGAGGAGGAAGAAAAAATGATGAAGCCGCAGGAAGACAGCACGTAGATGGAAATCTCAACATACTGAGATGGAAATCAATCACAAAACTCTTACAGGAAAATCACAGCTAAAAGTTGGTGATTACATGTGGGCCTGCAGTGCCTTTCCTGTCACATCTGCTACCCCACTGCCAGCCTGCTGCTACCCCACAGCAGCCCTCCCATTTGTGGAATGTTCCCTGGCGTGCTCCTGCTTGCCTGAATCCCTTCCCCACCTTCCCACCTAGGCAACTTGCATTTGCTCTGACGTCCAGGGCAGGTGCGAATGTCTCCTCCCAGTCACAGTGCCCAAGCCCATTTGTGTGTCCCCAGCAACCACCAGCACACACCCAGGGCTCTGGTTTGCAGGCCTGCCAGGTTCTCTGGACCAAAGCTCCTGAGGACAAGGACATGCCCTACATGTGCCTCCAGGTCCCAGCACCCAGCGCAGTGCCTGGCCCACCAGGGGTATCTGGTAAAGTGGTTCTTGAGTTAAAGACACAAGGGCAAAACCTTAAATGAAAATCAAGGTTAAGACATGAGGATGAAAGCTTGAAAGAGGAAAAGCAAAGATAATTGAATGATCATCCCTAATCGTGGTGCACCCCAGTGCCATCAGCATGCTGGGGTTTTGACAGGACCCTTGGAAGAAAGAGAAGAGGCATCTGAGGCCTCTGGCACATTCCACTTCCTGTAAGACAGTGTGGTATAGATGAAAGCATTGGGGCTTCCTGCCAGCCAGGTCAGTCTGGCTCTGCACCTGCCAGCTGGGAGTGTGAAGTGGGAGCAGTTGCACCCACTCTCAAGCACAGACATGAGAACTGAACAGAACCACGGAATGGGGGTCCAGAGCCCAAGACATAGACGAGGCTCCTCCTTGTCCACTGTGGGGCTTGTGCAACCCCTTCATCAAAGCGCTGGTGCTTTCCACATTGTAATCAAGGAAGTTTTCTCACGTTCCTTCTCATCACAACTAGCTGCTGGCCTTTTTGCACACTTTGGCACCTAGGATGCTGAACCTGGACCAGTGGGAGGCAAACAAGACACACCTGGGATGCAAAATGTAAGGAGGCTCCCATGCTCAGGTCGTTCAAGTGCAGGAAAAGTTTGTGTATGTGTGAAACGCACAATGCCATGTGGTGTCTATAAGGGCATTTGAGGTTCTGTGCTTAATAGATGAAGTGGGTTCTGAGCATTGAGTCTGTGGATTCCTGATGAGTTTCCTGGTGCTCTGAGCTCCGTGAACTTGTAAACAAGCTTTTGTGTAGGTGGGTACTTACAGTTTTTGTCAGATTCCCAAAGGGGTCTGTGAACCCCAAAATATTTGGAATCACACAGTCAAATATCTAGGAAGACTACTTTAATTTTCTCTCTCAGCGTGTTGTGGATATGAGGAAGTGGAAAGGACTTGGACATAGAAGTCAGACAAAGCAGCCACATCTGAGTGGTCTCGTCCTGCAGTGTAGTGGTTAGACGGCTGGCCTTGTCAACCAGAGGGCTCCAGTGCAAGGTTCAGCCCTGGCAATGTGAGCAAGTCACTGTGTGCCTTCCTGAGATGATAATAGTTTGACCCCACTGTATACGAGCAGCCTTACCTGTCTCGGGTAGGTTAATTATATCCTCTCAGTCTTATTTCTTCATTCATTGATAATAGCACATCACAGGATTAACAGAATTAAATTACAAAGCCCTAATTTTTAGGTGAGTTGAAGCTGAGGAGCACACAACTTTTCTTACAGGGTGCACTCAATTCTCAATGTCAGAACCACCAGGGGGTCCTTGTACTTCAAAAAGACACATCTTACATGACAACTTCTTTGATTTACTTTTATGCCCAATATTCATTTTGAAACCTCACAAAGGAGAGCATGGTGTTGTTGTTTCTCAAAAGAGAAAGTAAATTTAGTAAGATTGAGAGCCATGAACCTAGACACAGTCACAGGGCACATAAGATTTCGGTCAATCACAGACTACATATATGATGGTGGTCTCATAAGATGAAGACACTGTATTTTGCCTGTACCTGTTCTATGTTTAGAGACACAAATATTCACCACTGTGTTACTACTGCCTGCAGTATTTAGTACAGTCGCAGGCTGTGTAGGTGTGTAGCCTAGAAGCAACCGGCTATGCCACAGAGCCTAGGGGTGGAGTAGGCTCTACCATCTAAGTTTTGTATACGATGTTCGCAGAACAACAAAATCACCTAATGACACATTTTTCAGAACAGATCCCTGTAGTGAAGCAATACGTAACTATATTTTGGGAACTTCCCCTGTATCCAGATAGTCAGTCCAAGAGCTGTGTGTTTGGATCTCACAGTGCTTGAGATCCTGAGAGAATCTCATTTCCTGAGTCAGATGTGGGCATTCTTTCTTGGCATGGGTACACTGCCGTGGCTTGTGCTGAAGGCTGCATAAGAAACAGAGGTTGGAAACTCACAGTGGAATTTATTGCTGAGATGACGTTAAGCTGTTCGCATTCCACCCAGGACCTCCACAGGAGAAGCCCAGAGAGGATGACTCTCAGACTCCAGATCCAGGAAATCCATGCCTCTCTGGAGCAATGGATGTCTTACAGACACTGTGACTCTTCAAACTGATTATTTTCTTCTTTGTGCTTGGACTCCAGGACACTTAGAACCCAATTTGCATCTAACCACTAGCAGTTTGGTGACAGCATGTCACAGTTTGTATTTCTGTGCACCAGCTTTATACACATTTTTTTTTCTGCCCTAACTTACCCTTTGGTCTAATTTCTTTATCTGTTTTTCTATCCTGTTGTATTGTATGTATTTTTATAAGCGGTCTCAAATCTTTTCTGGAAACACTAGGAAATGAATATATAAACAAATACAAGCAGGACAGCATTTCTGAAAGAGCCTGATATACAGTGAGGGTGCTCACTAAGGATTAGTTCCCTATCTGTGTACAAAACAGAAAAATTCACTGAGGGAGCCAACCTGCAGTCAAATGTCCAGCTGTGAGTCTATTACAGTTATAGAAATAGCTTATTTTTACACATATTCCACCTTAGATTGATTTGGGGGGTGTTTGTTTTTGTTGTTGTTGTTTGAGACAAGGTCTCACTCTGTTGCCCAGGCTGGAGTGCAATGGTTTGATCTCAGCTCACTACATCCTCCGCCTCCCGGGTTCAAGCAACTCTCCCACCTCAGCCTCCCGAGTAGCTAGGACTACAGGTGTGCACCACCACGCCCTGCTAATTTTTGTATTTTTTTGATAGAGACAGGGTTTCATCATGTTGGCCAGGCTGGTCTCAAACTCTGGACCTCAAGTGATCTGCCTGCCTTGGCCTCCCAAAGTGTTGGGATTACAAGCATAAACCACTGCACCTGGCCTGTTTTTTTGTTTTGTTTTATTTTGTTTTTGTTTGTTTGAGATAGGGTCTCGCTCTGCCTCCCAGGCTGGAGTGCAGTGGTGTAATCATGGCTCACTGCAGCCTCCACTTCCCCAGCTCAGGCAATCCTCCCACCTCAGCCTCCCAAGTAGTTGGGACCACAGGTGTGCACCACCACGCCTGGCTAATTTTGGTTTTTGTAGAGATGGGTTTTTACCATGTTGTCTAGGCTGGTCTCAACCTCCTGAGCTCAAGCAATCTGCCTGCCTCAGCCTCCCAAAGTGCTGGGATTACAGGCATGAGTGACCATGCCTGGCTCTACCTTTTATGTTAAAGTTTATATAAATTATTTCATTTTAAGATTCTTTTATTCCTGCCATTTCTGTGGTGCAATTGGATTTTTACATAAAGTTAAATAATACTTTTTATTTTGGCCAGGCGTGGTGGCTCACACCTGTAATCCCAGCACTTTGGGAGGCCAAGGTGGGAGGATTGCTTGAGGTCAGGGGTTCGAGACCAGCCTGGCCAACATGGTGAAACCCCATCTCTACCAAAAATACAAAAATTAGCTGGGCATGGTGGCAGGCACCTGTAATCCCAGCTACTCAGAAGGCTGAGGCAGGAGAATTGCTTGAACCCAGGAGATCTCAGCAGTGAGCTGAGACTGCCGCTGCACTCCAGCTTGGACGACAGAGTGAAAAAAATTAAAAATTAAATGATACTTTTAATTTTATTTACTATTTTATTTGAATAAATAAAAGGATCCTTTAAAAAGTATTACACACGAAAATAGGGTCAAAAGTCATAGCCCATTTTCTTGATTTTATTTGGTGCTTTATGGGAAAGGCTAAACTCTCTCTCTTTTTTTTTTTTTTAACACATTAGCATGGAAAGGAATCATTTCTACTTTGTGGTGTCTGTCTGTCTGTCTATCTGATGGGCTCTCTGGCACCTGCCAGCACACTGGGGGAAGTGTGAGGTCAAGATAGGCATCTTGTAGATGAAGAGCATGGCGTCCTGGTAAACGTTTAACAACCAGCTTTCCAGGAAACAAATGTATTGTATACATACATAAGTTTATAGTAACATGTACTGATATAAAGGATGCGTAGCACTTAATTTACAAATAATAACAAAATATGCAATAGTCTCTGTCCTAAATACCGCAGAGGTGATTGAGTCTCATAGAAAGCTCTCGTGACTTTGCACTGTCATATCCGTAGCCAAGCATTGGTTGCAGCAGATGAGCAAGTGTGGTGTTGGCACAAACACTGAAATGTTCATTCATGTTAAGGAGCAGATCAAAGTGAAACAACAAAGAGTTGGGGCAGGCTGCAGCCTTAGTGCCATGAGCGGCTTCTTTGTTGAACTGGGTAGTAGTTTTTCAATATTCAGAAAAGTTTCCTCAATGTTTTGTGCTACTCACAGTGTTCTAGCTACAGACAAGATGCTCTTTTAAGCATAGAAAATCCATGAAACAAATCACTGCCGACCTGTAGCATTTGCCTGTTCCTGTTGTATAAATACTCCCACCAGGGCCAATTTCAAGTTGCTAACATGACTTGCGTGAACATGGGTTCGAGATGCGCAGCAGCACAGCACGATAGAGTACTTCCGCCTTATAGACACAGTCAGTTAAAGAACCTCAAAGCATAGCTATTATTAAGATGCAGTAAAAATAATCAGGAAGTGATGAGGTTTAAGTATTTATAACCTTTGTTTTAATAGAATCCATTTAGTTGTATCTTGTATAATTCAACTTTAATTTTTTATCATTTTAATTTTATATAGTTTTTTTTTCTTTTTCTTTCTTTTTTATTTTTCTTTGAGAAGGAGTCTTACTCTGTTGCCCAGGCTGCAGTGCAGTGGCACGATCTCTGGTCACTGCAACTTCCACCTCCTGGGTTTAAGGGATTCTCCTGCCTCATCCTCCCAATTAGCTGGGATTACAGGCACCCGCCACCATGCCTGGCTAATTTTTGTATTTTAAGTAGAGTTAGCCAGGCTGGTCTTGAACTCCTGACCTCAAGTGATCTGCCCAGTTCGGCCTCCCAAACTGCTGGGATTACAGACATGAGCCACCACGCCCGGCCCGTATAGTTTTTATACCTTAATCTTGCATAATGATTTGAATAATTCAGCTCACAAAATTCCTGAGAATTTAACAACCGGCTCTAGCATACCGGCACAAGCTGGCCCCCAGTGCATCACTGACGGGGAGGCCGAGTGTCTTGAGGCCACACTGCAGATCAGGGTCCTGCCTGCAGCCAAGTGGGGACAAGTGGAGAATAACTTGCCTCCTGGGCTCTCCTGAGTCCCGAGCCTGACAGCGGAGGCCCAGGTGGGTGACCCTGCTTTGTGCTCGGTGGCAGGGGAAGGGGGGTGGGCCTGTGGGCCTGGATGGAGAACCTGTCCCCATGGCTGTCATGTCCCTACACCAGCTGCTGCCAGCCACTGTGGGGTTCGCAAGTCCCCACTCGCAAAACGGCTACTGTTTTCCACAACCATGGGATACAAGGATGTCCCCTTGGGCTCCTTCTCATCTCTACTCTCTGCTGGCCTCTTTGCACAGATTGATACCTGGGATGCTGAGCCAGGACCAGAGGGAGGTAAAGACACACCTGGGGTGCAAAACTGAAGGAGGCCCTGATGCTTGAGGTTGTTCAAGTGCAGAGAATGTTTGTGTATGTGTGAAGCACACAACCACACGTAGCATCTAAAAGGACATTTGATGTTCTGCACTTAATAGATTAAGCTGGTTCTGACCTTCTAGCCCCTGGGCTTCTGATGAGTCTCCTGGTAGCCTGTCAGCTCCTGATCTTGGATGGGAGCTTGTGTGTAGGTGGGCACTCTTCTGCAAAGTGCGTTTATGGCTTTTATCTGGTTTCCTCTGATCAGAAAGATCTGGGGGTGCTGGCACACCCAGACGACTAGTAACTCCCAAAGGGAGAGGTGCAGCTTTGTCACCTGCCCCTGTGTCAGGTGGGACGTGAGATGCTCTATTTTTTTCTGCTCCATCCTGTGCCCAAGCCTTATACAGGGTGACCCTTTTCAGAGAGGCCTTTGCCACCAGGTCAGTGTGAGCATGTGGCTGGGTGATTTCCTGCCGTGGACCAGGGATCTGTGTGCTGTCTGAAGTAAGCAAGGGTGCTCTTTCTTGGCAAGGTCTGAGGGCTGAGACTTGCAAGGAGACACCTGCTCTCTTGGTCACCAGACTGGAGGTTCCTATGTGCAGGTGTGGAGGATGGAAGAGGTCACTCTGTCCTCTTTCTTGCCTGGGCCTCACCTCTGCTGAGGCTGCTGGCTGCCCTGGGCTCGCAGTGAAAGGGGCCATCTTCCACCCTCCCCTGCTGGTCAAGTGCATCTTTCCAGGTTCCGGCACTCCACGTTGCCACCCAGACAAGTGTCCTGTGGGAACTAGCAAGTGGGAATCAAAACTACCCCCAGAGAGGCTCCTGGCCGGGAGATGAAGGGATCTACCCTGGGGCTAAAGTCTCCCCAGCCTTTCTTGGAGCTTAGGTCCTGGCTTTAGAAAGATCCCATTCACATCCAGGCACAGTGGCACACACCTGTAATCTCAGTACTTTGGGAGGCCGAGGCAGGCGGATCACTTGAGGTCAGGAGTTTGAGACTGGTCTGGCCAACATGGCGAAACTGTCTCTACTCAAAATGCAAAAATTAGCTGGGTGTGGTGGTGTGCGACTGTAATCCCAGCTACTCAGGAGGCTGAGGTAGGAGAATTGCTTGAACCCAAGGAGGCAAAGGTTGCAGTGAGCTGAGATCGCACCATTGCACTCCAGCTTGAGCAACAGAGCGAGATTCCATCTCAAAATAAAGAAAGGAAGGGAGGAAGGAAGGAAGGAAGGAAGGAAGAAAGAAAAGAAAAGAAAAGAAAAGAAAAGAAAAGAAAAGAAAAGAAAAAAAAAAGAAAAGATCCCATTCACCTGCACAAAAGCCACACCCCTTTGTGGCCAAGGAAAGGGCCACAGAAGAAGAAGTAGGCCCTTCAGAAGGGGGAGAAGTAGGCGCCTTCAGAAGCTGGTTATCCGTGTGTAATGCCATCACAGGGACGTGCGTTTAAGATCTTTTATCAGTCTTCGTAGCTAAATACTTTTAGTTAATTGCAGGCGGGAGGGGCTACTAGCTCAGGCTACATGGAGCATGTGCTCAAAAACTGTCTCCAATATGGTGACTTGCTGTTTGAGGACGGTCTAAGCGACTGAGGAGTGTGCCCCCTGTTCCCACCCTTGAGATGAGGCCTGATAAGGGTGCTGGCATATTTAGTGTTGGGCACCCTGGTGCTCTCCAGCATGTGGTGTTTGGCCTAAGTGGCCCATGTGGACTTTGTTTCAAGGATTTTACGACAAGAAACACCAAAATGAGGACATCTCTGTGGCCATGTTTCAGGCAAGGGGGTAATGGATACAGAGCATATGTACACACAAACACACATGCACAGAGACACGTACAGACACATACATGCACACAGACACATAGATACAGACACATACACATAAGAATACACACAGAAACACACAGACACCCACACATATACACACATGCACAGACATGTAGAAATACCTAGACACAGAGGAACACACAAAGATACACAGGCACACATACAGGTACATCTACATGCTTATCAAAAACAACAGCAAAACCACCTACCATGACAAATACTATTGCAGCAAAACTGAACAAATAAATTCTGTGCCATAAAGTTTCCTAAACCTCATCTATTTTGTAGAAATCTAGTCACTTGAGTATCATCCTTCACAAAGTTCTTTCTATTCTTTCTACTGTACAAAGTTTTCTGTTGTCAAATAGCAAGAGATCTCTGTTTTCTACTTGGAATGGGCCTGGAGAAGGGAGACAGCACCCGCTCCCTCCACCCCTTGTCCCTGAGCACAGCATGGTGACCTGCCAAGCCAGAGGGTGACCTGGACACTCATAACTCAATGCAGGGCCAACTGTAGCCTCTGGCCGGTGTCCCTGAGTGAGGGCAAAGTTGTAATAACACTTGTTCTCTCCTTTCTCCAATTTGCTCCCAAGCTCCATTGCTTTCGTTCAGGCCCTCCCCCTTCTAGACTGGGCAGTTCCGCATCCTTGGAGCTCATTTCTCTGTCTTCAGAATCTGATGCTCCAATTCATCCCATGTGTGGCTGCCAAGGTCTTTCTAAAACTCAAATGTGGCCCTATCACCGCACAGGGTAAAGCCACCATAAACTCCTCTGTGTTTGAGAACAAGGGCCAAGTCTCCCATTGAGGCCTCCAGGGAGTGGACAGTCTGGGTCTCCTTTCTTCTCCAAGCACGCTGGGCCCATCTGTCCTGTCCCTGAGGACTCCCTGGCACACATGACACTTCAGAGCTTTTGCCAACTCCACTCCCTGCCTGAAATGCCCATCTCCTTCAGAGAGCTTCTATGTATCCTTGGAGGTCCAGTCCTAATGTCCCTGCCTCCGATAAGACCTCTCCCCATCTTCCTCTCGCCCTGCTCCTGTCCCCGCCAGGCATGACAAATCTCTTCCCACAGTGGGCCCAACAGGGAGGCAGATGGTAGAACAGGTTTTGGGCCAGGTGCCAGGTGCACGTGGCTCTTCATCCTGGTTCCCCACCGCACACCTGGAGAGCTGAGTGCTTTTCCTGAGGTCACGCAGAAGGTTACCAGCCTGGCTCTGGAGCTGTCTCTTTGCCACATCGTGGGGTGTCTTTAAGGTGACCTTGAATGTGCTTGAAGCTGTTTTATGTCCTATTTGCAGACCTAGGGGAGGACAATGCCAGGGCTTTTTGCCTTCCCAAGGTCACAGCCTGAAGACACTCAGAAAGATGTAGTTGGCTCATTTATCATTTTTTAGAAAAAAAGAAAACAACAGAATGTGCTGAATCCTTGTAACTGTTGGCCATGGCACTAGTTTCATGGAAGGTGGAAGGGCAGGTTAGGCTTCTTATGAGGGCGTTCCTGGCCTCTGGAGGGGTGTGGGTGGGCTCAGGTGAATGACTGACAGACTGGATTTACGTATGTTGAGTGTGAATCTCAGTCCACAGCTTGGTGTGCAAAAACAGAAAAGCTATCTGGTAATAGCTACATCTCTGTTGGGGAGAGGAAACTGACCTCTCAATTCAGGGTCTTCATACCTTTCTCCAGGGTGGGGTCTAAGTTCTGGGAGCCTCATGAGTCTCAGGAATTCTGGGGTGGCCTATTTGGTCTTTGTCATCAGTCCATGCAGGGGGCTGCTAGAATGTCATGTCAGCCTCTGACCCTGGCCAAGCCCCCTCTCAGAGATTCCAGGCCACATCCCAGGTTGAGGGATGCATCCTCCCACTCTGGGGCCCCCCAGGTGGGACTCTCAGGGAGGCCACTTGAGACGCGGTTGCCCAAACTGACTCAACAAGATCTCTCAGTCACGGGCTGAAAGATCTGCATCACGGGCTGAAAGCAGGAAAGTTCTTTTGTCTCTCTTTCTGCTTTCCTGTGACAATGGGTGCAGAACCATCGTGAATGGTTCAGGTGCGGGTAGGGAAAATAACAAATAGGAGGAAGAACAATCTCAGAAAGGCAGGTAGCCTGTCCCATCTGCTGACAGAGCAGTGTGTAAGCATCACTGAGCTTGTGACATTGATGTTTTTTCCAACATGCAGTATAAATGTACACTGTGATTTTACAAGGCCAGGAGCCAAGTAACAACACCCTTGGCAGAGGAAGAGTGAAGTGGGGAAGGAAACTGAAGCGGGCTAGGGAGGAAGGACAGCTTGACAACTAGTTAGAATTGGAAGGACGATGGACTAGGATTGTAAAAGAATAAGGCAGAATGTCCTACCTTCCCACCTTGGCAAACCCTGCCCCTGGGAGTGGTCCTGGATTTGCAGTGGCCCTGGCCTGGACCACCATGTAGATGTCACTAATGGATCCTCCCAGGGGACGGGCCTGTCATGGCCCTCAAGAAAGGCAGGGATGACCACCCCAACTGCAGGGGAAGACACCACCCACCCTGAGGGCTTTTGGGAGCTTTTAAAAGAAGGCAAGTCACGCTTTAAAAGAACTTTGAAGAGACAGGAGCTTAGTGGACCCAGTGGAGATAAAAGGTCCAGGTAAGGAGTGGCCAAGCACTTGGAATTTAGAAGAGGCGAATCAGAAAGTCCCAATGGACCAGCTTGGGGGTTTGGGGGTTACTGGGTCCATGTCAACATACAGCTCAGTGGGTGCCAAAGATCAGCCAGGCCTAGGGTGCAGATGACAGTGAGGCAGGATGGTGACCTGGATTAGGACTGGAGGGGGAACCTGAGGCCAGGAGAGCAGGGAAGAGATTGCTAAAGACAGTCACCCCATGGCAAGCTAGTTTTCTCCCCGAGCCAGCATTTCTACACGTGAGCACTGGCCTTGCTGTCTGGCTGGGTGACTTCCTCTCTCTGGGGTTCAGGGCCCAGCACTGCTAATCGGGGGTAGAGTCAACGGCCTTCCAGTGCACCCTTTGGTGGCTCTGTGTGGCACATCAGGCACACTGGTCAAGTAGGGGGTCATCACCAGGCCTTGGGTGCTTCTCAAACCTAAAGTCATGTGGTCCTCACAACAGCCCCGTGATGTCATCAGGAACCTGCCCACTGGCCCAGGGCTGGGAAGGACTAGAGCCAAAGTGCAGGCTCAGGACTGTTTGACCCCAAAGCCAGTGCTCTGAACCCTCCATCTGTCTTCATTAACCACCGCCTCTGCCACTACTGTAAGGCAAGAGAAGCGTGTCACGGCGCGAAGGCTAAGCACATGCTGGGAAATCACCCGTGGCTTGCAGACACATGCACAGCTACTGGGGGTAGATCAAGAGCCAAGAACGGGTGAGCTCAAGCTGTGCTCACATGGGGCGCGTGCTAGGTGACTGTAGGCCTCAGAAAACCTGGGATCCAGAACAGCTTTCCTCCGCTAGGGGGCTCTGGCACAAGTTTGCCTGAAGACATGGCCCCATGGCGAAGCCATCATGTGTGGGACCTTCCTTGGCCCCCTCTTGGTGAGCCACATTCCTGTCCACGCAGTAGCTCCAGCCCCCACCCGTGGCTTTTCACTTCTTCCTTGCTTTCCACTTCTGACCACCCTATACCAGAAGGTACTTCATGTCAGTCCTCTCCCGCATTCCCTCTGCCTTCGGGTCTCCTGGAATTGGAACTGTCACTAGTCAATCATTACTTACGGGGATGTGCAGAAAGCCAGACACTGTGCTGGGCCTCGGGCGGCAGAAATAAGACAGCCACTGTAGTGTCAGCTGTGTGCACCCATCTCTCCTTCTGACCCAAACGCAACTGTGATGGGGGCCGGTCCTGCCCTTTGGGGCCATCAGACAAGGGAGCAACTGACATTTGCAGAGGCCAGAGGAGCCGTGGTGGAGGGGTTTTCTCAGGGCTCGAGGGAGGTGCCTGCCCATCCACTGAGAGCTTTGGGAAGGAAATGCTGGGCGCCTTTTGTGCCTCCTACTCATCAATTCCCCCCAGCTGCAGGCAAGGGAGGTCGTTAGCAGCCCAGCCTGTGGGGAGCAAGCAGGCCATGAGCTGCATGCAGCTGGCACTGCTATTACTTAGGAGGCATCACAACAATGACTCAGGTGCTGACCATAACCCTTAACCAGGTCACAGTGGCTGCCTAACTGTTGAAGCTGCTACCCCTCCTTTAGGTTACACCGCACGAAAAGTTGGCAATCCTCTCTCTCGGTGGCTGCTGTGGGAGCAGCTAACCTCACAGCACCCGAAGGGATGTCATCGGGACCCCAGCTCGGTTTCCAGCATCAGCTGATGCCAGCAAGAAGCCAGCCAGGCCTGGGGCTTGGCAGCCCAGGGACTTTACCATCCACCATCCACAGGGCTGTTGCCCTGGACAGGTCATTGATATCTGACTCACAGCCAATTCATGGATGACGTGAATCCAAAAATCAGAGGCCCACGTGGATTTAGACATGGAAATGCCTCACCAGCTTCCATGAGCCAGTCTCTGTGCGGCAGACTTGAACTGCACGGGGGCTGATAGGAAGCAGGGTGGGCGCTGGGATGTGACTGCGCCCTTGCCAGTGTTTCCAGTCTCCCAGCTCGGGTTCTGTGGTTGTCTAAGCCTGGGGGTGCTCTGCCGGGTCTGTGGCGACCCGGCTGCCTTTTCAGCCTAATCACCAGAGAAGCCACAGAAAGAGCTGGACCACTTAGAGGGGCAGTCTGGCCACAGCCACTTGGAAGAACAGGCTGATTTTGTACAGATGTGTCATTTTCTCCTGACTTTTAAACTGTAAACATTATATAATACCCTAGAAAATTTTGAAAATAGATATAAACCATCAATAACACTGGCAACCTAACACTTTTACCTAAGAGCTACCCATTTTGATTTATCTGATGCGCAGTTTTCATTGCTGGAATCATAAAGACATAGCACCTTAGATTCTTCTCTTTTCTTTTTCTTTCTTTTTATTATAACATAAGCATCTTTCCCACTGCTACTTTTGATCACTTTTGAGGACTCAAAATGATCATTTTTGGGCCTGCATAATATTTCACTGTGTGAACTCTATCACCATTTCAATCAGGTGTTTCGTTTGCTTCCATATTTTTGTATCACCATAGCAGGTGATGATTGAAAAAATAAATGCAGCTTGCAAAGTCATTCTGAATTACATCGTGGAGCTGGAGAGTGTTCTTTCCTAATCCCTTCAAGGAATTACGATGATATGGGGAGATGAAACATTCATTTGGGGGCTGGCGTGGGGTAAGCTTTAAATTGCGTTTAAAGTCAGTGTGATAGTGACTTGAGTTTTTCATCTCTTTTCTCCAGCTCCTTGACGGCCATATTTGCTGGCCAGGGTTACTGGTGTGGTCTTTGGCCAGAGAGCAGACTTTCCTCTCTGTGAAATGAAATGACTCATAAGGAAACAAACCCCAAGGCTTTGGGTACATTTGTCCCATCATCTAAACCAGGGTTTCTAATCAGAAGTCCATGAATGATTGTGGGGCTTTGTCGGGGGAGAGGTCCTGAAGCTGAGCACAAAATTTGGCATGTTTGTGATAAGTGTATTTTATAGGGATAGTGTCTGTAGTTCCATCAGGTTCTCAACGGGGGCTGTGGCCCCAAAAATGTTTTTTAAAAAACCCAGCTTTCTCTCTCTGTCTCTTTCCCCCTTTCTGGGAATCCGAGATTGAAATGAAAGAAATCGAAAGATCTTTGCCTACATACAGAGGTCCAGTAATGGGATAGGGAATATATTATCCCCGGGATAGCGCCACTGTACTCCAGCCAGGATGACAGAGACTCCATCTCAAATAAATAAATAAATAAATAAATAAATAAATAAATAAATAAATACATAAATAAAGTGCCTCTTTGTTAAGGCAGTTGCTTCTATTTCTACTTTTTTAACCAAAGCTAATTGCTAATGTGTTAAAGTACGAGATTCTGCCTTGATTATGGCCGTCCGTGGTTCTTAACTAAAGGAAATGCTTTGGCATTTTAAAACACATGGATCCCCGTAAGCTTTGCATTTCTCACCAGGGAGTCAGACTGACACACAAATATTTGTGGTTAGTTAATTGTTCTTTCCTGCTACAAACACTCACCATAGGAGGTGAGCTGTGTTTACCAAACTGAAATGTTACTATTTGAGGCTGAAGGAGCCAAAGAAACCTTGAAATTCAAGAGACCAAACCCAAAAGTTCCACCCAACGGAGTGGGAGACTTCAGCTCATTGAATTCCTGAATACAGCTCGGTCTTTTGTCTTCACACAGCAATGAGAACACATGGACACAGGAAGGGGAACATCACACACCGGGGCCTGTTGTGGGGTGGGGAGAGCGGGGAGGGATAGCATTAGGAGATATACCTAATGCTAAATGACCAGTTAATGGGTGCAGCACACCAACATGGCACATGTATACATATGTAACAAACCTGTATGTTGTGCACATGTACCCTAAAACTTAAAGTATTAAAAAAAAAATCAGTTTCTGTTAACAACAAACTCTGGCACCAGTCAGCGGGTTTGACTTCCTAAAAAAGTTTGATTTGCTTTCTCTCTTAGAAATTCTGTCTTAAATTTCCTTAAACACAAGTGTGTATACCTGGAGCAAAGAACATGGGGTGTAATTCAATTTCTCTTCTCCTTTCTTCCTCTGGGAATCTCTGCTAGGTTTCCCACTTATTATTGTTGAAAACTAGCAGTCTTTAAAGGGGATGGACTTCCTGAAATACGGCAAACAGTCATGCAACAAAAAGGAGAAAATTATATTTTCATTTTGGGCGTCTTAGATGTAGTGCAACATTCAACATGAGATCAATGTGCCCTCTTGACCCCAAAGTATTGGCTAATGATCCATAATCAATATTTAGGATAACACTGGTTGGGAGTATGAATGACATCTTTCCACCATTGTCTTGGTAAATGAAACTATTTACTCTTTCTGGCAGTGGATGCTGTCGGGAGGTGGAAAAGTAAGCATTTTCTTACGTTTGGGTTTTCTGTGATTGTTTGATTATTTAATTTATTCGTTCAAAGAAGAGAAAGATTTACTGCATGTCTACAATGTATCAAGTGGTAAGATGGGGCCTGAAAATACAAAGATAAACAACCAAACAAACAAAATGGCTTTTCCTTGAAGAGCTCAGGAGGAGTCTGGTTTAGAAGGCAGACACGCAAGTTCTATGCTACTGGTCTGTAAGAAGCGCTGTGGGATCAGAAGAAGGGATGACTTAATGGGTACAGAGTTGGTGATGTGTGGATGACCTCGTGAACGAAGACTAGTTCTTCAAGCAGACCTGTGGAGGACACCACAGAAAACTGTGTTGTTTGTTTAGCTCTTTTCCAGAACTTGTTATGATCTCTTAACAAGGTCTAGCCAATATCATTATAAGCACGTAAAATTCCTCATCCTAAACCCCACCCTGAAATCACTCTGACGACATGTCAGCCATCTGACACAGATGTGGATAGTCTGAAAGCCCAACAGTTCTAATCATTTAGGTTCAATTGGGTCTCAACAGAGATTTTTACATGGGACTTCATGTTTTACAAATTATTTTAGTATTATCAATTTGATCCTTTAAGGCAGGCAGAAAACATATTTCCACCCTCTACTTTATAGATAAAGCCATTGAGGCTCAGAGAGATTTTAAAATTTTACTGCAAATTACACAGGCTTCTGGTTTTGTTTGTTTGTTTGTTTGTTTGTTTGAGACAGAGTCTTGCTCTGTCACCCAGGCTGGAGTGCAGTGGCACAATCTCGGCTCACCGCAACCTCCCCCTCCTGGGTTCAAGTGATTCTGCTGTCTCAGCCTCTTGAGTAGCTGGGACTACAGGCGCCACCCACCACCATGCCCAGCTAATTATTGTATTTTTAGTAGAGATGGGGTTTCACTGTGTTGGCCAGGCTGGACTCAAACTCCTGACCTCAAGTGATCTGCCCGCTTCGGCCTCCCAGACTGCTGGGATTACAGGCGTGAGCCACCGCGGCTGGTCAGATTATTCAATTTTAAGGTCTTACGGGCCACATAACATGATTGCCTTTCTAAAAGAATTATTTATTCATGGAAGTCTGAAGCAAGAGTCTCTTGAAGTTCTTTTTTGTCCTTGATAAAATATTTACTTTTCTTGTTTTATCCTCCTACGAGATCCCTACTGTCCATGCCCACGGCCTAGATTGGTCTCTGGCCTTGAGCCTTACAGAGCATGCTGGGTCCCAGGGCTTGTCCTCAATGCACCACACGCAGTTGGCTGATGAACTAGGACCTCTGTGTCTTGAAGTGGGAGTGGATGGTAGGAAGGGGGAGATGGAAAAGCAGGGGTACAAGGCTGATGCTGGCAGCAATGAAGACCTTGGTGATTCGTGGACCATAGTGGAGACTGAGAGGGAGTGGAGAGACGAAGAGAAACCAGAGCATCATTCCTGATGGAGCCCTGTGTTACCCCCAGGCTCCTTTAGGGCATGAGAGTGCCAGGGCTGGACCATCTCCAGGCTGCACACTTTTTCTCTGCAGCTGTGAGCAGAGCCCAGGCTGTCTGTCCCTCAGCATCCCCTAAATCTGCGATGCAATCATAGCCCCTGAATGTTAGGGCTGGAGGCAACTCAGAGATCATCCACCCACAGCCCTCGCTGCACAGAGACAGAAGCAATGAGATGAAGTGACTCGTACAAGATTGCACCTTGGGCTGCAAAATTCATACCAAGTGATCCAGGGAGGCCTTTGAGGCATTGCATTCCCAAAGTGCCTTCTAAATAGTTAGCCAGAGTTATAGAGTGGTGCTCAGAACAGGTTGTGGACGTTTATTGAATTCCATGTGATTTAAGTGTGGTTGGCGGGCAGTCCACACCACCGCCGCGCACTGCATGAGAACCCTGTGTGAAGGGGGCTTGGGGTAATGGAGCAGCTGGGCCCGACCCAGGTGGATTCAGAGTCTCCCATCACTCGGAGAAGCCTGCACCTTGGAAATAATTCAACTCCTTGGTCTGACTTTTGCAAGGGAAATGTTTGGGGCATTTTATAGGTCTCCATGGCTGTGGTGTTTTATGACATTGAACCCAATAAAACTCGTAATGACACAGGATCTGCCAAGGGGATCGGACCTTCCCTTCTGGCACAAGGAACCATTCTGTTTTGGTATCCCAGGAAATGAGTGGAGGAAAATCCTTGTTATTTCAAGTGAACAGGGTCTGGGCAAGGTCTCTGTCCCTGGTCACCTTGACCATGTGCTACCTGTCACTGAGTCTAACGGTTGCTCCAATTCAGCTGAAAGACAGGACTCAGCAAATAGAGCCTTGATCTGTCCACAGGGTACTCCTGTCCACTGTTCCAGCAAATGTGAGAAAACCCACTTGTCCTTTGCGAGAGAGAGGCAATGCTGTCTTAGTCCCATCCTAAAGGCAGAAGGACGCTAAACAAGGGTGTTTGCGGGCTACAGGCAAGAGCCCCGCAATGGCCTCCCCGAGGGATCTGAGGCCCAGCAGGCCATCCCAGGTCTCAGAAGCCTTGTAAGAGCACAGTGGAGGACCCTTCTTGCACGCTGAGCTCTGAGCAGTGAGGGGAACAGCTGGGAGAGAGGCTGGGGTACAAGTGACACAGTGCAGAGATGCTGCTCCCAGCCGAAGCTGCCACTGTGGGCCTTCTCCATCCACCCAGCCCCTGTGATTGCACTGCCCCCACCTCTGGGCTCGAGTAGCCCGTGAGCCTGCTTTCTGGACCCATCCTGGCAAGTTGCTGGTGGATATACCTATGCAGCAGGGCAACTACAGGCTTAGGAGGGCTCCATTCCAGCCCTGGCTGAGCATCAGAATGGGGGTGAGAGGTAAAAAATACAGATTCCTGGCCCTGTTTCATACTTTCTGTATCATATGCAGGAGCCCAAGAAGCTATTACAGTCCCAGATCATTTCTGATCCAACCCACCAGTCAGCAATACCTGCTCAAATCTAGGAGTCACTGACCTCAGCCCCCTCCCCTTCCTGGGGAGCTCCCACTCCAGGGTTGAGGCACGCACATGACTTTCACCTCTTCTGGAGTCCTCCCCTCCACATTCCCCGACAAGCTGCTGCTCTGAGATTCTTCCCCTAGTCTCTCCACACAGGCCAGCAGTCACTGCAAACGCCCAGTTGCAATGCACCAAGAACTTTCAGGGTTTTGCCCTGTTTTGCTGGTTGGTGCCAGGAGATGGAAGCTCTCGAGTGGGGTGTGCTGTCCCCTGGGCTGGGTGGAGGTGGCCACAGCAGAGAAGGAAGATGGGTCCTGGAAGTACAGGCGGTCTGGGCTTACATCCTCCCTGTGCCACTCCCGGCTGAGGGACCTCGAGCAAGCTTGACCTCCGTCAGTCTTCATTTCTTTACCTGTAGAGTGGAGGTCTGGAAGCCGGCCTCCTGGGATGCTTTGAGGATGACCAGGAGCTGAGAGGTAGTGCCAGGGGTCAGCCATGTCAGTGGCTCCACCTGAGTCCTCAGGGCCTGGGGGAGTGTCTGGGACGAAGTAAGCAGCCGGCGCACAGGGGTCCTCCCTGCTCCCCTTTAATTGCTTGCGTCTCTCTGGGGCATTCTTTTACTGTCTTTGGCTTCTTCCTTTGCTGCAGCCCTCATCTGGATGCCTGCCTCTATTTCCCCCTTCCTTCCATTTTCTTTAACTGCATTATTTTTCTGTCTTTAGAGGCCAGTCACTTACCTCCTTAATTTTCAAAGTTTTGTCTTTTCTAATATTGTATCAGTGCTTAAAATGCAATTTTCCCCGCCACTGTAGTGCCTCATGTCATATGTGCTGCGCTGCATGCGGGGATGGCCCAGAACAGCTTCCTGCAGTCTGTGTTCTTCAGAACAGTGGCTTCAAACAGGAAATCAAACAGGGAATTGCTTTAGTTGTTCATGAAATCAAGTGGGCTCCTGCTGGCATTTTAAAAACAAAATCATATAGAATAGAGAATACCCAGGGGCATTGCCTGTAGGAAAGGCTTTGGGAGGCTTTTGTATCCTGGTGTGGGGATGGGTGTGCACTCGCGTGCCTGGGATGTCAGGCACTGTAGATGGAACAAAAGTTCATGCCCAGATGAACTGATAAGCAGATCGTGGCCTGTACATTCCATGGAATACCACTCAGCCTTTGAAAGGAAGGAAATTCCTTCACATACTGCTACATGGATGAACCACGAAGACATGACGCTAAGAGGAGAGAGTCAGACACAAAGGAGAAACACTGCAATTCCATTTAAATGAGTCCCTGGAGTAGTCCCATTCAGAGAACAGAAAGTAGAACGGGGGTGCGAGAGCCTGACGTCTTTCTCACTGACAGCCACAGTAACAAAGAACAGAAAGCCCGACAGACACTGTCGTGGATGCTCTTAGACCACACCGCACAGTGGAGACTTCACAGACCCCGAGTCCTGCACTTGGTGGGTGGGTCTCACGACCGCCCTTCCCCCTTGCGGTGCAAAGAAAGTTCACCGCCCTATTGCTGTCTCTCCCAGAGGATCTTTCTGACCTACTCAAGGAACATTTATTAATAATCTATTGAGAGAAAGACAATCTAGTAGGTCTTATGCATTTTCTATCTTCTCCCATTTTTCCATGAACGATATCTGTTATAGCAGCCCTGTTAAACTAACTCCCCGACCCAGCCCCCAGCCCCTGACACCTGTTACTCTACCATCTGTGTCGATGAATTGGGCTACTTTAGGGACTTCATTTAGGTGGAATCATACAGTGTTTGTCCTTTTGTGTCTGGCCAATTTCACTTAGCACAATGCCTTCAAGGCTCACCCATGTTGTAGCATGTGCCAGAATTTCCTTCCTTTGTAAGACTGGATTCCATTGTACATATAGCCCACACTGGGCTTATCCATCCATCTGTCCATGGACACTGGCTGCTGCCACATTTTAGCCACTGAGCAACACTGCTGTGGACACAAGTGTACAAATACCTGCTCAAGTCCCTGCTTTCTGTCATTCTGGATACACACCCAGAACTGGCATTGCTGGATCATATGGTAATTCTATGTTTAATTTGTCGAGGAGACTCCATACAGGACTTTGAATTTTACTCTGAATGAGAGGGTGACACTGGGGAGTTCTGAGTAGGGAAGCGATGTGATGGGACCTAACATTTTTATAGGGTCACAGTGGGCTGCCTTTGGGAATAGGCAGGTGGGAGGACAGGGAAGAGGAGAGCAGGGAGGAGTTGCTGTGTGTATCCTGGAAAGAATGAAGGTGGCTTAGACCCGGCTCTCGGCCAAGGCAGAGAGATGTCCATTCCTGGCTGCCTGTGGACGGGAGAGCCAACAGAAATCGGGGTTGCATGTGGATTTGTATGTGCAGAATACGAGAGAAAGAGCATGAGGAAGAGAAGATGGAGCTGCCATTCACAGCGATGGAAATTGACCAGGAACTCACCTCTGGCCATTTTAAGTCTGAGACATTTACTAGAAGTCCAAGTGGCCACAGCACTTGGTGACATTGTCAGCTGGTCCTCTGACTTCTACCAGCCACTTTCCCTGGCCCCTTTTTGGCTTGAGCCTCCCAGCTGCCAAGCACGCCTGGATGTTCCAGATGTTTTCAGGTTCCCAGAGCCCTTGCTGTAGCAGCTCAAGCCTTCCTCCCCGGCCTCATCTGCTTTCCCCGTGATGTTTGAGAGCTTTTCTCAGGTGTGTGGGAGGAAACAGCATGTTGGGGGCCAGGAGACAGCCACCCAGACCTTGACAAGGCAGGGGACGGCTTCAGCTCCCGAAGACCCTCTTGCGTTCCCAGCCAAGCCAGAGGCTTACAGGCTGCTGAACGCACCTGAGGCAGCACCCATGGTGCAGCCCTGGTGCTGCAGGCCAAGCTCTTGGTCCTGTCACAGGGAGAAAGTCTATGCCCCGACAGCTTGAACCTGAGTCAAGGGTCACCTTTCAGAGCTGAAATTGACTTCTTGGAAAGCCAGAGAAATGCATTTTCCCATAGCATTGAGGGCACCCCAGCCCTGTGCCCACTGAGGGAGGGAAGGGGGCTTCTAGAGGCATCATCAGAGCAAGATGTGAGCTGGCTTTGCTTTGACCTCACTGTCAGGGCCTGCCCCAGATGCCAGCACTCAGAGCTCACTCTGCAGAAGAGGGAACCGAGGCTGGGAGGGGCGAGAGAGTGTGCAGGGTACGCAGTGGGTGAATAAGTGAGTCAGGTAGAGAGCCCAGTTCTCCTGGGCCCCAGGTGTGCCAGCAGCCTGCACAGAGTGGCCTTGGCTTGGCGGTCTTTCCCCACAAAGCATGGACTCTCAGAATCAGACCCCAGCTGAGACGAAGCACCAGATGGATTGCTTTTTAGACGGTGCATCCTGTTAGAGCTTAGGCTTCCCAGAGTGAATACGCACTTTCGTGTGAGTTTTTGCAATGCATTCACTTTTTTAGAAAACTTCCCTGTAGATGCCCGCTAGATACTGGGTTCTGATTCTGAACACAGACACCCCACTGTAGGTGGATTGGTGGGGGGCAGAAGATTTTAATCTTTGGGAGGATTGAGGGGTGTCTCTCTCCCTTGCACCTCTGAAGGTCACTGTCACGCTGTTGCTGGCATCTCAGCATTTCCATCCACTTCTCTATTTCCACTAACAATGCCCTAGCTCTGCCATGGCCACCTCTCACCGATCTCCTGCGGTGGCCTCCCATCTAGTGTCCTGCTTCACCCGCACCCCACAATCTCCTCCACACAACAGCTGCAGTGATCCCTTTAAAGGTAAGTCAGCTCCTCCTTAAAACCATACAATGGTCCAACACGGCATTTGGAAAGAAATCCCAACCCTTCCCCAGCTGGTCTCTGGGCCCTGCCCTCCTCTCACCATCCCTGGCTGCTCTGCTCCAAGTGCAGGGAGCCTCTTTCTGCTCTGGGAATCTGCCAAGCCTGTGCACTTTTAGAGCCGTCTCTCTGCTCTGCCCTCTGTGCTTTGCAAAGCCTCTCCTTGCCACTGAAGACTCCAGCATACGTCGCACTTTCTGGGAGAGGTCTTTCTCTTATCTAAATACCCCTGGGCCTGTGCGATGATTCTGTCCCGTCATCCTGTTTGAATTTCTTTGTGGCACTTACCTCTCCTAGAAATCAGTGGCCGTTTACTTTGCTAGTCTGCCATCTGCCTTCCCCTCTGCTCTCCTCCCTGCATCAACTAGAATATGGGCTCCACGGAGCAGGAGCTGCCAGCTGTGGCCTCCAGCATGTTGCAAGATCTGTCTCAAAAGTTCTTGTTCAGGGGATAATGGATTCCTCAAAGGAAGGAATCAGACCCTCTCTGGGACTCCCCTGGGTGCTAGAGGACCTCGCTACCTTCATGTGGGGCTGCTAGGAGCCAACACTGTCACAGCGTTTCTGGACAGCAATTTGGCTGTCTAGACCAGAAGCTCCGAAACAGTTCCACGGTATTGAACCAAAGCAATTTTTCTTCTGAGAGCCTAAACTGAGGGAAAAATTCTAAAATGTAGGCAATAATTCATACACAAATATTAGATGAAGCTATATACATACATCCACATGTAGTAGGGAAATGTCAAAAGTGGTATTTACTATTAGCTTGAATGACATTAAAAAGGTTTATGGTACAGTATTAAGTAATATGAAACATACAAAAGTTTATGTACAGCATCGTAACAGTTCATGCTTATTTAGAGGACTTGTGCCAGTCACCACATCGAGAACTTTATTTACATTTTCTAATTCTCTGAACAACCGTGTGAGGTAGTTATTATCTCAATTGTATTGACTGAGAAAATGAGACATGAACAGATCAAGGAAGCTGACAAATATGGCGTAGTTTGTAAACTGTAATGTGAGGATTTGAATCCAGAGCCTCTCACTCCAAGCACTCCATTTAAACTCTACTGTATGCTGATTTGAGTTTCATAAACAACTTGAAAATGTGCATATCCCTTGCCGCCCCCACTATCAGAAAGACTAAGAAGAAATACACCAAAATATTCACAGAGATTGCCTCTGGGTATTGGGGTTCTGGGAAACGTTTTCTTTATAATTTCCTGTATTTAAATATTTTTCTGTAAAGAGCACACATCATTTTCATGTAAAGTTTTGAATTTTATCAAAAGATTAGTAGTCACACACAAACCACAGATAACTTTGGCTAATTAATATAGAGTCAAAAATACTTCTATAAAACAAGCTATTTCAATCAAACATGATGTTTAATATGATTAAGGAGGGCTCATTCCACTGTGAAAAGACAACTTAGCATTAAGAACCACATAGCCAGGCACGGTGGCTCACAAGTGTAATCCCAGCACTTTGGGAGGCTAAGGTAGGAGGATCGCTTGAGCCCAGGACTTCGAGACCAGTGTGGTCAACATGGTGAAAACCTCCCTCTATAAAATTTACAAGAACTAGCCAGGTGTGGTGGTGCATGCCTGTAGTCCCAGCTACTTGGGAGGTTGAGGTGGGAGGATCACTTGTGCCCAGAAGATTGAGGCTGCAGTGAGCCGTGATCATGCCACACACTTCCAGCCTGGGCAATGGAGCAAGACCTTGTCTCAAAAAAAAAAAAAAAAAAAAAAAAAAGGAAGAAAGAAAAAGAAAGAAAAGAAAAGGAAAAGAAAAAAGAAAAAAGGAAACATAATCAAAGGCATCCCTGTAAAAGCTTGTTGTAACCTAAAGAAAAAGGAAACTTCCTAGATATCTTCTGCAAGCCTATAGCCAGATTCAGAAGTGAGAGACGCCTGCTAACATTGAGATAATTTAACTTTGTTTTGGGAATTCTTGCCAGTGTAATACAACAAGAAAAGGTAATACAACATCTACACATTTCGAAAAAAGGCATAACAGATGATCTGTTTGTCTTTCAGGGAAATCTAAGACAAGTAATTGAAAAGCTATTAGAGCTAATAAGAGAACTGAAATAGACAAAAATCAATAGCTTTCTTTTTTTCAACAATAACATTAGCAATGCCAATTCTCCAAAAATTGTATATAAATTTAAATTTAATGCCAATAAAAATGAATGCAGGAATTCATAGCTTGTCAAAATTATAGCCTTAAGTTAAATCAGAAAAATGAATGAGAAAGAATAATGAAGAAAATCTTTTAAAAAAGAACTGAAACTGTATCATTAAACTGGAGTAATTAATTTATGTGGTTCTATGCAGGAAAAGACAGAGTCCAGAAATAGGCCCATGATTATGTGGGAATTGAGTAAGTGATAAGGAAGGCAATTCAAATCAGTAAGAAAAATGGCTTTTAAAAAATTTATTATCTAATATTTGATTTGTCAAGTCATTAAATAATTATCTATACCCTAAAGATATCCTGTATTTTTTCTAAAAGATTTAATTTTCACCTTTGATTTACAATTAATAAAATTTTTTCTTGAGACAGAGCCTCACTCTGTCACCAAGGCTGGAGTGCAATGGCACCATTATGGCTCACTGCAGCCTTGACTTCCCAGGCTCAAGCAATCCTCCCATCTAAGCCTCCCGAGTAGCTGGGACTACAGGCGTACATCACCATATCCAGCTAATTCTTCTAATTTTTGTAGAGGTGAGGTCCCACTCTGTTGCTCAGGCTGGTCTCGAATTCCTGGGCTTAAGTGGTACGCCCACCTTAGCCTCCCAAAGTGCTGGGATTGCAGGTGTGAGCCACTGTACCTGGACCATATTTATGTCTTTAATCAATTTGGATTCAATAGTCAAGAATGGTTGAGCAGTAAGGCCACAGTTTTATGTGAAGAAAAAAGTTTTCTCAGCCTCATTTATCGAGTAGCTCATACCGCCCTGGAGACGCACAGTGCCTCCCCGGCATGTGCATGAGGGTCCGTCTGAGACTCTCCGTTCACTTCCTGTTCTATTTTTACACTCCCTGGTCCGTTCCATCTTCATTACTGCAGCTTTTAGTAAGTGTGGACATCTAGGAGGGGACTCCTCTCTATCTTGGTTTTTTTTCTCTTCATAGATATCTTTTCTATTTTTGAGCCTTTTCTTATGCATAAAATTTTGAAAACCAGCTTGTAAAGTTCCTCAAAAACACCCTTTGGAATATAGATTGGAAACACATTTGATTTTTAAGTAATTTGGAGAGAATATGCCTCTTAATGATGAGTCCTCCTAATCATGGTAAATCCATCTTTCCTTCTGTTTAAGCCCTTCTTTAACATCGTTCAGTAAAGTTTACGTCTCCATACAAGTTTGCACATATTTTATTAGGTCCATTTCTAGGTAAATTATGTGTTTAGTTGGCATTGGAAATGAGCTATAAAAAAAAACTACATTTTTCTAAATGGTCAAAATATATGAATAGGCCGTATACAGAGGCAAAGAATCCATATAACCCATGAGCATCTCAAATATAATCAAGGGAAACAAATTAAAACAAAAAGATTTAATTTATTACCTATTCCACTAGTAAAACTAATGTTTGACAATACGAGTTTTGGTGAGAATATGGGGAAAATGAAAACTCTCAGGTATTGCTGGTGGGATGATAAATGGGTTCGATCGCTTTGGGGAGTGTTTTGGGAACCCATAGTGCCACTGAGGGAACATAGCCCACTGCCCTGTAAGTCCATAGGTAAATTAAATATCTAAATTCCCTGTGTTGTTCAGAGAAACTCTCACATATGTGCAAAACAGGGAATGTATGAGGTTGCCCATCCCAATGCATTTCATCATTTTGAAACAGTGTCCCTTAGAAAATGAATGAATAAAAGGAAGTTTATTCACTTAATAGAAAAGGATACAGTAAAAAAAAAAAAAGCACTGGGAATCTGTGTATTACAACAAACAAATCTCAAAAACACATATTTCTGAAAAAAAAAGCAAGTTGCAAAAAGGTTACATACATTATGAAGCCATTTTTAAAAGTCTAAAACATACAGAGTAGCAATATATATTGTTTATAATTGCTTATACATGTCGTAAATGTCCAAAATCATACATGGTTAACACCTACTAACTCCATGATCATTATTAATTTTGGAGAGAAAGAGAGGAGAAAATAATGACCAATCTTTAGTTGTATCTTCATATCTGGAACATAAAAAGAGAGAGGAAAAAAAGAGAAGGAAGAAAGTGTACCAAAATATGAATATCTGTTTGATCTTAGCAGTGTCACATTATTTTCTGTTTTTTTATACATTTAAAATATTCATAGCTAGTGGTGAAAAAATTTCTTAAATAGTTGTATATTTCTATCATCTAGGAGTGAGGAAGACATTTGCAAGTGTGAACGACACAGGAAAGATTAATAGGAAAGATTAATAAATTGACTAGGTAGAAATGATAGCTTTTACTGCATAATACATACCATGCTGTAATACATAATACAAACACAAAGTTCAGTTGGGCATGGTGGCTCACACCTGTAATCCCAGCACTTTGAGAGACCAAGGCAGGAGGATCACTTGAAGTCAGGTGTTTGAGTACAGCATGGCGAACATGGAGATACCCCGTCTCTACTAAAAAGACAAAAATTAGCGAGCATGGTGGTGGGCGCCTGTAGTCCCAGTTACTAGGGAGGCTGAGGCAGGAGAATCACTTGAACCCCGGAGAAGGAGATTGCAGTGAGCTGCGATGGCGCCACTATACACCAGCCTGGATGGCAGAGCAAGACTCCATCTCAAAACAAACAAAAAAAATTAGTAAGTTAAAAAGCATAACCTAAATTAAGAAAAATATTTACATTTATGACATTAATGTAAAAATTACACATATTTATCACATAAAGAGGTCTTCCATATCATTGACAAAATGATAAATACCTTAATGTAAAAAGTGGTAGAAGACGTGGATGATCAAATCATAATAAGAGAAACACAAGTGGCTAATAAGTACATGATAAAATCAATAGAAAAGTAAATTAATACTATGTTGTTCATCACTTTTCACTGAGCAGATTGACAGAGTTGTTTTTTTTTTTTTTAATTTGTTATAAACCATTGTCCAGGGACTGGAGAAATGGCTTCCTTCATCACGGTGAGAATGTAAACCAGTCTTACCTTTATAAACATTAATTTAGCTTCATAGATCAAGATCTTTAAAAATGTGCATATTCTTAAACACCATAATTCCGGTTATGGAAACATAGCTTAAAAATATTGGACAATTGAATATTTACCTTACAACAATGTTTACTGTGGGTTTATTTATAACAGCCAAAAGTTGAAAATAACTTATTTGACCATTAGTGATTAAATAAATTAATGGTAAATTTGTACAATAGCATGCAGTTATTCATATGGTTCAAAATTACATTTATTTATATATAATTTATACTGTACTGTTCACAGAAATAACCAAGTTATGACACAATATAAACAGTTTGGCCCATTTTTCAAGACTATATGTATATGTAACACCTTTGAAAATGCATACACTGAACATTCACAACGATTTTCCATTGGTGGTAGGGTTGTAACTGATTTTTTTTCCTTTGCGTAGATGAGAATTTTCTAATTTTCTACATGTGCAGTACTTGCTTAATAAAAAATGAGATTGAAAAGTAAAAGACCACTTTTTTGTAAGCCAGCTCAGAAAGGATGAAAAGAATAATAACCCTTGTTTAAGAAAGTACAGGGAACTACATACTTCCATACTGCTGTACGAAATGTCTGAAGGACAATTTGCCAAAATATATCGGAAGACTTAGAAAGGTTATGTATGCTCTTGAGCGTGGGAATCCCACTTGTGGGATTTTTAACCTCAACAAAAATTAAGGGAAGATATGAGGAAAGAGAAAGGGCATGAGCAAAGGACATTTTTGCAGCATGTTTATGATCTTGAGAAAATGGAAACAGCTGGGGTGTGCGGCAGAAGAAGTGGGGAAAATGACAACGGTTCATTAAACCTCACGATCAGATGCTGACAGCCCCTCACAGGTTGCTGCAGACAAAACAGGGAACGACAGGAAAAAGATGACCGTGATACGCTCTGCTAAAAGCAGGTCGCAAAACAGGATGTAGATAATGATCCCATTTTGCTTTTTTACAAAAAAAAAAAAAGGCCATGGAAAATTACATATCACGAATGTTCAGAGTGGCTGTCTCTGGATGATGGCATTGGAGTTAATTTTATCTTTCACTCTATTTTCTGAATTTCCTATATCAAAAGCAAATTGATGGTGTGAAGGGGAAAGCATATTTAATGTGATTCCTAAAAGGCTCAGCCCTCCCTGCATGGATTGAGCACTGAAAGAAGAGGGTTCTGTCACCTCTTTCGTGCTGACCCTTGCCTTTTCTAATGTTGCTCAGAGGCACACAGACGTATTTGCTTTAAGTAATTGCTTGTCTGTTTTTAATATCACATTTTGAAAAGGTATTTAGACAACATGAGTTTATTACTTTCTGTTTAACCCAAATCCTTCAGAGGTACTTAAAGCAAAATGTAAAGTCCTCTTATCCCTTTGTGAATTTCAGTCCCCAGAAGTCTCACTGTTAGTAGTTTGATTTTTACCAAAAATGTCCAGGTATTTTCTTTTCATCTGCAAATGTGTTAATAGACTCCTTTTTTTAAATTTCACACAAGCAGGATTATATCATACAAAACATTCTGCAATTTACTCTTTTCATGTAACAATAATGTATCCTGGGTATTTTTCTTTGCCAGTTCAGATCTCTTTTATCCTTTTACTAATTTATTTACCTATCTATTCATTTGCTTAACTTGATTTTATTATTATACAAGTTATCCATGAATATTGTTTTCAAAAATTTAAACAGTCAGAAAAGGTATAAACTGAAAACTCAAAAGTTCGCCTTCCCTGCCACCACTCATGTGCCCTCCTCAGAAGCAAGGAATGGAGCAGCTTTTGTGGGGTTTTTTGTTTTTTCTCTGAGACAGAGTCTCATTCTGCCGCCCAGGCTGGAGTGCAGTGGCATGATCTCGGCTCACTGTAATCTCTGCCTCCCTGGTTCAAGCGATTCTCCTGCCTTAGCCTCCTGAGTAGCTGGAATTACAGGCACCCACCACCATGTCCGGCTGATTTTTGTATTTTTAGCAGAGACAGGGTTTCACCGTGTTTTCATTAGAGACAGGGTTTCACCATGTTGCCCAGGCTGGTCTCGAACTCCTATCCTCAGGTGATCTGCCCGCCTCGGCCTCCCAAAGTGCTGGGATTACAGGTGTGAGCCACCGCACCCAGCTGCAGCTTTTGTTTTTAAACATTCTTTTCATTACAGTTACAACTTCAAGAAATACTAATGCCAATATCTCTGAGCTAAATACACTGACAGATGCAGAATGCACTTCATCATGCTGTCTCTTTTCTTACCTGGCTTTCACCTGCACACTCCCCTCTCCATTTCCTAGATTTTTATCAGCTGTTTTGTATCCTAGTGATTGGCTTTATGACTTTAAATAATATATTTAAATGTTTACGTCTCAATTCATTAGCTTTAGGCAGTATCTGAAGTTAACACCTGCTCACAAACACTGCTTTCAAATTCACATCCTACTTTTTTGTTATACTGTTATTTTTACATATTAAGGCTTATCATATATATATTCTGGCTGGACTTGGTGGCTCATACTTGTAATCCCAGCACTTTGGGAGGCCAAGGCGGGTGGGTCACCTGAGGTCAGGAGTTTGAGACCAGCCTGGGCAAAATGATGAAACCCCATCTCTAATACAAATACAAAAATTAGCTGGGCGTTGTGGCACATGCCTGTCGTCCCAGCTACTTGGGAGGCTAAGGCAGGAGGATCACGTGAACCTGGGAGGTGGAGGTTGCAGTGAGCTGAGACTGTGCCAGTGCACTCCAGCCTGGGGGACAGAGCAAGACTCTGTCTCAAAAAAACAAAAAATTATATTCTGTTGTGTTCAGTGCTTATATAATTTTACTGTGTTTCATCAGTAGGTTAGTACTCAAAACTTTTTCAGTTGAAAATCAGGCACTACAATAATATAACTATGTAAATTTTGTTCTGTAGAATTAAGTGGGATAATTGAATACATAGAGAAGGCCATCTGATACTATGTCATTAAAATTTGCCATTTGAGGGAGAATTTCCCAAATATCAAGGTTTTATGAAGCCTCTTTCGTTTTCTTTTATGTGCTTGGGGGTCACACTCGGCTATCCTTATTTCTTATAACTCATGTCATTCTTATTTGCAGTTTCGTTAGAGGACGTCCTAGTGTCGCTTATTCTTTCCTGTACGTGCATGCTCGCAAGGGGTCTTTCACTGTCCTTAAGGCTTAATGTGGACGTCTAGACAGCAATAAGCTTTTTCTACCAGCTTACAAAACTCAACACACCAAAGACTATACAAAACTCCATACCCTTCAATGGCTTGCAATGCTCTTTTTAAAAGTCACCTCTAAGGGGGTGTAAATAACATTCCACAAAATTCACCCATTTGGGGCACAATTATGCATTTTTGCAAATATATACTCTTGTATAAAGTCCACCACAATCAAAATGGACAACATTTTCACCACCCCAATAAGTTTCCTTTAGCCCTTTCTGTTCATACCCCTTATGCTACCTCCAACCACTGATCTACTTTCTAGAACCATAGCTTTGCCTTATCTAGAATTTTTCTTTCTTTTTTTTTTTTTAGTGGGGAAGGAGTTTAATTGACATAAGCCTAGCCCACACAGGAGAACTGAGTTGTCACTGAAATTAGTCTCCCCAAAGGTGTGAAGGTCAGGACTTTTATGGACAATTTGGTGGGCAGGGTAATAGATAATGGGTGTTGCTGATTGCTTGTAAAAGAAATCGTAGGGGTGTGGAAAATTGCCCTTGTGAGTGAGTACTCCTTTGGGTGGGGCCACAGGACAAGTTGAGTCATGAGTTTTGAGTTTGGGTGGGGTCCATTGGTTGCCAGAATGCACAAGTCTGGGTGTAAAAAAAAAAAAAAATCTCAAAAGACCAATCTTAGGTTCTGCAATAGTGATGTTATCTACAGGACCAAATGGGGGAGTCAGAAATCTTGTGACCTCTGGCCACATGACTCCTGAGCAGTAAGGGATTACAGAAATTATGCCTACATTTTAGCAGAATTCAGGTCCCCCCATAATCCTGTTCTTGTGGGCTTTCTTAGTCTTACAAGGGTGATTTTTGCTCCCTGAGCAAGGAGGGGGTTAGTTTTGGGGAGGGACTATTATCATCCTTGCTTTTTCTTTGAGACAGAGTCTCACTCTGTCACCGAGGCTGGAGTTCAATGGCGTGATCTCAGCTCACTGCAATCTCTGCCTCCCAGGCTCAGGTGATCCTCCCACCTCAGCCTCCCAAGTCATTGGCACTACAAGCACATGCCTCCATGCCTGGCTAATTTTTGTATTTTTTGTAGAGATGGAGTCTTGCTGTGTTGTCCAGGCTGGTCTAGAACTCCTGAGCTCAAGTGATCTCCCACCTTGGCCTCCCAAAGTGCTGGAATTACAGGCATGAGCCACTGCACTTGATGATCATTCTTGCTTTTAAGTTAAACTATAAACTAAATTTCTTCCAAAGTTACTTTGGTTTATGGCCAGCAATGACCAAGGAGAGCTTGGAGGTCAGAAGCAAGATGGAGTCAGCCATGTCAGATTTCTCTTACTGTCATAATTTTGCAAAGGTAGTTTCAATCCCCCTCACACACACTTGGGCTTCAGCACCCCTCAATCCTGAGGTGTTAGCTACGGAGATGAGAAAAGGCTAATGATTGCTCTAACTTCTTCCTGCTGACAGGGGGCATATTTGGGGGAGGGGTTGACCCCAGGGTAAAAGGAGTGGAAGTGTCTTGCAGTTGCCTGTATGTATTCAAGTGCAACTTGTTGGGGTCCAACATGTGTATAACGAAAACATTGGTGCTCTTATCCACAGATTTAGTACAGCATTTAAGAAGAAAAATAATGAGCCGTAAAAAGGAACGAGATTATGTCCTTTGCATGGAAGTGGATGGAGGTGGAAGGCATTATCCTCAGCAAACTAACGCAGGAACATAAAACCAAACACTGTATGTTCTCAATTATAAGTGGGAGCTGAACGGTGAGAACATATGGACACACAGAGGGGAATAACACACACTGGGGCCTATTGGGGAGCGGGAAGGAGAGCATCAGGAAAAATAGCTAATGGATGCTGGACCGAATACTTAGGTGATGGGTTGATAGGTGCAGCAAACCACCATAGCACACGTTTACATATGTAACAAACCTGCACATTCTGCACACGTACCCCATAACTTAAAATTTAAAATAATAGTAATAATAATAATTAGCCCTAATATAAGGAGTGAAAGTGTAAATCGCCCAGTGGGTTCACCTTGCCCGCTGCCTAGACAAAGCCAATTTATCAAGACAGAGGAATTGCAAAAGAGAAAGAGTAATTCACACAGAGCCAGCTGTGTGGAAGACCGGAGTCTTATTATTACTCAAATCAGCCTCCTTGAGCATTCGGCGATCAGAGTTTTTAAGAATAATTTGGTGGGTGGAGGAAGCCAGTGAGTCGAGAGTGCTGATTGGTTGGGTCAGAGATGAAATCACAGGGAGTCAAAGCTGTCTTCCTGCGCTGAGTCAATTCCTGGGTGGGAGCCACAGATCAGATGAGCTGGTTTCTTGATCTGGGTGGTGCCAGCTGATCCATCAAGTGCCAGGTCTGCAAAATATCTCAAGCGCTGATCTTAGGAGCAGTTTGGGGGGTGGGAGATCAGAATCTTGTAGCCTCCAGCTGCATGACTCCTAAATCATAATTTCTAATCCTGTGGCTAATTTGTTAGTCCTACAAAGGCATCTAGTTCCCAGGAAAGAAGGAGGGTTCTTCTGGAATGCGCTGTTATTGTCTTCATTTTTAACTACAAACTATAAATTAACTTCTTCCCAAAATTAGTTCAGCCTATGCCCAGGAATGACCAAGGACAGCTTGGAGGTTAGAAGCAAGATGCAGTTGGTTAGGTTAGATCTCTTTCACTGTCTCAGTTGTAATTTTGCAGCGGCAGTTTCAAAAGTCCTAGCTTCAGGAGTCCCTGTAGAACTGACCTGAAGCCTCAAGGAATCCAGGTGAATAACCCCAAAAATCAACCAAATATGGGGTCATCAGCAGAAGCTCAAGAACAATGGATGAGGCTGGAATCTAATAACAGGTGTGCTGTAGCTGTTTTGAAACATAATTTTTCTCTCTCCAGTTTATTTTTACTAAAGACAAGACCAATTTATTTGCAAAATAAGCTTGCCTTATTATACTTTGCCTAATTATTTACATAAAGTGCAGCAAGAATAATTATTGGCCATATAGGCTCTTTTTTTCTAACTGGCTTTGCTGGAATTTTTTTCATAAGGAATCTCAGATTAGACCTTTTAAAAGTCTCTTGAGCCCAGCCAAGGATTTATTTGTGCCTGCAGATACTTGTATGAATTGGGTGAATTCCTTTCTTCTTGAGGTCCCAACAAAGCTTGGAGTTCCTGGGCCTGTCAGAAAGTGACATTCTTTATTTGCCACAGGTCGGGAATCCTGTACAGGACAAGGTAGGAGGTCAGTTCCTCCAAGGGGCTTTCATCATCTCTGTAGGTCAGCCTCGATTTCTTAAAGCAGTCTGAAAATATGTCATTTCAGTCAAAGCCTTGGTAAAATAAGCAGTGTCTCCAACTGTGTCTTGCTACAAAAGAAAACACATTCTTATTGAACTTACTCAAGTAACTATATTGCCTTATGTTAAAAATACTCACAAATAATTTCCAAATTCTGGAGAAGGCAGGTAAAGAGAAAGAAATATGCTCTAAATTTTGTTTACAGGAGTATATTTTGCTCAATTGTTAAAAGTTGTAAATAGCTCAGTAGAAGTTTTCTTTACTCTGAAAAACAAAACAAAAAGAATCAGCAACAATTTTAAGTGAAAAGTCGAAAAGATTTTTCCAGTTACTGAATGTTTTGGTTGTTTCCAGCTGGGAGCTAATTAATATGAGTAACAATGCTAAGAACATATATGTCAAGTCTTTCTGTGGTCATATGTTTTTATTTCTCTTTGATAAGCAACAAGAAGTGAAATATCTGGGTCACAGGTTAAGAAGCTCCCAAATTGTTTCCTAAAGTTGTTTCGTTTCACCTTACCATCAGCCTCAGGTGAGCATTCTAGTTTCTCCATATGCTTGCCAACACTTGGTATGATCGGTCATCTAATTTTAGCATCTGGGTGGTTGTGTGGTGGCATTTCACTGTGGTTTTAGTTGCCATTCCCCTAATGACTGACGACACCGAACACCTGTTCATGGGTTTGTGTGCTGCTCAGCTGTCTTCTCTGTTCAACTGTTTGTTAAATTGAATTTTTGGCTTCTTTTATAGAGTTTAAAAGTTAATTATATATTCTCATATAGATACATGTTTTTCAAAAATGTCCTGCCTGTCTCTGATTTAGCTATTTCTTTTCTTAATGGTGTTTTTAAAGTGCAGAAGTTCTTAATTTTGAAAAGTCTAATTTATCAATTTTTCTTGTATACTTTATGATCTTCTATTCTAAGGGAATAATCTATTCTAAGGGAATAGAAGGTCACGTTTGTATGCTTCTGACTCATATTCTTTATATCCTTTGTGACACCAAGGTCACAAAGATTTCCTTCTAGGTTTTCTTCTAAGAATATAATGTACCTCTTTAAAGCAGCTTTTAAGATTGTTTTTATTTATCATTGGTTTTCAACAATACGATTATAATGTACCTTGGTGTGGTTTTCTTCATACTTGGGGTTGATATTCTTGAGTCTTCGGGTCTATAGCTTCTATCAAATTTGGAATTTCCATTTTTGGTTTCTTTAAGTTTCATAGTCTTTCTGGTAGCCCAGTTACGTGTCTTCTGACTGCGTGCTAATTTCTCCCCAGTCACTGATGCTCTGTTGTTTATGTTCACCTTTTTCTCCCTGTGCTTCACTGTGGGTACTTTCAATTGCAGTGTCTCCAAGCCCTCTGACCTTCCTTCTGCAGCACCCAATGTACTATTCATCCCATCTAGAGTTTTGGTTGTTTGTTTGTTTGTTTTTGAGACAGAGTCTCGCCCTGTTGCCCAGGCTGGAGTGCAGTGGCACCATCTCGGCTCACTGCAACCACAGCCTCTCGAGTTCAAGTGATTCTTCTGCATCAGCCTCCCAAGTAGCTGTGATTACAGGCACCTGCCACCAAACCCAGCTAGTTTTTGCATTTTTAGTAGAGATGGGGTTTCACCATGTTGGCCAGGCTGGTCTCAAACCCCTGACCTCAAGTAATTCACCTGCTTCGGCCTCCCAAAGTGCTGGGATTACAGGCATGAGCCAATGTACCTGGTCATGTTTTTTTTTCCTTTTATAAAAAAATTTTAATATTTATTTATTTATTTATTTATTTGAGACAAAATCTCGCTCTGTTGCCCAGGCTAGAGTGCAGTGGTGTGATCTTGGCTCAAAGCAACCTCTGCCTCCCAGGCTCAAGCAATTCTCCTGCCTCAGGCTCCCAAGTAGCTAGGATTACAGGCACGCAGCACCATGCCCAGCTCATTTTTTTTTTTTTTTTTGTATTTTTAGCAGAGACAGGGTTTCACCATGTTGGCCAGGCTGGTCTCGAACTCCTGAGCTCAAATGATCCTCCTGCCTTGGCCTCCTAAAGTGCTGGGATTACAGGCATGAGCCGCCACTTCTGGCCTCTCTTTTTTCTTAATTTCAGATATTGTATTTTTTTTAATCTCTAGGAGACCCATTTAATTTTTTTATGTCTTCATTTTCTCTCTTCATTGTCTTATTGCTTTCAGTTATATATTTGAACCAGTTTATATATTTTTGTCATTTCTGTTTTAAGGCACTAGTCTACTAATATCAAAATGTGTGCAATTTCTGCTCATGTTCCTCTCAATTAACTTTTCTCCTAGTTGAGAGTCATGTTTTTCTGTTTCTTTGCATGCCTGGCAATTGTTACTGGATGACAGGCACTATGAGTGCTGAATATGATTAGTGAGCGCTGAATATTATCGTGTTTCTTTAGAGAGTGTCACACTTGCATGTGGCACACTGTTAAGTTACCTGTGGATAAAATTGGTTTTTGAATAACAGTTCTGTGACTTACTGTACCTTCAGCAAGACCTTAAGCCTCAAGGAGCCTGAGTTTCTTCATCTGTAAAATGGGAAGGTATATGTCTGCTGTCAGGGCTACATATAATACATGAAAAGCATGCAGTAAAATGCCCAGCCTTGAGTCAGAAGGTGTACTAGGCACTGTGCCAGCATCATTAGTATTCATGTTTTATGTGATAGGCAAATCCTGCAACCGTTTTATGAGTTAATTTTAAATCTCTGCCTCTCTAGCAGGACATCTGTGTCTCTAGATCCACTCAGTAATTACAATCAACCCAAGCATGTTAAAGGCCTGAGACCTTTTCTTTTCTTTTTCTTTCTTTAACATTTTCCAATCTCATGTTTGAAAGCATAAAAGAGAACCTTTCAGTCTAAATGTTCTCCTGCACCCTCAAACCCGATGGAGGTGCTTCTCACTGCACGCTCCCTTCTTACACATTCCACCTCTGGGTTCTGCCAAGGAAACATTGGAGAAACAGCTCCAAAGGATTGAATGATGTCCAGGGCCTTTTAAGAGAGGTTCAAGTCGTGACCAGATGTGTATCTGGGTAAGATACGTGTGAACCTCCGTGGGAAAGACCAAGGGTTTGAAGTCAGAGATGTGGCTCAAATCTCTCTTCTGTGCTTCAGTTTCTTCCCTGTCTGCCGGAGGAGGAGGAGGAGGAGGAGAAGGAGGAGGAGAGGAGTAGGAGGAGGGGGAAGGGGAGGTGGAGGAGACGGAGGGGGAGAGGGAGGGAGATGGGGAGGGGGAGGATCTATCTAGTTTACAGGGTCCTCATGAGGCTCATGTGGGAAAATGCTTTGCAGGCTGGAAAGTACCACAGAGGTGTGAGTTATTATAAAAAGGGAAGTTATTTCCCTCTGTCAAAAAGCTATGCAGAAATATACTAATATGTAAGAAATGTTTGTATGGAGGACAGAAATAATTCATTTCATGGAGAGACAAGAGGATCACTGGCAGTAAAACTGCAGGCATTATTTATGGGAGACTCAAAGGAGGGAATGCCCCGTGTTGGCGGGCCTGCCTTTCAATCCTTGTCACAAGTCATGATCCAGAAGCTCGGCCAATTGAAGAAAGGGTCTCCATGAAGTGGAGCTCATGACCTGCCTGCATCAGCATCACTGGGGGCATTTTTTAAAAATGCAGATACCAGCACTGCTGGGGCTGGGGTTGGGAGTCTGCAAACTCCCCTGCTGGTTAAAATACAAACTGAGGTTTCAGAACTATTGTGCCAAAGAATCATAACTGACTCCATTGGGAAGTAATGACCCATGATTTGATTTCTCATTTAATTTTTCAAAATGCAAACAATGCAAAAAGTTAAAAATTGAAAAATAGGTTAAGGCCCATAGTCTCATCAATACAAGACACAACTGTAGTTGGATTAACATTTTGGCATATTGCTAACATATTTTAATAATCACTACTGTGAGAGTTTTTTAAAACATAAATTTACATGGTGTTCCCCCCCCAAAAAAATTCACTCACATAAAGGAATTTTATCCGTCCCCAGAATTACCTAATGAATTTCAAGCTTCTCTGTTAGCAGAATCAAATGTAGGTGACTCGATAAACAAGTGTCTGTCTTTGACTTAACACAGCTTTATAAAAATGCCTTCTTCCTTCCTTCCTGAAGGTCTGCTCAGCACCCTCAAACTTTTTACCACCTGAAAATCTTTTCTATCAATTTTACCACAATGGGGGGAGGTGAATTTCCACAAAAGATCTTTTCACTTTAAAAAATTGAAATGGCCACATAATTTCTCCTCCTAACTGTGCCGAAGTACCTAAAAGTCACAGGTTGGCATTGCTAGGTCAGCCTTTTGCAGGGGCCACACGTGCCCAAGGCCCTTACACACCCAGCCAGGTGTTACAGAGCAGCCTCTCACCATCAGGCTCTGTGCTAGTGCTGGGAAAAGATTCTGCTGGCATTTAAAAGTATTGCACAAGGAGGCCAGATGCAGCGGCTCATGCCTGTATCCAACCCAGAACTTTGGGAGGCTGAAGTGGGAGGATTGCTTGAGTCCAGGCATTCAAGACCAGCCTGGGCAACATGATGAAATCCCACCTCTACATAAAATTGTTTAAAAAATTAGCCAGGCATGGCAGCACGTGCCTGTGGTCCTAGCTACTCGGGAGGTTGAGGTGGGAGGATCACTTGAGCCCAGGAGTTCAAGGCTGCAGTGAGCCATGATCACGCCTCTGCACTCCAGTCTGGGTGACAAGAGACAGACAGATGAATGAAAGAAAGAAAGAAAGAAGGAAAGAAAGAAAGAAAGAGAGAGAAAGAAAGAAAAAGAAAAGAAGGAAAGGAAAGAAAGAAAGAAGAAAGAAAGAAAGAAAGAAAGAAAGAAAGAAAGAAAGAAAGAAAGAAAGAAAGAAAGAAAGAGAAGGAAAAGGGAAGGGAAGGAAGGAAAGGAAAGGAAGGGATATATTGCACAAAGCATTAGCTGTGAATGACTGTAGCACACACTCTACAATCCAGCAATGGAAAAGCTTTGTTTTCTGAACGTGTTTTCTATCTTCATGTGTTTGGAAAAACACCTATTTCTGAAATACTACCCAACCCTGTTGGGAGTGTGCCTGGTATTTTTTTCTAGTGTTCCCAGTTTCTCATCCTTTGCTCTTTCAACTCCCAACTAACAAGTGTGGAAGGACTGATGGAATCAGAGCACGCCCATTTTGTAACCACTAATGGGACTTTTAAATGTCGGTGAGGAACTTGTCAATGGAGGAATAGGGATGCCTGAGCCTCGACCTATCTTAGCATCACTAAAATGGTGCAGGTAAACACTGTGAGCCTCCTGGTAGGATGCAACATGGAGCACAGATCACCTCCTCGACAGCATCTCTACCAAGAGGGGCTGAGCTTGAATCTAATGGAGCCTACAGAGGTAACTCTATGTGTAAGAAGGACGAGAGGGAAGAGCAAGTGATGAACCATCACAAGGACGCAAAATCCAAAATGGAGAACATTCTATAGGACTGGCCTTTACAAATCAAAGGCTTGAAACTAACCAAAGTCAGAGCAGAAGGGACTCCTGTTTAAAGGAAACCTAAGACGTTGAGTTATATACGAACCTTGTTTGAATCCTGAGTAGGACAAACTAAGCAAGAAGCTATTTTTAAGTCAATTGTTAAAATGTGATTATGAATTGGGTTCAATGGCTGGATGGTTAGATGATACCATGGAAATATTGCTAGTTTTGTTAGATGTGATGAAGTAACATTGGGGTTATGTGAGCAAATGTCTCCATGCTTTAGAAACAAATGCAAAATATGGGGTGGTGAAATGACTTGCTTCACTACATTGATTTCATGTTGTTTCCAAGTTTCATTCATTTAGAGGAAATAAAACGATATGATGTAAAATACTGCAACCCAGAAAACAATTTTAAAGATAATTATTGAATGTGGGTGATGAGTGTAGAAGAGTTCTATTATTATTAATATTATTATTTTATTTATTTTTTTGAGACAGTCTCACTCTGTCAACTAGGCTGGAGTGCAGTGGCAGGATCTTGGCTCACTGCAACCTCCACCTCCTGGTTTCAAGCGATTCTCCCACCTCAACCTCCCAAGTAGCTGGGATTACAGGCATGCGCCTGGCTAATTTTTATAGGCACGTGCCTGGCTAATTTTTGTATTTGTGGTAGAGACGGGGTTTCACCATGTTGGCCAGGTTGGTCTCAAACCCCTGACCTCAAATGATCTCCCACCTCAACCTCGCAAGTGCTGGGATTACAGGCATGAACCACTGTGCCTGGCCAATATTCTTGACTTTAGTATATTTTGGAAGGTTTCATAAAAAATAGTTTTCATCTAAAAAAATCTGTTGTAGCCATCCTTCTCAGGTCTGGCTAGCGTTTTCTCCCAGGTGGAAGTAATTTCTTTTTGCTGAGCTCACAAAACACTTTACCCAGGCCTCTCTTTGGTACAGAATCATGCCCACTCTGAACTGATGGAATCGGGTGCATGCCTTTCCTCCTTATTTTCCTGTGAGAGTGGGCTCCATCCTTGTTTCATGCCTGTACCTTCCGCTATGCCTGACATAGTTCATGGTTGACAGCAACTGAATGTCTGTGGCTGAATGAATAGAAGAACCTCGTTGCTAGGAACTGTTATCGGGGCTGTTTCAGGTTCACATGTGGAGAGGTCAGTATTAGGGCAAAGGTGAGGAAGCCTCATTTCAGTGGTGTTGTCCTGAGTTGAGACATGAAACATGAATTTTAACTCAAATTCTTTGGCCCCTTCTTTAATTCAGAGCCATAGGCCAATCACCGTACTTTCTTCATTTACAAGATGAGTATAGCATTGGTGGTTTGTACTGGGAGAATTTGGAATTCTGGATGTTGGTGAGATGCTCCATATGGGATCTCATGCCGGCAGCTAGCATGGCATTGTGATCGCGACACCCAGGGTGAGTCCCAGCTTTGCCAGTAGGTACCCCTGTTCTACCTGGATGCTACCCACCTATGTCTGGCAGGTCAAATCAGAAAGGCAAAGCCTCCAGCACATAACATGGCAAGGCTTCCAGATACAAAATAGCAAAACTATTTTGCCACAGGGGAGATGATAGGGAATCTGAACTGTCCCCTCCAAGGGACACAGAGCCTCAGGCAGGGCCACAGGTGCACCTGTTTTGTGCAGAGGGCTCAAGCAGCCCTGGAGACAGTAACACCCTCCAGCTGCCAGCTCTGCCACCTTCAGCATGACCTTACCAAGCCACCTCGCCTCGCCTTCTTCAGTGGTAAAATGAGGATAACTGTAACCAATTTATCAAGGCTAACATGTATTAGAAAAAAAGAAAAACTCGTTATCCGTCAAGTGCTTTTCAACCATGTCATGCTAGCCAAGTGCAAATAAGGGGTTTCTAGTTTCTCTATTTTTAGTTGATGCCTCCACCACACCCCTTGTTTGACTGAAGCTGTGTTTCAGGCTTTGAGCATCTCCCAAAGCAAACATTGACTGCCCTGCTCTGGTGAAAGTCTGCATTAGAGGGCCTAGCTGGTTTCAAATAAACAAACAACTCCCCTTTCCCACTTCCCCTCCTCTTGCTGACTCCCCCGACTAGACACACATGCACACGGTGCACATGCATGCTCTCTCACACATGCATATACACGTGCACACATAGACACACACACACATATATACACACACATATTCAAGCACATACACACATGTGTATTCACACGCATGCTCTCGCTCTCACACACACACAAGTGCACATAAGTGTGTATGCTTCCTCTCCCACTCTCTCACAAACATACACAGACTCACACCCTTCCCACAATGCAGCAAAGCCATCTGGAGCCCCAGCCAGTGTGTGATGCGTTTTGCCTCTGTCTGGACTTCTGCACTTCCTGGCTTCACCCAACCTGAAACTGCTGGGTGCAGCCCGAGCACCAGTGACAGCCCTGGTTGTCCCATGGCCTCTTGAGGAACCCAGGTCTCCAGTCAAAGCCACTGGAGTAGGGGGACCCATAGAGACCTGAGGTACTCATGAGACCCATGGAAAATCATCTGCACACACACTGCTAAGGAGTCAAAGGACAGAAGTGTAAGTAGTGGGTCATTTAATCTTAGGAATTTTACTTTCTGTCCGGTTCTTTGTTCAATAAATTGAACAACCAATGTTCAATTATGTTGTCTCAGTGGACACAGGTGTTTGCCAGGAAGCTTAAAGTCAATGGCAATATGGCTGGCCAGACTAAGAAAGACAAGAGGGCTGGTCACCTGGGCAGATGCGGAAGTATGAGTCCAAGTCTGGGGAATATACTAGGAGCTGCTGACCACTGGCCCTTCGTTGAGTCAGGGAGGCTGAGAGAGGCCACGAAAGGCCTGAGGTTCAGGCAGCCCTGGCTGGCCACTTAACGGTCATTGTCAAGAACTGCAGGCTGGCCCTGGCTCCAGGCCTTATGCTCCTCTGTTGCTGGGCAAATCACTCAAATCCTCCTTTTATTTTTCTGCTTGTATCAATAATATATGCTTAGTATTAAAGAATTTAAGAAATATATACAATTAAAAGAAAGAAAGTCAAAGTCACATGAAGTCTTATAATCCAAAATCCATTTAGAAAATACTTTGGTGGGACCTGCTTTGCATTAGCACACACACCGTTTTTTAAGTCCGCTGGTTTTTTTTTTGTTTTGTTTTGCCTTACACCACACCTCTGTTTTGTACTCTCCCTTCCTCTAACAATAACCACAGTAAACAACTTGGTGTTCATCCTCCCCAGCCTCTTTCTGTGTAATATGCAAACATATCTACACGCCTGAATAGAGGTTTCTTTTCATTTGGTGTTTGCAAATATGGGATTCCCTCATGCACCTCTTTGGGTCTTACTTTTCTCGTGTAACAACATGGTACCGAAATTCCTCTTGACCTCACTGGTGAAGATCCAGCACATTTTTTTTAGTAGTTGTATGAGAGATTTATAGAGTGTAGATTTATTCAACAAGTCTTCAATTGCTGGGCAGTTACATTGTTGTTTTCTGTTTGGGATTTTTTTTCGGGGGAGGGGATTGTTTTTCCAACTATTACTACAACAAACATTTTCATCTCTCACATGTGTCTATATAATGATGTTTTATTAACCTGAGATAGTCCAGAGTGGGACTGAAAATCAAAAGGTATGTGTGCTTTTTTATTTTAACAGAATTTAAAAGATTGCCCTTTAAAAGAATTTAAAAGATTGCTTCTTCCAATAATATTTCATGTTTTGTCTAATAAATATTTATTAAGCCCACACTCTGTGCCAGACATTGGTTTAGCAATTTGGATTCAGCAATGAATAAAACAAAGATTCCAGCTCTCACAGAAGATTAATCCTAGAAATGGAGCGTGAAGGAACAAATGAAACAATAATTATAACAAACATTTTACTATTTGGGTTTGTGTTGCACTAACTTCCTATTTCTTATCTTTACACATTTTTCTATTGAATGAATTATATGCTGCAATATACTTCCTGTCAAAAGTTTATGAGCTTTGTATATATTATGAATACACATTTATCTGATGCTTTGCAATCTCTTACCCAATCTATTGCTTATCTACGAACTTCATGAGTAGTTTCTTATACCATCTAATATTTTTAATGTTTATGAATTTGTACTTTTTTTGTTCTCTCTTCGCTTCTGGGTATTTTATCTTTGTTAGTAGTTGTCTCCAAACTCTGGGTTATATACACAGTTTCTTACATTTCTTTTAATTACATTTTTGTTTTTTATTTTTTTCAGTCATACACCTAGAATTTATTTTTTAATATCATGTGAGGTAGGGGTTCAATTGTATTTTCCTTAAGGTAAATAGTCATTTTCCTAATACCATTTATTAAAATAAACTATCCACTTTCTACTGAATTAAAATGCTATCTTTTTCACATACGCGATTCCTGTATTTACCAAAATCTGTTTGTATGTTTTTTATTCTGCTCTGATGATTGTTGTCTACTTTTATTATTCCAATTTCATGCGGTTTTGATTACAATCTTCTATTTCATAATTATAAAGCTAGGTTAAGACTTAATTTAGTCATGTAAAGCTTCAGATGATTTTATGCAATTACAAATTATAATTTTAATTAAAAGAACATTCCATTTATATTAGGAACAAGAAAAACATCACAATCAAAAAAGAGAACAGAGTATAATAATTACAAGACAATGCTACATAAAACTATGGCAACAGATTGGAAAATGTAGATGAAATTAAAGATCTATAAACCATATAAATCATCAAAATGGCACAAAGAGGAGAAAAAATGGGAATAGATCATTCCTATAGAAGAAATTGGAAATGTCTTTAAAGATTTACTATTTGAAAGGGCCCCAGACACAGATGGCTTCACAACTGAGTTCTATTTAGCCTGTGAGGAACAGATAACCCCACTGTTATGAAACCACTCAAGAAGATAGAAAAAAAAAAAAAAGAGAGCTCCTCAATATCTGTTACAAAGCCAGCGCACCTTAATGCTAATGCCTCATAGACAAATCTCCCTTGGGAATACAGATTCTCATTCTAAATAAAATATTAGCAAATAGGGCCGAGTGTGATGGCTGACACCTGCAATCCCAGTACTTTGGGAGGCTGAGATGGGCAGGTCACTTGAGCTCTGGAGTTTGAGACCAGCCTGCATGACATGGCAAAACCCTGTCTCTACCAAAAAATAAAAAATTTAGTAGGGCATGGTAGCACATGCCTGTCATCCCAGCTACTCGAGAGGCTGAGGTGGGAGGATCACCTTAGCCTTGGGAGGCAGAGGTTGCAGTGAGCCAAGATTAGGTCGTGGGACTCCAGCGTAGGCAACAGAGTGAGACACTGTCTCAAAACAAAATAATTAGCAAATAAGAATCCATCCATGTGCCAAATAGACTAATATGCTGTAATCAAATAGTATTTTTCCAGGAATGTACAGATGTTTCAATAACAGAAAATTTACCAACATAATTTATTACATTGACAAATTAAAGGTGAACATACATCATATTGATCGATATTGTATAGGCACCTGCTAAAATTCAGTAGCCAGCCGCAATACAAACCCATCGTCTCTCTCTCTTTTTTTTTTTTTTCGAGATGGAGTCTCACTCTGTTGCCCAGGCTGGAGTGCAATGGCATGATCTTGGCTCACTACAACCTCCGCCTCCTGGGTTCAAGTGATTCTTTTGCCTCAGCCTCCTGAGTAGCTGGGATTACAGGCCTGCACCACCACACCTGGCTAATTTTTGTATTTTTACTAGAGATGGAGATTCACTGTGTTAGCCAGGCTGGTCTCGAACTCCTGACCTCAAGGGATCTGCCCGCCTCGGCCTTCCAAAGTGCTGGGATTACAGGTGTGAGCCACCGTGCCCAGCCAAACCCATAATCTCTTATCCAAACTTCTGAAACCCTAAATCTCTGAAAACTGAAGTGATACTTGTAACCCTGGCACTATAATTCACTTAGTGGTAAAGCTGATCTGAGCTCACATAAAGAAATACTTAGATATAAAAAGTGTTGGTCTTTAAAACTGTGAATTATTATGTGTTCTGTATGTAAGGCATACTTGAAAAAACATACTTGTGAATTTTTCGCTTCTGTGGCTTGCTGTCCTATATCGAAATTTGTTATAGTGTTTTCTTTTTCAAGGTGGGTTTGAGGAGCAATGACATGAGGAATGTGCTTTCAGCTCTCTGGAAGAAATGCATGACTGTGTTTCACTTAATCGAAGACGCCACTGATAGGAAGGCTAGCATTTAATTATGTATCACTAAAAGAGAAAAAAAATGCTGCTACTAGTTATACTGCAAAGCATCCTCCATTGTGAGACACCTCCCAGTTCAGAGATATTGAAAAGTGAAAAAAGGTCCATCTTAGAATTGATGAAATATGGTGTGTACATCCAAAGGAAATCACCACTAACAACACGCCCTTCTGACACGCGTGGGGACTTGGGTGCTTCCTCTCTATGATGTCTGCATCTCAAGGAAGAGCCCGATGTAAGTGCAGGAGTGCAGTGGTCTCAGGTCAGACTGGACTCCAGAGCTGGCTCTCACGGGCCAGTTGTTTGACCCTGAGCAAACTCCTTAACATATAAATAGCAGCCCCTGGAATGAGGATGGTGACAACATGGTGGTGTTGATGGTGTCAAAAGGGCCTGTCCCACATCTGCCATCCTAAAATTCTTTACCAAAGAAAAAAACCTGACCACATCTTCCCCCCTTTAAGGAGACCCCTGATATTACTGTGAGGCCACAGCTAGGCCTCGATGCCTGTGCTATCAATCTGTCCTAAATGTATATAGTGTCTCACCCAAAAATCTGAGAGGGAGAGAACGTTAGTCATCTTCTAACAAAGCCCCTGCTGTTTACCAAAGAGCTAATGGGTCGGAGAGAAAATGTCACTTTCCCAAGTGACACAGCCAGAGACAAAATGAAAACTAAACCCAGAGCCCCAGACACATTGGTGGGCTCTTTCTAGAACACCACGTGGCCTCCCGCTCAGGCTCCTGTCACCTGAGGACCTGGATCCACCCCAGTGGTTTCCAGCGGTTATCTCCAGCCAGAGGATTTCTGTGTCCTAAATGCAGTGCTTTCTGCTGTATGGGCCCCCGAAAAAAGATGGACACCCATTTAGCTCACCCACCCGCTTCTACCCACGTTCTGACTTTGAGGTCTTTGCTGCACCCACTTCCACCCCACCTTTCTAACCAGCCTCCCGGAAGGGGCCAGGGATCCCCTCTGTGCAGAGGATCTGAGGCCCCGCTCTCTCATGTCCTCTGTCTGCTGTGTGTCTCCGACAGGATGGGGCTGGTAAGTAGCAAAAAGCCGGACAAGGAAAAGCCGATCAAAGAGAAGGACAAGGGCCAATGGAGCCCCCTGAAGGTCAGCGCCCAAGACAAGGACGCCCCGCCACTGCCGCCCCTGGTGAGTGATTGCCCACCCCCACCAAGAGCAGATTACTTACTTCTCCTATGCCTTAATGTCCAAGTTTGTAAAATGGGTATAGCAAAAGTGCCTTCCTGATAGGGATGTAACGATCTGCAATGTATAAGCAGGTGTGCCATGCAATATAACACGCACAGGACCCGGCCTGGTTAGCTCCCAATAATTCTTAGCCAGAGCTCATTTCTCGAGGGCAGCCTTGAAAAGAAAAAGAAATGTAAAAAGGTCAGCTTGGGGAGAGGGTGTCGTAAGGAAGGATCCGGGTATCTAGCTGCAGCTACTACCTCTCTTCTCCCCAGCAGCTCCTGGAGACCCTTGTCCCCTATGTGGCATTGCTGCTGGCATTCCAAAGAGCCTGCTTTCCTGGGATAAGCATCATGAAACAGGAGGGTGCCTGTCCTCACCTCCCGAGCAGGCTCTTAAGTTTTCCTGGAATCCCATGGGCATTTTAAATGAGGAAAACTTTCCAAAGGAAAAAAAAAGTGAAATTTCAAGTGAAAAGGTCTTATTGCTGGGGAATGCATTTTCCTAGTCATGCAGTTTGATTTGTTTATAAAACACTTAGCTCCTTTTGATGGCTACAGCATGTCTGAAGATGCATTTTTTTTTTTTTTTGAGACAGAGTCTCGCTCTGCTGCCCAGGCTGGAGTGCAGTGGTGGGACCTTGGCTCACTGCAACCTCTGCCTCCTGGATTCAAGTGATTCTCGTACCTCAGCCTTCTGAGTAGCTGGAATCACAGGCACACATGCCACCACACCTGGCTAATTTTTACATTTTTAGTAGAGACAGAGTTTCACCATGTTGGCTAGATTGGTCTTGAACTCCTGACCTCAGGTGATCCACCTGCCTTGGCCTCCCAAAGTGGTGGGATTACAGGTTTGAGCATCCGTGCCGGGCCTGAAGATACATTTTTAGATGATTCTTTGTGCTCTCTCCACTCCCTGACCAGTGACCCCCTTTTGGTTTGGGGCAGTTGGGAGCCTTGCCGCGACCCCCTCTCCTGTGCTGTCCACATGTCCACGTGGTCATCTCTTTATCCTAACAGGGACCTGATGGGGAGACGGGGATTACTAATCCCACTTCCTAGATGAACCCAGGCATCTTACCTATCTGTGTCCCAGTTTAGCGCCAGTCTCAGCGCACAACCACAAGATGTTTATTGAATAAATAATTGATCAAATGGGGAAACTTGGACTTAGACTGATTGAGTAATTTCCCCAAAATTATATGATAATAAGTAGTAGCACCTGGAATTTTTTTCACTTAAAAGAGTCACATAATATGTATATGGAAAAAATTATAATTACTCATTATTCCACTATGTAGAGTCACCAGAGTTGCCTCGAGACCCTTCTTCCGTGTGTTCATTTCATGTGTTCCTATTTTTAAGAGAAACATACATGCACATCATTTTGCAAAATGCTACTTCAAAATTGTGTTCAATAAATATGGAATTAAGAAAAGAATATTTGTAACATATGTCAGGTTGAAAGAATACACCAAAACGCACACTTGTATAGCCACCTCCCAACTTCAGACAAGAAAGAGACTCGTTCCTTTGAATCTCCCTCCTCCCTCCCCTGTTTGTACCCTTCACCCCAGGCCCCAATACCCAGAATCTGTTTATCATTCCTTAGCTTTGCTTTTTAATATTATCACATATGTATTACCCCTAAACGATATTTAGTTTCATTATTCATGTTGTAAACTTTAAATCAACTACATCAAACAGCGCATATGCTTCTGAGACTGGGGTTGTGGCTCCGTGTTACGCATGTGAAACATATCGACGTTGATGCACGTGGCTGTTGCTCATTAATTTTATTGCCTGAGTATACTGTAATTTGTTTATTCTTCTGTCATGAGGGTTAGTTCCACGTTTTAAAATTGTTTATGTATCGGTCGGGCATGATGGCTCACGCCTGTAATCCCAGCACTTTGGGAGGCCGAGGTGGGAGGATCACTTGAGGCCAGGAGTTCAAGATCAGCCTGGCCAACATGGCGAAAACCTGTATCTACTAAAAATACAAAAATTAGCTGGGCGTGATGGCGGGCACCTGTAATCTCAGCTACTTGGGAGGCTGAGGCACGAGAATTGCTTGAACTGAGGAGGCGGAGGTTGCAGTGATCCGAGATTACGCCACTGCACTCCAGCCTGGGCAACAGAGCGAGACTCCATCTCAAAAAAAAATTGTTTATGTATTATGATTTTTGCTAGGAGCCCTCTTGTACACATTCCCTTGTACACTCTTGTACACATACACAGAAGTTTCTCTACAGGATATATACCTACAAATATGTTTGTCGAGTTTTGGGGAAATATGCTTTTTAAATATTTTTTCTTGTCAACAAATACCCGTTTGCAGTTTGATCTTGTAATGGTAGAGCCAGGATGTTAAGCCCAAGTGGTTGGGCTTTCCCTCATTGTCCACAGCTGTCTCATATCCACATTGGGGCATCCCCCAGCGCGGTCAGGGCAAAGGCAGCAGAGGGCGGGGGTCTGTCTGAGGGTAGTGCTGGTCCCTGGGTACAGAATGTCCCTGAGCAGCCCCCACAGGCAGCTGCCTCTCCTCCTTCAGTAGGTCCCTGGAGATACCCTGGCTGCCCGGCTCAGCAGTCTCAACCCCCAGGCCCCACCCACGCAGCAGGGACTGAAATAACTCAAGTGTGTGTTTTCTACCCAAGGTTGTCTTCAACCACCTTACTCCTCCACCGCCCGATGAACACCTGGATGAAGGTAAGAAGGGTGGTTTGGGAAGCTGAGGCTCCACAGCCCTCTCCCCTAGGTGGCAGCTTTGTGGAGTTGGAAAAAGGTTGAGTCAGGAGCAGCTTGAGGGCTGGAGAAGAGAAAACGGGGAAGCTGAGAGAGGCCCCGGCTCTGTGCCTCTTGGGGCGTCTCTTCAGGAACCAAGAACAAGTTTCTTCAGTATGCCTGAGCCTGGGTGGGACTTTTAAAACATGAAAGACTTTACAAACTGTAAACAAGAACAAAAACAAGAGTCCCAGGGAAGACACACAGCATCATCAAACCCAAGTTTTAAAATATGCTAACTCTCAAACGCAAAGGGCTGGGCCAGTGGCTCCAGGCCCTTGCCTCCAGCCCCTGTCCGCTCTATGTGGAGGGCACCTTCTTGTTTCCCGCTCCCAGTCACTTCGAGAGTCCCGCTGCTGACCACCTAACCACCCACGCCCCTACCTGGTCCCCAGACTCCACTTGGTTTTTTTTGAGACAGAGTCTCGCTCTTGTCACCCAGGCTGCAGTGCAGTGACCCAACCTCAGCTCACTGCAACCTCCACCTCCCGGGTTCAAGAGATTCTCCTGCCTCAGCCTCCCAAGTAGCTGGGATTACAGGTGCACACAACCACACCGGGCTAATTTTTATGTTTTTACTAGTGAGGGGGTTTCACCATGTTGGCCAGATTGGTCTTAAACTCCTGACCTCAGGTGATCTGCCCGCCTCAGCCTCTCAAAGTGCTGGGATTACAGGCGTGAGCCACTGTGCGTGGCCCCTAGACTCCACTTCTGCTCTGGTGGGCTGGCCTGCTGGGTACTGTAGGGAATGAGCTCAGCCTTTCTGGGCCAGAGGCTCCACCCCTGGGGACTCCCAAGAGGGTGGCCTCCTTCAAAGTGACTTCCCGCAGCCTCCTCATCATCCATGTCCACACAGCATGGGGAAGGGATGCCTCGGCCAGCCGGGCCCCACCCATTAACCTGCTCATATGATGTGTACTGGGCATTCAGCACACAGAGCCCAGCTCTGTCCCAGGAATGGCGAAGGGGTGACAACAGGTAGATGCGACCCCTTCCCTGGAAAAGCTCAGAATCTGTCACACTTGTGAGCAGAACCTGAATCTTAAAACTTCAGGGAACCACTGTCACCCATTCTGACCCTCGCTTTCCTGCTGAGAAGAGGTGACCAGCCCGAGGTCACAACACTCAGCTCAGTGACAGAGCGGAGCCACCCCACCCGGGGAAGCTAAGTGCTCTCCAGGTGACCTTCATCAGGTGGGTCCTGTGGCTCCCAGAGCTGTGCAGAGAGCCTGCGTCACAGCAGGGCTCACTTGAAGATGGTGCTCCAAGCTCCTGAGCCCTCTTCCTGCCTTCCATCCAGGGCCCGCCAGCAAGGTGGGGGGCCCGGCAGGGTCACTGGCAGCCATAGACAGTGTGGCTGGGGCTCTGGGCACAGACAGTGGAGAGGCCAGGGCTCCAGCTGCCACGTGGCAAGACCACCCCTACTGGGGATAGAGGCAGGCGGGGCAGAGGAGGAAAAGGATAAGAGGAGGCTTATGGGCCTCCGAGGGCAGGTGTAGAATAAGAAGATGAGGGCTCCCAGCACTATGTCCGAATGTGGGCCTGAGGCCACCAGCAGCCCGGCAGTGGCTGCCTCCCTGTGGCTGACCTCTGGCCATCAGCTTCCTCACACACGCCTTGTCCAGGTCATAGGGCTTCTTAGTGGGTCCACAACGGAGGACAGGATGGGCTCTGGGGGGCAGCCCATCCCTGGTGGGGTCACAGGGCTGGGGGTGGGGGCCTGTGCTGGGTGAGAACATCATTTCCATCGTGGGCAAGCAGAAGCCTGTCCTCCTTGGTAGCCAGGCTCACCCCAGCCCCACCTTCCCGCTTGTGGGCCTGAGTGGTGGTCATCTCTCCCTTGTTCATTTTAGACAAGCATTTCGTGGTGGCTCTGTATGACTACACCGCTATGAATGATCGGGACCTGCAGATGCTGAAGGGGGAGAAGCTACAGGTCCTGAAGGGGTGAGGTTCCAGGACACCATCCCCTGTCCCTGCAGGACCCCCCTCCCCCACATCTCTCCTTTCTCCACCCACCACATCCTCCATGGCTGACCCTGGAAGTCTTCTCCATCGCCCTGCCCCCAGCCCTGGCCCCAGCATTTTCTTGAACTTGGCCCTTTTGTCTTCCTCTCCAAAATCTTTCCGGTGAAGTAATTTCCATTCACAACCTCCTGCTCATCCTTCAAAGTCCACGTTCCATGCCACCGCCTCCATGCAGCCCTCCTGACTCTTTTGGGCATGTGGACCTTGTCCTTTATGCAGGCTGGTCTGGCTGTTCCGTGAAAGCCTTGCATTTAAGCCAGTTGTGTCCATATTTGTCTCCTTTTCAAGACAGGAGCCCACACTGATGACACACACCAATCCCGCTTTAGCTCATTTCCCATGTCCTTCTCAGAAACTCCTTCTAGGTCAGCTCTCTCTCAGTGGCCAGGCTTGTCCTGTGGAGCTCTGAGGGTCTGATTTGGTTCTTGAAGTTCTCCAAAGGCCCTGAGCCAAGCTCACGAAGGTCCTGACTGCTGATTCTATACAGTCCACGCCAACCGTGTTTTTCTCAAGCCTGTCCCCAGTCCCTCACCAAGCTCTGAACACGTCCCATTCATCAAGAGGAAGGCTGCTGGCTGGATCCTTGTGCCCTCTTGGCTGGTCAGGCTGTGTAGATAAGCTCTTCCCCCTAGAACTTGCCCGGATAGCCACTGTACCACTGAGCAGTGGGCACAAGCCCCTTCCTGCCTGCCGTACTCTCTACCCCTGCGGATTCTCTGCCCTCCAGGGAGAGATGACTTTGAGGAGGCCTGAGAGCTGCCCAGTGACGGGCCTACAGGGGCCATGATCTCATCTCTGTTTCCCCTGCTCCCATTAGAACTGGAGACTGGTGGCTGGCCAGGTCACTCGTCACAGGAAGAGAAGGCTATGTGCCCAGTAACTTTGTGGCCCGAGTGGAGAGCCTGGAAATGGAAAGGTAGGTGGGCACGGGAACCCCCCTCGAGCCAAGATGCAGTCACTGTTTCTGCTCCCTGGGCTGTTAGGCAGGGCAGGGCCAGAGTGGGACTGACCAGGGAGCCTGCAGGCACTAGCAAAGAGGGGACAGGAAATGAGCTCTGCTGGGAAAGGCCTCTCTGCTGGCTCCAGACGACATTCAGACTGCTGTGTGACACTGAGCAAGCCGCTCTTCCCAGCTAAACAAGAGCGGTCCTTCTCCTGGCTCCCCTGGATGGAACCGGCCCCAGTGTCTGATGGCCTCGAAGGCTACCAGGGAGGCACTATGACCAGCATCCCCTCCCCTACAGCCTCCATGGGCAGGACTCAGGGCTCAGCCCTCGGGGGCTCCCAGGAGGGTGGCGTTGTTCAGAACTGATTAATACTCCCAATCTTCTAATCCCCCAGCCCCCATCTTCTCCCATGTCCCCATGGCACTGGGAATTTCGGACTCGGCCAGCCAGAGCCCCCACGAATCTGCTCACAGGGACTAGCTCTGCCTGAGGACTGAGGCCCAGCAACGAGTCTTCTCTGGACACTGTGGGCCCCGCTTCTTTCCCTGGAACAGTGTGGGGAACCGTGGGGCTGTCCTGCACAGAACAACCCCATACCGAAGGGGACATACTGGGGTCCCTGCTCAGAGAGTCTCGGCAGTTTGCCTAATTCAGATCTCAGACTGCAAGGAGGAGGCACGTGCCTGTGATACGCAGCTGTGCTTTGGAGAGAGTGATCAGGGGCATTTTTCCAAAGCAAAATTAACAAAGGTCAACCAACTAGTGTTCTTGTTTCGTTCTAGGAAAACAGTGAGTCCAGGGCTGACAGGAAGCGGAACTGGAAGGGCAGCGGGGCAGAGGGCACTGACTCCATCACGGTGTGAGGAGCAGCAGCTCAGGGCCGACTGGGACCAGAAATGCTAGATTTTTATTTCTTGGGGACAGGCAGTGCAGGAGGGAGGCTGTGTGGGAATACTCCGAGGAGCAGGGTCGCTCTGAGTTTCACCTGTTCCTGCCGTTTTCCAGGTGGTTCTTTAGATCACAGGGTCGGAAGGAGGCTGAGAGGCAGCTTCTTGCTCCAATCAACAAGGCCGGCTCCTTTCTTATCAGAGAGAGTGAAACCAACAAAGGTAGGCTTGGTGGCTTTGCCTGCCTTCCTTGCCCTGCTCCTCCCGGGAAGGCGCCTCCAGAGGCCTGGCCCTGGAGTGAGAGGGGAAGGGGTGACTGCCAGGAGAACCAGCAGCTTCCGGGCTTGTGTCCCTCCCAATTCAGGCCCTGCCCGGGAGTTGACATGGGGGCTGTCCACACAGTCCTCCCTGTCCCGGCTGGAAACCACCTGGGCACAGGAAGCCGGGTGGACAGGGGTGGTCCCACGCCAGACTGGCCCTGCTGCCCAGTCAGCAGGAACACCGAGGCCAGTGGGGGCCAGGGAAGGGGGAACCCTGAGCCCTTAACCACCAGCCTCTTTGGAATCAAGGATTAGGGGGAGCTCAAAGAATCCTTCAAGATCATCTCAGCCAGAGGCTGCAGGTAGCATATGTTAGGAAGTGGCCTGTGCCGTGATGTAAGAGAAGAGGGTGGTAATTGAGGGGAGCCCATGCCAGTCTAGACACTCATGAGTTCAAATCCACTGACTGAGCAAAACAGCTGCCATCACCCTCAGGGGTTTTCTCTCTTTCTCTGTCATTTGGCTTTCTTTCCTTCTTAATTTTTTTGGTGTAAAATATAAAACACATATAAAGCTTGCATGAAGTATGAATGTGTAATTCTAAATCATATAGGGTAATAATAAACAAATCCCTGTGTAATGACAGCCAAGAGAAAGAGCATCCCAGACCACCAGGAGCCCCCTCACTCCCCCACTTGGGCTCCTTCCTGATTCAACCCCCACCCTCAAGAGCTACCTGCTGTCCTGACTTGGATGGAAATCCTTCCTTGCTCTTCTCTGTGGTTTCGCCACCATGTCTTGTCTGTTTTTTCAGCTTGATGTAGATAGAATCACTGTTTTTGTTTCTGTGTGTCTTGCTTCTGTCACTCAGCAGTGTTTGTGGGATTCTATGTTAGTTTCCTGGGCTGCCGTAACAAAGTGGCACAGACTGGGTGGCTTCCACCACAGAAGCTTATTATCTCACAGCTCTGGAGGCTGGAAGTCCACGACCAAAGTGTCAGCAGCGTTGGCTCCTCCCGGGAGCTCTCTCCTTGGCTTGCCGATGGCCGTCTTCTCTGTGTCCTCACGTGGCCGTCCCTCCATGCATGTCTGTGTCCTAATCTCTTCTTGTAAGGACACCTGTCAATTTGGATTAGGGCCCACCCATATGACCTCATTTTAACTTAATCACCCCTTTAAAGGCTCTGTCTCCACATATAGCCACATTCTCAGGACCGAGGGTTAGGACTTTAACATATGAATTGGGAGCGCACATGATTCAACCAGTAACAGATTCATTCATGTGGTTGAGGATGGTGAGCCTGTTCATGTTCATTGCTATACAGAATCCCGGGTGTGACCATTCCAGAGTCAAGTTAGCCATTCTCATGTTGTGGGCATTGAGTTGTTTCCAGTTTGGGGCTGTTAATGCATGTGTTGCACCGAACCCTATTATGGTCCCTGGTGCTCACTGGCCACTAGCTTTTCGTCTGTAAGATACTAATCCACTTGACAGATGAGGAAAGGGAGTCCCTGAAACAGGAAGTGACTTGCTGGGGGCCAACAGTAAGCATCAGAGCCCAAAGCACCAGTGACCACATCATCTAAGAGGCTGAGAGGCTTCCCAAGCTCTACAACGTGGCAAGCTAGGGTGACCCAGGGGCTTCCCAGGCAGTATGAAGAATGCTTTGCTCATCAGGAAGCTGTCCACAGGGACCAGGTACAGCCTTGTAGCCAATTTTAACTGGAGAGGAGATGGTGACAGTGACATCAGAGGAGGAAAGGGAGAGAGAGTGTCTGGAATATGAGTCTGGTTCCCTGTGGTTGGGGCGATGAGAATGGACAGAGTTGTCACCTGGTGGGAGCACCCTTGGGCTGTCCATTGGTTCCATCTGTGGCTCAAGAACAGCAGCCAGAGTGGAAACCCAGAGTATGAAAAGCTGTCATAGCACCCTGTGATTCTCTGGGGACATCATGAGGCCTTGGTGCCCCACAAAGGGGCAGGACCAGGTTGGGGAGCAGGAAGGGTGCATTGGAAAGCTGGGGTGCTCTGTGCAGGATTTCTTGGAATATGCCAATGAATGCATATACATACATATACATACACATAGATATATGCATTTTATATTTATATTCATATTGGATATTGTCACTATTTCATTTTTGTGGCAGAGCACCTCTGTACAAGAAATAATTTGGGAATCACTGGAGATGACATAAGTGTTTTATTGTTGTTCCAGGACATTTCAAACATACACAGAAGTAGAGAAAATAGTTTAGTGGAACCCCTGGTACCCAACAGCCAGCTTCAACAATTATCAACTGAGCCAGTCTTGTTTCATCTGTATCTCCCGCTCCACCCCTGTTCTTTCGAAGTAAATCCCAAACATCATGTCATGTCACCCTGGAAATGATATTTCAACCATTGCCTATTGCTAAGGTGAAAGCCTCCCCACCCCCTGCCCAATCTGGTGTGGAGGAAGAAGGGGTTCTCTATGAGTCTGGCATCTTTTCCTGTCCATGTCCACCCCAGGAAGCCAGTCCAAGCTGGGAATAGGCCATATGGGACCAGGGCTGCAGGACTGTTCAACCATCATCACCACCACACGCACATACACATGCACACATGAACACACATGCACATATGCACAAATGCACACATATACACACATGTGCATACACAGGCATGTGTGCACACATACACATGCAAACACATACACATGTCCACGCATGCACATATACACACACACGCACACATATACATGTGCACATATGCACAGATGCAATGAACACGTGTGCAACACATGTACACACCTTACACGTACATATGCACACACACACACAACTCCAAAGCAAGACCCCTCTGCTTCTCCGAGCCACAGCAGTGAATGCAAGACAGGGATGGAAGCAGGGGAGTGAGTTCTACCCTTCGTGGCCTCCGGGGTGTCCTTGAGCCTCTCAAGCCTCAGTTTACTGGTGTCTATGTGAGGATAGACTAGTTTCACAGCTCAAAGGCAGGCGGTCCTTCAGTGCTGAGAAATCTTCATCTCAGAGCCAGGCCCTGCCTGCCCAGGGCAGTCCAGACATACCACAGAGGCAGGGGATCCAGGTTTTGTGAAACTGAAGCTGATAGGATCTGAGGTCGTCTTTACAAAGGACACCAAATTGTCAGAAGCCATCAGGGACGGGGCCTCAGAGCAGCCAGGCAAGTGAGGGGTCTAAAGCACCAGCTTGGGAAGCGTCACTGCGTGGAGAGCGGGCTCCTGGGCTCATCGCCCGAGGCACCCGACACAAGTGCAGCCTACAAAATGGAGAGAAAAGCCCTTGATGAATGAACTCCCTAAGGCCAGGCTCGGGTTCCTTAGAGACTGGGGGCACAGCTGCACCCGGGCAGGGTCGGGGAGACAGTTTGCAGCCTCTGGGCTGAGGCTGGGGTGGGGGTGTGGAGGGGCTGTGGCAACAGCATGGCGTACGCCTCTGGGTGTCCTTTTGCAAGTAGGTGATGAGAGAGGCACATTGGCTGAGGGAAACTGGAGGATGGAAGGGGGTTGAGGCAGGGGAACTGACAGGAGAGGAAAGAGCCTTAAGTCAAACAGGACCGCGGAAAACCAAGCGTCCACAACGAGAACGAGGGGTCCGTGCCTGACCCCTGGCGGGGAGGCGTGGTACTGCTCGAGGTAGGCGCGGACTCGGGGAACCGGGAGCCCCCCAGCCTGCCGCGAACTCTGCTGGGCCCCAGCGTCCTCATCTCCCAAATAATGGGTAAGGGGCGGGGTAAGGTCATGGTACCCAAGTAGCTGGACAGACGCATTTTATAAAAACATCAAGTTCATGGAAAAGCGTTTCTTACCTGGAAATTCTTACCTCCTAAATTGTCCTTAACCCTTGACATCTGCTACCACTTGCCTGCGGGAAAACATTAACCTAGAAGACAAAATAACAGGTGTATGTAACAGGCAGCAAATGACTTTGAACAGAGCCCCTGGGCATAGCTTATTACGGTGTCCGCCATGGACATGGGTACTTGCAGCTGTGAATGGCTATCTGCTTGTAGGAGTAAGAGATACCCTCTTTAGCCAGAAAATAAAGCCCCTAGTCACTCCAACGAGACTAGATTTCTCAATAGTCCATGACAAAGGGTCCCCGAGTGACCAGATGCCCAAGTGGGGACCTACATGATTGCTGAGAAACTGTGCTGCCTGCCGCAGGGCTCTGTGATTCCCTGGCTGAGTTTTGCAGGATAGTGGGGGGATGCCAAGGTCAGAGTCAGATGGAACTTACAGGGGAGGCTTCCAAAAGCATGGAGGTTGAGATGCAGGGAAAGGAAACTTGTGGAGGGAGTGCTGATAATGAAGAACAGAATTGGGGAACTTTTTTCAAAGCTTTAAAATGAGGCCCAAATCCCAGTCCCGTTTTTTGTCTTTGTGCCTTACTTCTCGTGTGTGTCTTCATGAACCCTCCAGGTGCCTTCTCCCTGTCTGTGAAGGATGTCACCACCCAGGGGGAGCTGATCAAGCACTATAAGATCCGCTGCCTGGATGAAGGGGGCTACTACATCTCCCCCCGGATCACCTTCCCCTCGCTCCAGGCCCTGGTGCAGCACTATTCTAGTAAGAGGGGGCGTGCAATGGGGGCAGGGACTTGTGCCAAGAGCCCCTGGATCTCTCGCTAAGATTCCCAATTGTGTGAGTCATTGGTGCCACCTTGGGGGATGGAAAGATTATCCCAAAGTTAGGCCTAAGGAGGTAGCAACTCTGAGCACCGGGAATTGGTGGCCCTAATTCCCTCTCCTGGCTCAGCAGGGAACCCCTTAGAGAGTAGCAAGCATTTTCAGTCTTAGAGTGAGCAGGTCGATTTTAGAGATAGCATGCCCTGCTTTGCGCAAACGAAGAGAAAGAGTTGAGTGTGTGTGCATGTGCAGGCGTGTGCACACACCCATGCAGGGGGTGGGGTGGCTGGGGAGTGGAGGGCCAGCTAGGAATGATACAGCTCCCAAGGTAGAGCCTGGCTGCTCTGGTAACCCCCAGCCCTGTCTTTTCTTCCCTAATGCAGAGAAGGGGGATGGTCTATGCCAGAGGCTGACCCTGCCCTGTGTGCGCCCGGCCCCGCAGAATCCCTGGGCCCAGGATGAATGGGAGATCCCCCGGCAGTCTCTCAGGCTGGTCAGGAAACTCGGGTCTGGACAATTCGGCGAAGTCTGGATGGGTGAGTGTGTGCACACGTGGGAGCATTTCTCCCCCCATTCCACCTGCGCCGCATCCTGAGTCCAGGTTCAGCATTTTCATAGCGTGTCATCCCTCCCCCAGAAGTCTTGAGAGGGAGCGAGGACAGAGGCGAGGACACTCATTTTACAGAGGAGGAAGTGGAGGTGCAGAGCCGCGTTGTAACAGCTGGGACCGCTTATGGTGGTGGCAGAGCAGGAACAGAATCCAGCTCACCCAGCCCCGAAGTCGCTCCCTCCTTCGTTCTCTGCCTGAAGCTGGCTTTGACAATGAGCTGCAGCGGCGCGTTAACTCCCCTTAGCTTTTCATCACCCAGATGGAAACAGGAGGTTAAACGTGATGAGCCATGATGTTCCAGAGCCTGAGTGCACACCGAGGGCAGCCGTGGGACTTTGGCCAAGTCACTGAAGCTCCAGGCCTGGTGTCCTCACATTTCCATCGCTGCTGACACCTGCCCCCTTCCCCCCCCCGCCCACCAGGATATAAAACTCGTGTTCCGTTTTATCCCTGGATTGGTCCATGAGTCCTCCCTTACCTGGGGCTGGTCCATGAGTGCTCCCTTACCTGGGGCTGATGCCCACGGTGCTTTTGGCAGGAGCTGTACCCAGGTCCCTGCCAAGGCCCATGTCCTCTAGAAAAGCAAGTAGAGTTGTCTTTTGCCCTTCAGGGGACTTCATGGAGTACAGGGAGAGTGTGGAGATACAGATAGTTTAAGGAGTGGGACAGGATCGCCATGGGGCTTCAGAAGGAGGGAAGGAGACCCCCATGCGTCATCCTCCTGCCCAGTGTACCCCAGGCTGTGTGCTTATTTCCACCAAGGAGTTATTGTGTGATAGAAGAGACTCATTATGTAGGGGAGGGGTGGGGGAAGGACACAGGTTCCGTGCAGGACAGAAGGACACAGGCCCAGGGTGTGGGGCAAATAGGTGAAATGCCCCCCAGGCAGGGTACATTCCTCCACTGCCTGAGGCCCCATATAGAAGGGACCTGGAACGCAAGGTAGGCACCACACAACCATGGCCTCCGGAACTGCATGTTCCAGCTCTGGCACCTGGAATGGGGTGGCACCTGGGCACTTACCCCGATTTTGGTTAAGGGATCACCTCCGAGCAAGCTCTCTGTCTTCTGATTGGCTTCTTCACTCCCCCGGGCTCAGGTTACTACAAAAACAACATGAAGGTGGCCATTAAGACGCTGAAGGAGGGAACCATGTCTCCAGAAGCCTTTCTGGGTGAGGCCAACGTGATGAAGGCTCTGCAGCACGAGCGGCTGGTCCGACTCTACGCAGTGGTCACCAAGGAGCCCATCTACATTGTCACCGAGTACATGGCCAGAGGTGGTGCCCCCCGCAGAGCCGCATCCTCAGAGCGAGGCGGGAGGGCCGGGCTTAGCAGGAGGAGGAGGGTCCGCTGCGGTGGGTTCACCAGGCCAGGGGGTCCTGCAGATCTAGGGCATGGCACGGTGTGGGGACAGGGAGGGATGGAGGGAGGGGGAGGGACAGAGGGAGGGTGAGAAACAGGAGGGTGAAGTGGTTCTGACAGAGCCATGTTCTCAGCCCAGGAGCAGTTCAGACAGCATTTCTGGAGTGCATCTTCTGTGCCTAGCACTCTTTGATGCCTGCTGGGAGGGACAGAGCATTGCAAAGTCAGACGAACACCAGGCCAGGCATGCAGGGACAGTACTAGATCCAGGTCTCCTGCCTCCTGGTCATGCAACCATTTACAACTGTGTGAATATTTTACAAGGATGGCCAGAGAGGTTGGGCTTGATGGCCTCTGAGGTCCACGGCGTGGCCAAGTTCTCATGCCACTTTCTCACCCTCCTATGACCCTGACCGCACACTGCTCCTATAGGATCCTAACATGCCCATGTTGATATAGCTCCCTAACAACTGTCACCAAGGGGCCCCCGGTCGGAGGCTGTGCTGGGGGTGCCTCTAGCCTGCCCCTAGGGCAAGCATCCATCCCTCCCAGCTTTCTGATTCCAGGGGGAGCTGCATTTGTCCCCTGCACCAAACCTGGGGGACAGTTCTCTCCATTCTGGTGCTTTCTTGCTGATGCCTGGTCCTCAGAGGCAGAGGGTGTCTGCCAGCAGGGATCAAGGGAGCGAGGCCAACACGGGGGGAAAGACAAGAAGGGGCATGAAACTTCGAGTCAGAACTGGGGTCCCACTCCCAGCTCCCGGCTGGGTGACTTCAGACAGGTCCCTGCACCTGGCTGAAACCTAACTTCTGGGCAACTGCTGGTATATTGGCTGCCTCCCGGGGTGCTGAGACTGGCATTTTGTAAAGTGGAAGGCACTCGGCAGCAGTAGGTAGATCCTTCCTGATGCACCGAGAGATCTGAGGGTGCAAACTCCCACTTCCCGCGCCCATGGGGAGCCACTCACACCAGAGAGAGGCTGGCACCACCAGGGGCGGGTCACTTTGCAGAAGGGCACTTGCAACTTCTCTTTTCTTAGGATGCCTGCTGGATTTCCTGAAGACAGATGAAGGGAGCAGATTGTCACTCCCAAGGCTGATTGACATGTCGGCGCAGGTTGGTGAAGTACCAGGTGCAGAGAAAGGGCGGCATGTGCCACCTGCTGCCCACAATGGCTGCTCGTGCCTTACCACCCCATCCTCTCAGCCAGCAGGAGAAGTCAGGGGGTACTGAAGGCCACCTTCCTCTAGGCAGATATCCCCAAGGTCACCCACTGCACTTGGACTTGCAAACCCTGGCCACTGTGCCTCCTGCCCCACGCAGCTGTGAGGGAGCCCAGGGAATGGAGCCTTAGACCCGGGCTGCTGTGTTGGAATGAGGCTATTCTGTTCCGAAGGAAGAGAGGGCGAATGAATGTCATGGGAAACACACAGAGTTAGCAAGAGTTCCATTGAACCCGGCAGGCAAGTGTGTTCTGTTGTGACCTCATCTCTTCCTTAGATGGTGCCCACAAACATCTCCTGTAGGACTTCCCATCCCAGGGGCCCTCAGCCTTTGCACAGCCCTGGCGTCGACCCCAGGCTGATGGGCAGGCCTGAGCTACACACAGATGCCAGGGACATGACTTCTCTGAGCCCTGGAGGACAGCCCCACCTTCTGCCACCAGGGAATTGCGAGTGCTGGACCTCCTTGGCTACCCAGGACTGGTCCTCAGTGTCCCTCACGTTCACATGCAGAACTTTCTGGACTCCATGGGGTGAAGAGCAGAGTGGAGAGGAGGGTTTTAGCCGAGAGCTCTAGCTGGCAGGAAGCACATCTGGTGGCCCTGTTAAAACTGGAACTCTCAGCAGAAAAGTTTTGGTCTGTGGTCAGCCTGTGAGGCACACACGTGCGTACACATACACACACACATACAGCTGCCACCGAGAGGAAACGCTCCCACCCACCGCCCACATCAGCCCTCCCACCTCGCCCCTCGCCCAGCCTTACCCAGTAGCGCCGCTGCAGGAACTGATGCCACAACGCCTTTTTCCGCTGAGGTGGGCAGACAGCCATCTGGGCAGGCTGGTTTTGGAAAATGAGTGCTGGTAACCGGCTTCAAACCCCAGGGCAGTGATAAGCCTGCCCACTGCTGCTGCTTCCTTTCCCCTTCCTTCTCTCACCCTCCGCTGTCTCCTATTCAATCCCCACTACACCCCCTTGGGAAATCTCGTGTGACCCAGGGGCAAAGGATGTGAAAAGCCATCGGAGTTTAATACCTGGATGTAGCCACAGAATCGGGGGTGAGGAGCCAGAAAATCAGAACTTCCCAGAAGGGCAGCCTCTAACCACATGCTGACCATGCCAATGGCTCTCTAAGCACACATGTACACACACACACTCTCACACACATAAAAACACAGACTCACACACACACGGACAAACACAAACACATACACAGACTCACACAGACACGCAAACTCACACACAGACAGACACACACACAGACACACAGACTCACACACACAAACTCACACAGACACACAAATACACAGACTCAGACTCAAACACAAACTCACACAAACACATTTACACAAACTCACAAACTCACACACACAAACACACACACAAACACGCAAACTTACACACACATGAGCAGACACACACCCGGCCCTTCTGGGCTCTTCTTTTCTTACTCCATAGGAAGCCATGCAAAGTCTCGCCAGACCTTTCTTCCAAGGCCAGATCTGGCCAACCCCACAGGAACCCTGCAATCACAATCCCTCGGGCCCCACTTTGCAGCCAGATGCCACCGGTTCCCATGCCCCATGCCTCGCCACCCCTCTACCTCCTCTGCCCAGGAAGCCTTGAACACTTCCCACCTGGCAGAATCCTTATCATCATCCATGGCTCAAGCGTAATGTCATTTCTATGAAGGTTTCCCTGGACAAGAAACTGCCAGAGAGCCCTTAGCTCAGGTGTTCCCGGAAGCACTGTTCTTGCTCAGCAGATCTGGGCAGCTTCTTCTTGAAAGCAGATCTGGGCCCTACTCAACATTTTTTAAAATATATTTCTGGTACTGTTCAATAAATATTAGTTATCAGAACGAGTACTGTTAGATGCTGCCCAGATATATTTAGTACTCAGTTTTATATTCCCCACAGTCCCATATTAGTAAATGAGTATTGATTGCATGGTGTAGCAAGGGGATGGATGGATGCATGGATGGGTGGATGCGTGGGTGGGTGGGTGGGTGGGTGGGTGGGTGGATGGATGGATGCATGGATGGATGGATGGATGGATGGATGGATGGATGCATGCATGGATGGATGAATGGGTGGATGGATGGATGGGTGGGTGGGTGGGTGGATGGATGGATGGATCCATGGATGGATGGATACATGGAAGGATGCATAGATGGATGGATGGATGGATACATGGATGGATGCATGGATGTGTTGATGGATGGATGGGTGGGTGGATGGATGGATGCATGGATGGATGGATGCATGGATAGATGGATGGATTCATAGATAAACCAACAAAATGCAAGCATAAGGAGAAGTGGAATCAATTCTAGTGCTGGCTTCTTGAAGTCGCATGTCTGAAGAGGTAAATGGGGTCTCTGCTTTCTGCCTCAGTTTCTTCGTCCATTGATTGGGTGAATAAAGCCTTAGTTTCCTCAGCTAAAAGGTGCCAAGTAGCACCAGCTGCTATCCCTGGCCCAGGCTGGTGATCAGGGGAGGAGAGACAAGTCTCTTCTTCTTCACAGCCTCTGTCCACCTGGATCTGCCAGTGCTCCCTGGGTGCCCCCACGGGGCAGGCGCTGGGTGAGGTTCTTGGTCACAAATCAACCTCGTCTAATGCTTGCCTCAACCCCCTGCCCTGGAGACCACATCCCTCATGTTCCATGTCAGGACTGTGGCCCCTCGGGGAGGTTAAGCAGCTTGCTAGAGGTCAGCGACTTCCCGAGGGCCTCCAGCTCCAGGAGCTGTGCTTCCAGCCAGCCAGTGAGAGCTGCCTGTCCTTGCCTCCTGCTCCCCCTCCCCCTCCTTCCTTACCATTTCTTCTCTTCTCCCTCCCTCTCCTTTTCTCCTGCCTGTGTTCTTCTATCTTCCATCTCTGCAGACCCTTGGACACAGCTGTGTGGAGCGAGAACGAGGAGGGGGAGGGGCACAGGTAGCCCCTGTGTCTCTGATGCCCACGTTGCTGCGTTGCTGTTCTGGGCTTCTAGGAGAGGAGTTTATTCGGCTGAGGAGCAACACAGTCACCTTTCTACTCCATCCAAGAAACAGCTCCTTCCCCAGCAGCCCACAGGGGCTGTGCGGGGGACACAGTGTGGGCTCGGTCTTGGCGTGGAGGCCCCCAGGCTGTCCTTCACCATGTGCCTGTTCCCTCAGATTGCTGAAGGGATGGCATACATTGAGCGCATGAATTCCATCCACCGCGACCTGCGGGCGGCCAACATCCTGGTGTCTGAGGCCTTGTGCTGCAAAATTGCTGATTTTGGCTTGGCTCGAATCATCGACAGTGAATACACGGCCCAAGAGGGTAAGCACAGCCCCTAACCACAAGGGAAACCTAGGGCCTTATCTTTCCCAGCTCCTCAAAGCCGCCTTTAACTTCTCCCAGCACAGCCCTGAGGGAAGACACCTGAGGGCTATACGGTTTCTACAGCTCTAGATCAGCATTTCCTTCATTTACCCAAATGTGTTCAGCAGAATGGTAGTGCCCTGAGACCTCCCATGGAGGAACAGCTTTAGGATAAGGTAGGTTTGGAGAAACAGCAGTCCACCCTACTCCCTGTCTTGGAGATTCCCAGTGCACATCAACATATTAAAGGCACTGAGAAGTCCTGCAGCAAAGAAACAGTTTATGTTTGCCTCACCTAGTGCCTCCCAAACTAATTTGAGCTCCAAATACTATTTTTTTTTTTTTTGAGATGGAGTCTCTGTCACCCAGGCTGGAGTGCAGTGGCACAATCTTGGCTCACTGCAACCTCCGCCTCCTGGGTTCAAGCAATTCTTCTGCCTCAGCCTCCCAAGTAGTTGGGATTACAGGCGTGTGCCACTACACCTGGCTAATTTTTGTATGTTTAGTAGAGATGGGGTTTCACCATGTTGGCCAGGCTGGTCTCGAACTCCTGAATTTAGGTGATCTGCCTGCCTTGACCTCCCAAAGCGCTGGGATGACAGGTGTAAGCCATGCCCAAATACTATTTTTATATAGTCCCTATTAACCTTCCATGGAATTAGGCTTTCACAGAGCACACTGTGGGAAACACAGCTCTCATGTGCGATCAGCAAACCAACCTGTATTAGGGTGTCCACGGAGCACTGTTTTACTCTGTGCATATAACTGAGGTGGAAATCTACGTCACAAGAGAATCTGAAGGGGTCACATATATTTATCAAGCTAGCAAGCAGTGTCTGCTGAGCCTATGAGTCAGATGACAAGCAGACAGGATATGGCTTGTTCTCTCGGGAACTTCAGGCTGGCTGGGGAGACCGAGAAATGGAGGCCAGGGGAGGCTGTGAAGTGCCAAGCCCTGAGGTCTGCTCCAAATGCTGGCCGGGGCTGCAGCCATTGAGGTGCTTCACAGGGCAGCCGGATGTGAGTTCTTCCTCATAGCGGCCCTCGGAGGTACAAGTGTCACCATTTCCATTTTGCAGGAAGGGACTAACGGAGGCGCCCGCAGGTTTAAATGGCTTGCCCAGGCCATGTCTTTTAAATTAAACAAGGCCCCTGTAAGGTGAAACAGGCCCCTTCCATCCCAGGTGGAAACGTGGTGGCTGCCCATTGAGGCCATCGCTCTCTTTTTAAAGAACCAAAGTGGGTGACTGTGTGGTATTGGTGTCCATATCGTCTTTCTGTGCTGCTGATGTCGTGTCTGCACTCACCTGGTCATGTGTCCTGGTGTGCGGTAGTGGCTCCCCCGCCATGCCTGGCCGCCCCGCCCTGTGAGGCCCCGCAGTGGGGGCTTGATGGAAGGACAGCAGGAGCAGGGGTAGGGGTGAGGATGGAGGGTAGGGGCCACCGGCCGTGGCCTCCCAAAGCTTGCATGGCTTTTCCCACAGGGGCCAAGTTCCCCATCAAGTGGACAGCCCCGGAAGCCATCCACTTCGGGGTCTTCACCATCAAAGCAGACGTGTGGTCGTTTGGAGTCCTCCTGATGGAAGTTGTCACTTATGGGCGGGTGCCATACCCAGGTAGGTGGCTCACCCCGCAGCTCGCGGCTCCCTGCTTTCCCGGCCGGCCCTGATGGCAGGTCGCCTGTGCTTGGTGCCTGTGGCTGCCCTGTTCTTTTCAGAGTGAGTCCCAGAGCGAAGACGGAGACCCAGGCATGGCATCTGGGGTGGAGCTCTGCCCCCTGCATCACTATTGCTCTGGGCCACAGGGCTGTGTCTCCTTCCTCCAGCAGAGGTCAAATGAGTCCCTCAAACTGAAATCAAGACAAAGGGCACATCCGAACTCAAGTTTACTCCCAGTGGCTTGTTCTCAGTTGAGGACAGGTTGTGCCTACCTTGGCTTTGCACCCATAGTGGATTCCCCAAAGCCCCTTCCTGTGTGGCCAGAATCGTGGACGACAGCCCCCAGCCCCAGTCGAAGGGCTCCAGCCACTTGGCCCCCACAGGTGGGCAGGCTCCGGGTCACCTGCTGCTGTGTGCACCTGGCAGCTGCCCATGAGTGATGGGCTTGGCTGTGCCCCTGGTGGTCACAGGTAATCAAGAGAGGGAGGGTCCCATCTTCAGAGGACCTGCCCCGTACTCAGGAGAAAATCTACAGCCTCATTTCTAGGCATTCCCCAGGCAATAAAAAGTAAATAAAGGGCTGTTTAGAGACCGGGCAGCCAGGCAACGCACGAGGCTGGAGAAGTGGTCTGGGACTGTGGGCACTGCTGTCCCTTGCCTGGGCCCACTGTGCCCCGCGGGACGCTCAGGGCCCCCCACCCACCGAGGACCCCAGCCCCTCACCCCCGCTTGCGGTCTCCTCTGCCGCAGGGATGAGCAACCCCGAGGTCATCCGCAACCTGGAGCGCGGCTACCGCATGCCGCGCCCCGACACCTGCCCGCCCGAGCTGTACCGCGGCGTCATCGCCGAGTGCTGGCGCAGCCGGCCCGAGGAGCGGCCCACCTTCGAGTTCCTGCAGTCGGTGCTGGAGGACTTCTACACGGCCACCGAGCGGCAGTACGAGCTGCAGCCCTAGCCGGCCGCGCCCGCCTGCGCCCCGTGCCCACCTCTGCGCGGACGACCCCGACTTCCGTGCCATCCCAGACGGGCCGCGAAGGCGGGGTGTCGCCTGTGCCCTTTTCTCAGACCCGGAATCCAGTGGGCAGAGGCAGCTTCGCAGGGGGTCCCCGGACGGACTCCTTCACCGACTGCACCCCCGGGCGAGTTACGCGGCCTCTCTGTGCCGCTTCATTTGTAGAGGGCTGTAACAGTGACCTCGCACGGTCATCCGGAGTACTAAGCCCCAGTAAGGTGTTCAGGACTGGTAAGCGACTGTCATCAAGTAAGGCCCCCGTGCTGGGCACCCCCCGTGCTGGCCGCGTCCCCGCCTCTGCGCCCTGCGTGGACCCCGCCCTGCCCCGCTACAGAAGCCAGACTGGGTCCCGCGGACGCCAGCAGGGGCAGCCCCAGCCTAGGCTGCGCTCCAGCACTGCGGGGCTTTTCTGCAATAAAGTCACGAGCGTTCGAGCTGTTCCGTGTCGTTACCTGTGACAAGCTGGACATCGCGTGCAGGACGAGCACGGGGCGCAGGCGTGGCGCAGCCAGGGAGTCCCGCGTGGTCTGGGCTCCCGGCGGTTGAGCGGGGCCCGCAGGGGGCGCTGTGGCCTCATAAATCCGTGGCTCGGGCCCGCGCCGGGAGCTCTGGGCGGGGAAAAGCCAGGGGCTGACGCTGTGGGCCGGCGCTTTGGGGACGGCTAGGACGCGAGCCCAGCTCCAGAGGCTCCGAGTCCCCAGGCCAGGTGCATAAACAAGGATCGGGTGACGATGGGGCGTAAAAGCGAGGAACGTCGGCGGCTCCCACTACATGGAGGCTCTTCACTTGGCATGTTTTTGTTTTGTTTTTAATAGACCGATTTTTTTTTTAGCAGTTAGGTTTACAGAAAAAAAAAGTGGGAATTAAGTAGACAGTCTCCATATCTCGCCCATTTCCCCTATTACTAACATCGTGCAATGGTGGTGCATTTGTTATCACTGATGAGCCAATACTGATAAAATATCATTAACCGAAGCCCACCTTTTGCATCCAGGTTCTCGCTGCCTGTTGTACATGCCGTAGGTGTAGAGGAAAGTGCAGAGACTTGTACCTACCGTTCTGGGTCCCCCACTTGAAAGCCCCCTGGCTCCACCTGTGCACCCGCTTCCTTCCCCTTGAACCCTTGCCACCCAGCTTGTCAGTGTTGACTCCTCTGACTGTGAGAACACCCCGAGGTAGGACTATACCCACCCGCAGTACAGAGGTGGAAACTGAGGCAGAAAGTGCTCACACACACCCCTCTTAAGCGGTAGGATGGGGGCGTAGGTGGGGGAAACTGCAGGTCTGGGCAGCAGAGGATTAGAGTGGGGACTTGGTGGGAGAACCCCCAGAAAGGGGGCAGTCGCTGCAGGGGTGCTGGGTGAGGACAGCCACCAGCCAGGAAGGATGCGGTTCACATAGCGTGATCACCTACAGTGTGTGGATTCTCCAGCAGCCTGGGGTGGGTGCATCACCATTACTACCACGAAGCTGTTTCTGCAGATGATGAAACGGACAGACTCCATGCCACCAGGCTCCTCTCAGCCAGTTCTTGGCCCTCACAGCCCCCACTGACCGTGGGCAAGCACTGGATGGGAGCACAGCACTTTAAGGAGGTCTGGGGGGGGGCAGACCTGGGGCCTCGCTGAGGAGCCCAGAGGGACAGGTGTCCCCAGCTGCTCCAGGATGCTGGAGGTGGAGGAACCTAGAGGTGGAACTCTGTCCCATACAGTGGGGCTCCAGAAATTGTGGGGCCTCTGATCTCCCCCAGGACCTGGTCACACCGGGGTGCTGGAAGGAGGAAACTGCCTGGCCAAGAACCTGGTGCCAGGGGACGTGGCTGGTGGGGGGTAAACAGGAGCGTGGGACAACAAGGTCAGTGGGGGCTCCTGCTAGTGGGGGCCACTGGGACTCATGAATGGGAGGGCCAAGCTGACCTGCTGGGGCTCCTGTGGGGTGGGGCTGAGGAGGGAGCTAAGATCACGGGATGAGGAATGAGCCCTTCCTTCACCTCATGAGCAGGGACCATATGCCAGGACACCACCTCCCCGGCCCCTGCAGCCCCTCTGAAGTGGCTGCCATGACTCGGGAGCTATCCTCGAGTTGCAAGGCTTGAGACTGTCTCCTCACCTCCCTGGACCCCACTGTCATTCCCTAAACATGAGTCACCCAGTGCTTTGCCAACGTCACCTCAAGTTTTTGTTTTAAAATGCAGGCTGGGCGCGGTGGTTCATGCCTGTAATCCCAGCACTTTGGGAGGCCAAGGCGGGTGGATCACCTGAGGTCAGGAGTTTGAGACCATCCTGGCCAACATGGTGAAACCCGTCTCTACTAAAAATACAAAAATTAGCTGGGCGTGGTGGCAGGTGCCTGTAATCCCAGCTACTCGGGAGGCTGAGGCAGGAGAATCGCTTGAACCTGGGAGGCAGAGGTTGCAGTGAGCTAAGATCGTGCCATTTTACTCCAGCCTGGGCGACAAGCATGAAACTCAGTCTCAAAAAACAAAAGTAATAATAAATAATAAAATAAAATGCAGGCCGAAAGCCTCTCCGTCTCCCACGGAGATTCTGATTCAGTGGGTTGAAGTCTGGATCCGGAAACGTCCTCTTTTAGAAGCACCCTGAGTGATTCCTGTGCAAGCATTTCCAGCTTGGACCAGCAGTTCTCAGCCCTGGCTACTCACTAGGGTCACCTTGGGTAGAATGGGGTTGGAGTGGGGGGAGGCACATTAAAAAGTGCCAGTGCCAGGGTTCCGGGTGAGCATACTTTATCCAGGGCCTCAGCATACTTTAAACATCCCCAGCTGGTGCTAATGTCGATCCCGGATTGGGAACCCCTGGGCAGGGCTGTGTGAGGTCGGAAGTGCTCCATCCCAGCGGGCCTGGCTCCAAGTACCTGGGGGCCAGGCTGATGTTCAGGTCCTGAAACTCCACGACCAGCAGATGCCTGTGGCTTTTTCCAGCTCTGGTATGCAAGTGGCAACCTGCGGAAATTAGAAAAGAAACCCAGAAGACCAGCACATTCTCAGAGGCACGTTCTCAGGCAAGGACACCCACCTCTCCTCCGGCTTGGTTTTCCTGGGAAAGGTGAGGCTGGAGATCTTGAAGGATGAGGGAGAGTTTCTCCACGAGGGGTCGCACTTGCCCGAATGGTGCCCGGAGCTGAACCTGTATCCTGGTGTGTTCTTGTTCGGGACATAAACATGTCTATTAAGGATGAGGAGCTCAGTCAATTCTCAGCCAGAAAGTGAAATGTGAGAGTGTGGGGGGGAAGAGAGATGGAGAGAGGAGGCAGAGAGTGCATGAATGGACGAAAGCCTCATTTCCTGCTCTAGGGCTTTGCCTTCCTTGTGGGAGGGAGGGTATTTCATGGCCTGGAGTCGGCCTTCTCCCAACCATAAAACTGCACATATGAGGACATTGCCGGGGGGCCCATGCCTGAGCCATCCGGGGCATATGATTGTTGTCCCGACACCCAGAGCTCTGGTGAAGGGGGCAGCCCAGGTCTGGGAACCCCAGACCTCTCCTTGCCTGTGAAGGAGCTGGTGCCTTTCCCTTTGCCTCCATTCCTCCATTCCAGAGCCAGGACACACCCTCAGCGTTGCTGTGAAGTGAGCAACAGCAGGGTCTCTGAGTCAGACAGACCTTTCAAAATCAGGCACTTCCTCTCCCCGGATGTTTGACCTCGGAGACTTTGCTTCATTTCTCTGAGCCTCGGTTTCCTCATCTGTGCAATGGGCACAATGCTGACACCTGCATTGTAGGCTTGCTGCGAGGTTTGCACAAAGCAGCTCACAGGAAGCATTTACCAGAGTGCCTGTCTTATGCTAAATGCTCAGAAATGTTAGCTCTCGTTAGGGCTATAATAACCCCCAAAGAAGGGCCTCCAGAGACCCCGATCCCAGCTAAGCCCCCTTAGCCGGGCTTCCCTGGCCTCTGCCATACCTCCCCTGCCTCGGGCTTCTAGCTCTGCGGTTCAGAGCTTTGTTCTCTCTTTGCTGCTGTGATCTGTTTTGTCTACAGTAGTGGCCCCTTATCTAAGGTTTCAGTTACCAGCGGTCAACTGCGGTCCCAAAATATTACATGCAATAAGATATTTTGAGAAAGAGAGAGAGAGGGAGGCCACATTCACAGAACTTTTATTCTAGTATATTGTTATAATTTTCTATTTTATTCTTAGTTATTGTTGTTAATCTCTTACTGTGCCTAATTCATAAATTAAACTGCATCATAGAGATGTGTGTATAGGAAAAACAGTGTATACAAGGTTCGGTACTATCTGCAGTTCAGAGCATCTAGATAGTTTGGGGGTCTTGGAATGTATTCCCTGTGGATAAGGGGGACTCCTGTACTTTCACGCTCTTCCCACCCTCGGGGCAGAACTTCCAAAAGAGCACACGGGGTCAGAAGCCAAGGACCTAGGCAGCCTGGCACTCTCCGGCTGTGTGACTTTGAGTGAGTGACTCCATTCTTCTGAACCCTGATTTCCTTGTCTATAAACAGAGGGCAGTGAGGCCTCCTTGCAGGGTTGCTTTAAGGATTTAAGGAGTATTTTGGAAATGGAATAGTGTATTCGTTTCCTAGGACTACTGGAACAAATACCACAGGCGAGTGGCTGAAAACTTAAAAGTTGATTGCCTCACAGTTCTGGAGGCTGGAAGCCTCAGATTAAGCTGCGTGCAGGGTCGGTTTCTCCTGAGGTCTCTCTCCTGGGCTCATAGATGGCCACCTTCTCCCTGTGTCCTCATGTGGTCGTCCCTCTGTGTGTGTCTATGTCCTCGTTGCCTCTTCAAGAATACCAGTTATATTGGACTAGGGCCCACCCATACGACCTCACTTTACTCATCGATTTTTAAAAAGCCTATCTCCAAATACCATCACATTCTGAGGCAGTTGGGTTAGGGTTTCAATATAGGAATGTGGAGAAGAGGAGATACAGTTCAGCCCTTGAACCATAACACATAAACATATGTGTTATTTCTGCTTTTGTTTCTTTCACTCTACCTGCCATGTGGTAGGTATCCATGTATTCTTGTGACTCATTGATTAGTTTCAAAATCAAGAATATTTGGTGTGAATAAATGTGCCATCTACAAATAAGAAAGACCCAAAGGTAAGCTGGAACACCAGTAGAGCAGTCTTAAGCAAATTCACGTATGAAAATCCGGATTTCCTCCAAAGATAAAACCGCCTTTAATGAAATATTTTATAAAAGTTTCCACCACTTATTCCATTAGATACTAAAAAACCAGGACTCGAGTTTCCCCAGGACTCATGATGTCGTTTGTTTTTTTTTTTTTTTAAGGTAGTAAAATACATACACATAACATAAAATTTGCAAGCATAGGCATTTGCTGAGTGTTCCATGCAGTGGTACATTCACACTGCTGTGTAGGTGCCACACCATCATCTCCAGGACTTTCTCATCTTCCCAAACTGAAACTCTGTCTCCATTAAATGCTAACGCCCCATTCCTTCCCGCCCCCAGCCTGGCAACCCACACTCTACTTTCTGTCTGTAAGAATTTGATTCTCTAGGGACCTCAAGAATCGTGCAGTATTTGTCCTTTTGTGACTGGGTCATTGCTCTTAGCATAGTGTCTTCAAGGTTCATCTATGTTGTAACATGTCAGAGTTTCCTGCCTTTTTAAGGCTGAATAAGACTCCCCTTTATGGATACATCACGTTTTGCGTATCCATTCGTCAGTCGATGGACACTTGGGTCGTTTTCACCTTTTGGCTGTTGGGAATAATGCTGCTGTGAGCCTGGTGTGCAAATGTCTCCATGAACCTGCTGGACCAGATGGCAACTTTAGGTTGAATGTTTTGAGGAGCCGCACGCTGCTTTTCCCATCGGCTGCGCCATTCCGCATTCCCATCAGCTGTTCACAGCTTCCAGTTTCTCTGCCTCCTCTGTTATTCTCTGTTGCTTGAAATAGTTGCCATCCTAGTGGGTGTGAGGCTTGTGGTATTGTTTTAAGAGCAATAACTGCATGTTTTTAACTTTGGTCCCCATGGCACCTCAGCCCTCTTTGAAATGCCCCCACGCGTTTTAGGGGTTCAGGGATGTTCGCTTCAGGGCCTGGCTGGGAGGAGCCCGCTCACGCTGGGGGCAGGAGTCCTTCCCTCTGGAAGAGCCCCTGGCTCTGTTCTTGGGAAAGAACCTTTTTCTTTCTTCCCCTGGGCAGGTCTGCCCTGTGCTGCCTCAGGGTCAAGGGGCAGTTGGTCGATATCCTCACCAGACATCTCCAGGCGGGTCTGCATCCTGGTGGGCACGTGCTCAGACCCCCACCCCAAAATGTTCACAAAGACTGCCTGGACACACAGCATCTCAGGCAAAGCAGGCAAGAACCATGCCTAGCTCCAGGCACTCAGTCTCAGGTGGCAAGGACAGAGAGCAGAAGGCAGCGCCACTACGACCCACGGGCAGATCAGGGAAAGCAGAAGCACCGGGCCCCTGACCTGGGCTGTGGGCACTCTCCACAACATCGCTGGGATTGCAGAGTCACCCGACTTAAAGGTTGAAACTTCATACCATTCTTAGAATCTTTAGACAGCTAAAGAGACCTTCATACTCAGTCACCGTGTATCGAGTGTAAAGTGCTGATGACTCGAGCAATCCCAAGAGGTAGGTGTCTGATCCTTATTTTACAGAGGAGGAAGCTAGGGCCCAGAGAGGGTAAGTAACTGGCCCAAGGCCACACAGCTGATAAATGGCAGAGCAGGGACCCACTGCTCGCAGCCTTTCTTCCAGAATGGCATAGCCACCGCACTCCACATTTTACAAAGGGGTTTCCCGTGCCTTGCCTCGGGGGCTCCTCACAGCAGCCTCTTGAAGGTGTGGCATCTTCATTCTGTTCAGTCTGGACAGAAGAAAGGCAGAGATGCTGAGCCTGTCACCCACATCACATCCCTAGAAATGATGGGGGGCAGTCCTTGAATCCTGAGCTCAGCTCCATGGCCAGCACTTGAGGGGCCCCAAAGGATAGTGAGATTAAACGTGCTCTTGAGCACTTGAGGAACAAGGCAGACATAACCCATGGGGCCTGTCCAGTGGCCCTCAGGGGGCAAACCTTTTAATAAGGTTAAGCAAACTGCTGAGAGGATGACAGGAAGGTTCGTGAAAGCCTGGTGGAAAAGATTCCAGGAAGAGAAACATCTGGTGCGGATGGGGCCACCAGGCTTAATGGATCCGCATTCTCATTGCAGTATGGCAGCCCCTGGAGGGGTGAATTGGCCAGTCCCCGTGCAGGAGGCCAGGTGCTCTACTGATGATTCAGAGAGAGGCAGCTCCACCTGACATCAGTCGGAGACCAAAAAAATAGCCCTGGGCGAGTATTCAGGAGAGCACAGGGAGATGTTAAAATTTGTGGGTGCACACAGAAAATTTCCAACTGGCACCGTGGGGACTTCGTGGCCTCTCAGGCTTTCACTTGACCCTGCGGAGATAGCAGAGCCCCACTCCCAGGGAGCTCTGCCATGCACCCTGTTTGACAGAAGCAAAGGCCTCCCCACGCTCACAGACACAGATGCTGATGTCAGCTCCCCTGCCGGTCACACCACCGAGCTGTGTGATGTGCTGGGGACTATGCTCACACGGCAGGTGCATGGTCCCATTAAGCCAGCACGACCGCCCTTAGGAGTAGATCGTTACTGGTCCCATTTTGTAGATGAAAAAATGGAGGATCCAAAAATTGAGGCCATCTGCCAAGCCCACGCAGCTGGGACACAAGCCCAGGTCAGCCTGGCCTCCTGCCAGGCCTCAGCAGAGCCGCCTCCAGCCAGAGCTTCTCGGGAGGGGCGGGGAACAAGGCTCTGAGGCTGCAGGTCACACAGTGAGCAAGAGCCAGAGCTGGAGCTGGCCCCAGGCGCCGCCAGGCTTGTGCCCCGCCCACACCCCTCTGGCCTGGCCTCCTTGCCAGTTGCAGGTCATGTCGTAGAAGAGCAGGCTTTGGAGGAGTCAGGCAGGGCTTACTTCACCTCTTGGTTCTGCCTGCTATCAGTTATGGGATTCTTGGCAAATTTTGTAACCTCTCTAAGCCTCAGTTTCATTACCTTTAAAATGGACATAAGCATACCTGTCTCAAAGGGAAGCTGGGGATGAACTAAGATAATGTACGCAAAGCTTTGGCCACAATGGGGTGCACACAGCAGGATGTCAATATATGCACACTCCCTTTCCCCATACACCCTTGACAGCAGAGGCCCAGGCCAGACAGCACCTTCCCTGGGGGCACCTAGGAGCCTGGTCTGCCAGTCCCCTGGTCTCCCTTCCCAGTCTGGTCCCATCCTCCTCCATTTCCAATCAGCAGCTTGGCCCCTGGGCCACCAGGCCCCTGTGGGCTGCAGAGGCTGACAGGGGCTGATGGGAGCCAGCCCCAGGGGGGTTGAAGGCTGATTACTGAGGACTGATGAGGTGAAGAGGGACTGCTGCCTAGAGCTGACAGCCTTGCCTGGGAGGAAGGACAGGCAGGAGGGCAAGGAGAACACTCCAGTCTCAGCCTGACATCTCTGGAAGGGCTAGGGGTCCATCTAGGGGCATCTCTGTTGGTGCCTTCTTTTCTGTGCCAAGGTCACTCCACTGCTCTTGGTTAAAATTAGCCTCCTGCTCACTGCTCTGGACTGAGTGGCCTTTCCTCATGACCAGTAGGACCTGGTCTTGCACAGGCAGGGCTGGGCTACATGCCCTCGGCTCTCCAAAGAGCAGATACAGTACATGCCCGGCGCCTTGGAGGCTGGAGCAGGGTGGGGTGTGTGCATGCACATGTGTACCTGTGCCCGTGGTGGGTGTGCCTACAAGTCTAACTAACCAAACCAGGGTGTCTAGGAAGGTGACAGTTGTGGAATTGTGCAAGCATTTCATCAGCAGCATCATTCCTAGGTTGTGTTATTTCTTGCTTATCTCCAAGGCTCCCATGTAATGGCTGATGGCCTCAGCTTACTCATTTCTAGCCCCAAGCATTAAACACTTGGCCCAACTCCACCCACACATCACCCCTGAGATTAAGAAAGTGCTCTCAAAGGATATTTGTCAAATACGCAAAGGAATGGGGACAAGTCACTATCTTATTCTTTGTCCATATCCCATACCTGGTAACATCTTAATCCAAAACTACACACTCAGTCAGGGCTCAGGCAAGGATGATTTGAGCTGGGAGAAAAGCCAGCTGAGGTTGAAAGGAAGAGAAGCACAGTGGTCAAGGCTCTGGGGCCAGTTGGATGTGGGCTCAAGTCCTGCCCAGCCACATGGCCTTCTGCAAGCAGTCACCTCCCTAAGCCTGTTTCCTCACTTGTCAAGCACATTTGCTAAGCAGCAGCCTTGCCCAGAGTGGACGAGACGGTGCCTCTCCAGTGCTCAGCAGAATGCCTGGCACAGTTAGGTATACAACAGAAGGAAGTTGTTAGTATTTTTACTGGATGTCAGCGAAAAAAAAAAATGTGGATTAAACCCTTAGAAACAGAGGATAGCATTGTTGCTAATCCTGCAGAGGGAAACCTGACGAAGGACGTTGTGAACAAAGTTAAAGCAAGTGTCAGGCAGGAAGATAATATTTGCAGTGCCTGTATAACGAAGGATTACTGCAAAGAAAACTGAAGAAGTTCTTCCTGTTCCTAAACAACCCAAAGACAAATGAGCCAACGATAAGAATGGGCACTGCACAGAAAGAGGATTAGAACAGCTAATAAATAAAGCAAACAGTGCCCAGCCACACCAGTCCATGGAAAAATGCAGTTGAAATAGTAGTGCCAGATACTTTTACCATCAGGTGGCAAAATGGCAATACTGCTTATATCCAATAATACTGGTAAAGATATGGAAAACTGTTGCTCTCATAAAGTTTAATGGCCGTGTAATTTGATAAAGCCTTTTGGGGAAGCATTTTTGGCATCCAAAATGTTGACGCATACACACACTGATGAAGCTACTGCATTTGTAGAAAACTATCCTACGGTAAGATATGCCCTTATTCCCAAAGATAAACATACGATATTCTTTACTGCAACTTGTTTGTAATTACAATGGGAACAACTTAATGGTACAAGAGGGTAGCTGAAAGAAGTGGGGCACAATTTTTTTTCCTTGTTTAATTGTCCGAAGGGCCAGCTAGAAGGGCATAATTATTTTATTAACTACTATTCTGCCATTAAAATGAATGGGCATGCCAGGGATGGTGGCTCATGCCTATAATCCCAGCACTTTGAGAGGCCAAGGCAGGAGGGTCTCTTGAAGCCAGGAGTTTGAGGCCATCCCCTGGAAAACATAGCAAGACCCTGTCTCTGCAGAAAATATTAAAAAAAAAAAAAAAAAACTTAAAAAAATGAATGGGCACATCCATAGGTTCTGATTTTGACACATGGCCAAGACTATCAAGTGAGGGGAAAGGGTGCAGAAAAACACATACATGCAGCATGATGTACACACACACACACACACACACAATTTTATGTTCATCACACACATGCATATTTGTGTAAACATGCAGCAAAGGGATCCCAGTGATACCAACCAAAGAGAGCCCCGTGACCTCCGAGGAGGGAGCGGCTGGGGCTGTCAGCGCAGAGGGATAAGGAAGGGCGCTGGCATTTTACCCGCATTGCTGGAGTCTTCTGTAGTGAGAGTGCATTAATGCATTCGGAGAAGAAAAAAGCCAGGCCGGCAGGCAGTGATGGATGGTTCGGTGCAATTGTGCCTGGTGGCAGAGAATGGATGACGTGACCCCTGGGGTTGGGTCCCGCCCTGGGGCTCTAGCGGCCCCCTCCAGCCCCTTCCCTGCCCACTTCCTCTCCCGATAGCGCCCTCCCCCAGGTTATCAGTGGGGAGGCCACCCCACACCACACTGCCTTCCCTGTGCCCGCCGCGGAGCCCTCAGAACAGTCCATCACCGCTTATCGTCCCTGTCCCTGTGCCAGAGAGGCTGCTGGGGGGTCCAGGCCGTGCACCCACCAGCCGAGAGGACTGGCCCCTCCCCTCCACCCAGGCCAGCATCCTAATTTGGGGGAGGGGACTTCTGGCCACTAGGGACAACTCCATGGCTATGACATCCCAAGGAGGGCATTCTTCAGAACCCCCACTTCCTACAATAACAGTCACGGCGCCTGGCATTGATGGCTGCCTACTAGGGCCAACCACTGTGCCTGGCAAGGGATGTTCTTTTTGTTCCTTTTCATCTTTTTTTTTTTTTTTTTTTTTTTTTAAGACAGGGTTTCGGTCTTGTTGCCCAAGCTGGAGTGCAGTGGCGCAATCTCAGCTCACTGTAACCTCCACCTCCCGGGTTCAAGTGATTCTCCTGCCTCAGCCTCCTGAGTAGGTGGGATTACAGGCACTCACCACCATGCCCGGCTAATTTTTGTATTCTTAGTAGAGACAGGGTTTCACCATGTTGGCCAGGATGGTCTCGAACTCCTGACCTCAGGTAATCCACTGACTTCGGCCTCCCAAAGTGCTAGGATTACAGGCGTGAGTCACCGTGCCTGGCTCCTTTTCATCTTTACACAATCCTAACTAACTTCAGAGATGGGGAAACACTCAGAGATAGTAAGTAACCCAGGTCACCAGAAGATACACAGCAGAACCAGGACCAGGTCACCAGAACCCAGGTTTGTGCTGTGACTGCAAACACAGTAACAGGTCACTGCAGAGTCTTCTGCCCGGAAAGCAGGGGTCCCGGTGAACCTAGTTAGTGCCACCCTGGCTCTCCCACAGTGTCCCTCATGATAAGTGGTGACACACTCTGCCCCCTTATCCTTGGCAGTGAGCGAGGGACCCTCTCCATTGCGGGTGGTGAGACGTGGTGCTCACAAAGGCATCACTAACTTGAGCCCAGTAACAGAGAATGGGAGTCTTCCCGGCTTTCCCGGCAGTGGGTCAGGTGGAAAGAGCCCTTCATGGAGTCAGAGCCCTGGCAGGGCCCACGGCCTCTGGAGCTCAGCTGTGCGGTTTCCCAGCCTCACTTTTCTCATCTGTAAAGCAGGTACAGGAGAAGTCCCAATGGGAGTAAGGGAGATGTCAAATGTATGCCAAGCCCTGTGATACCAAGTACATGAAAACCAAGCACCTCGAACCCAGCTGGCCCGAGTGCCAGGAACTGGGCACTGTTGTCATGGAAACCAAGCACCTAGAACCCAACTGGCCCCAGTGCCAGCAACTGGGCACTGTCCTCATGGAAACCAAGCACCTCAAACCCAGTTGGCCCCAGTGCCAGGAACCGAGCACTATTGTCATGTAGACCAAGCACCTCGAACCCAGCCGGCCCCAGTGTTAGGAACCGGGTACTGTCGTCATCAGCATCAGGGTCAACCTCTGGACCCTGGCTTCCTCAGCATTAACAGGAAAGGTTAGAAGCCCTGTTAGGTCTCTTCCAACTTTGTCTATAACTCTGAAAAAGCAACGTGGAGTTTCTCTGGCACACTCTTTGAGGAAATAGAATTCGCCAAACCAATGCAAATGGAGAAATATATTTCACCTGAGTAGGGAAGAAAAACCTTGTAAAGGCTTCCAAGAACCTCCAGAAACCTACTGGATGAGCTTACCACTAATCTCTTTTAAAGCAATTCCCTGACAACACTCTGTTAATCTCTCCTGAGCTCCTTAGTACCCCCTGAAAGTAGCAGGACAGCCTTACTTTCCAAATCTTCACCTTTGCAAGAGTCTAGTCTGTGAGTCCAGGCTCACCTGAAGTCTGAGATTTTGGGAGCTTTGGAGAATTCTGGATAAAATCCCTTACTGGACTTAGCAGGAATCTCCGATCTGTGGAGAAGTCTCCTCAGAGACTGAGCATCTGTTCCTAGCTCCCTCCGGGCTCTGATGCCATTAATGACTGCAGGAAGCTGTTCCAGGCCTCAATACAGAAAGAACCCTTAGACCCTCAGAGCTGGAGGTGTGCAGACTGGTCTCTGCCTGGGCTCAACCTCTGTGATTTCTGGCAAGTTACTGAAATTCTCTGTGCCTCAGGTTTCTTTTATGAAAATTATAACAGTTTTATCTCCTAGGGTTATGGTGAATACCTAGGGCAGGACCGGGCACTTAGAAAGCTCTCATCCAATGTCCCCTAACTCTTGGAGACAATAATCAAGACTTAGAGGAACTGACTGGGGGAAACGTCAACACTTTCTTGGTTCTCTCAGAGGCCGGTGGAGACGCTGCTCCATTCTGCCTGGATCATTTCCCAGGGCAGGTAAAAGTGGTGGGACCCCTCGCCGGGAGGCCAGGAAAGATGCAAAGATGGATGGATGGGTGTGTTCCCCAGGAGTGAGTGTGTCCTGGGGTGGGTGGGTCACGGGGAGTGGGGTGTCATGAAGGCGGGTGGCTATGGTACCATGACGGGGGTGGTTATGGGAAGTGCTGTAGAAGTGTGGGTGTGTTATAAGAAGTGGGGTTTCAGAGGGCTGGGTGGGCTGTAGGGGTCTGTCCAAGAGGAATAGGACTAGAGTTGAGGGGAGCAATCTTCCAAGTCCAGAGCACCCTCAACCCAGCAAGCCTGAACAAGTGTGTAGGGCCTCTGGCAAAATAATAGCCAGGCAGACGGGCAGAAGAGATGGAGCAGGCCAAGCGTCGGATGGAGAGAGGTGAACATGGCCACCACAGTGTCTGGCAGTGGCCTAGGCATCTCTAGGGCCCAGCAGTGGAGCTGGGGTAGGGGTGGCTGATCCCGAAGTGTTCTGTTCTGGCCGTGCATCTTCATGGAGACTTTCTGAGCTGAACTGGGTTCTCGGTGATTCCAACTCACTCCCCACAGACTTACCCGGCACTGAGTGCAGGCCTGGAGGGAGACACTTCACTTAGATCCTTTCACCGGATGGCATGATAATGCTGTGGGAAGGTACAGATGAGGAAACCAAGGCTCATGGAAGTTGCGTGAATTGCTCCAGGTCACAAGGCTTTTGACCTCCAGTCCAGCGTCCTTCCTGCGTTCCCCCATTGGCAAGGTTTGCCAACAGGGTGGGCCCAGCTGCTCCCAGCACAGCTGGCCCTGGAGAGCACTTTGCAGGGACAGAGTCAGCCACGTGAGAAAGGACTTGGCATACTGTAGGATTTAAGGGTTCTAATCAGGGCTTCCCAGCAAATTCTGTTGGGCCAATGTGGACCTCTCAAGTATGAGGTTGGACCATATAAAACTGCAATTCTGTAGATCAAAAATCATTGAATATTAGCAATTTCATACAGTTCACCCTAACAGTGTTTGGGGGGAAAAGCCCACAGAATGCATGACTTGCCCTTTTCTTGCAGTATGAGACAGGCCTTCATCAGAAAGGCCGGGCCTGTGGATGGAGGCAGGGGGCTGATGGAAATGACCTCTGTGCAGCTAAGGATGCTATGCTTTGTTTCTTGAGCTGAACTGCAATTGTGCCCAGCCTTCCTGGGACAAGGGTGGGAACTCAGGAGTTACTACAACCACCGCCACCCCACCCTGGGAAGGCCATTTGTGGTCTTGGACAAGTTCCCTCCCACGTGGCTGGACGAGCCCTCAGGCGACAGCTGCGTTCTGTCGAGGAAGCCACGTAAGTGGGGCGGGGCTGGGGTGGGATGGGTGGTGGGCCCTGTACCCACTGACCATGAAACACTCCACCCTCTTCCCCCTCGGTGTTCTGAGTGCCTGTGTCACACCAGCATTCCCACCGCAGATGCAGCTGGAAAGGCGCCAGTGGGAATTTCAGTGGGCTCCCATCCCGGGCAGTGGAGTGAGGCAGGGCTCCAGGGGTCCCTGGATGCAGCCACGCCTGGATGCAGGTCCTGGCTCTGCCCCTCCCCAGGGCATAGTAACCTCAGGCATGTGGCTGACCCTCTCTGCTGTGCCTCAGTTTCCACAGCTGCACAATCTGGTTAGTAACAGGCCCACCCCGCTGGGCTGTGGTGAGGACACTCGAGATGGTGTTTGTGAAGTGTTCAGTCGAGGTTGGCCAGTGTTTTGGTTGCCGTCCACTCAAGCAGTGGGCATTCAGTACACACCTGTGTGGAGCCAAGAATGGACCAAGCCTGAGGGGTCCTTCCCCCTGGCTCCCCCTTTGCTTCAACTCCACCTTGTCTGGCTGCATCGTTGGTGGTCTGGGCCCACCGCATAACTGTCTCCCTGGGACAGCTTTGGGGTCAGGGGGGTCAGCCTGGGGCCAGCAGCTGGTCCGGTATGTCCACTCTCCCCACTGCTGGGAGGGGCTGTGTTGGAAGCTCGGGGCTGTCACCTCAGTGAAGATGGTGTAAACACCAGGCATCCGCAGCCAATCTGGATGAGCTGGGCATGTCTCCCTGGGCTGGGAGCCTCAGGCTTGGCTGAGAATGGCAACATCCCAGCCTAGGAGGGCCTGATCCAAGGACCCAGGGCCTCACAGGTGTGTTAACACACCTTGTGCATGTGGCATGTTCAGGGATGTTCTCTGAACGCTACCCATCTGGCTTTCTACTTACTCCTGGCATGCTCCCATATTGTCCTTTGAATTTCATGGAACCTCTATAAACCTTAGTCTTCTCTTCTACAAACAGAGAATAATCCTCCTACCTCCCTACCATGGCCTGGAACGGTCATGAGCATTCAGTTAGTTGCACAGTGCACAATGCAGTGCCCAGGCACAGAGAAGCACTCAATACTAGTGAGCACCCAGAAGTTTTGCCCTCTCTGATAGTGTTTTTCCAGATGCTAAGGTCCCTAGGATGAGCCACAGGGGCAGTCCAGCCTGTGGCATCTGCCAGTGAGGAGAGTGTCACAATGGTGTCCCAGAACTTTGAAGCTGAAAGACTGCTGTTGAACTGGGCTGGTCCAGTCCTCAGTCCAGTCCTCTACATTATGAAGGACTCCGGGTGGGTCAATCAGTATGGACTGCTATAATGAAGTGCCAGAGGCTACACAGCTTATGAGCCATGGAAATTTATTTCCTGCAGCTCTGAAGCTAGAAGTCTGAGGTCAGCTGCTGGCATGTTTTGGTGGCTGCACACTGCTGACTTCTGGCTGTGCCCTCAACTGCCAGAAAGAAGGCAAGAGAGCACATTGGGTTCCCTTTTATAAGGGCAGTAATCCCATTTGTGAGGGCTCCACCCTCATATCCTCATCACCTCCCAAAGGCCCCATATGAATTCAGAATTCAATGTGTAAATTATAGGGGGACACAAACATTCAATTTCAATGAAACAGGCCTTAGTTAAAGAGCCCAGGTTGCATTTCACCAGCCGTGTGACTGTGGAGCAGGCACTCAACTGCCCTGAGCCTGTGTCCCGGTCTTCATGTGGGCATTGGAAAAATAACACCTGCTCCACCAACCTCACACAAATGAGATGAAATACAAGAAAATGCTTCATGAATTTAAAAAGTTCTCACTAGTTATTTGCATTGTTTTAAAGGCGTAGGTAGGTGATTCCCCTACTTAATCTGGATCAGACTCACCCTGGACTAATGCCCATGCTCCTGCCTCCAGGCCCATAGAAGGAGGAGGCAACCCATCTGGATGTGTGGAGGAGGTTTTGATCTCCTCTTCTTGGTCAGAACTGCTCATAAGAATCTCCACTGCAGGATCGATATTTGCTGCCATTTCTTTTCCTCTGCACACACATTCTAGAGTAAGCAGCAAACAGAGGTGACCAGAGATGCTAGGATGGCAACATGAGGGGTCTGGAAAGTCTCCCACTGAGCGATCAGAAGCTGGGTTTCACATACTCACCACGGCTAGTCTAGCGAGTTTGCAGAATTCAGAAACGGGATGAGACCCTGAGGTTTGCCTTTCATTAGCCTGGCTGTCCACTTATGGGACAGTCTCTGCAGGAAGGAAGGAAACAGGGGAGGCTCCTACCTGCCCCATCAGCTCACTTTTTAAAACATGCTCACCTGGCCTCACCAAGTGAGGTGGGAGGAGAGCCCGAGATCGGTTCACTTTGTGCTTCACATGTCCTTCACATGTCACCTCTCTACTCCGTGAACTTGCAAGTCTCACCTGGGTCTCTCACTTTCCATTCCCTGTCTCTCAGATCTACTAGCACAAGGCTACAGCCACAAAGCACTTATATAGTTGGGCCCCTTTGCTGACACGTGACATGCAATTCAGGGATGCCTCCTCCTCCCCCTAGAAGTGATGAGTGCCTGCAGCTATTGTAAATGTTAAAGTAAAATTAATGTTGGTTGTACACCCATGTTCATAGCAGCATGACTCACAATAGCCAAATGTAGAAGCAATCTGTATTAGTCCGTTCTCAAGCTGCTAATAAAGACATATCTGAGACTAGGTCATTTATTTAAAAAAAATAGGTTTAATGGACTCACAGTTCCACGTGGCTGGGGAGGCCTCACAATCACAGCAGAAGGTGAAGGTGTAGCAAAGGCACATCTTACATGGCAGCAGGCAAGAGAGTGTGCAGGGGAACTCCCCTTTATAAAATGATCAGATCTTGAGAGACTTATTCACTATCATGAGAAAAGTATGGAAAAAACCTGCCCCCCCACGATTCAATTACCTCCCACTGGGTCACCCATGACATGTGGGGATTATGGGAGCTACAAATCAAGATGAGATTTGGGTGGGGACACAGCCAAACCATATCACAACCCAAGTGTGCATTGGCAGATGAATGAATAAGCAAAACATGGTCTATCCATGTGGTGGAATATTATTTAACCTCAAAAAGGAAGGAAATTGGGGCTGGGTGCAGTGTCTCATGCCTGTAATCCCAGCACTTTGGGAGGCTGAGGTGGGCAGATCACTTGAGGTCAGGAGTTTGAGACTAGCTTGGCCAATGTGGTGAAACCCTGTATCTACTAAAAATACAAAATCAGCCGGGCGTGGTGGCAGGCACATGTAATCCCAGCTACTCAGGGGGCTGAGGCAGGAGAACCCTTGAACACTGGAGGCGGAGGTTGCAGTGAGCCGAGATCATGCCATTGCACTCCAGTCTGGACAAAAAGAGTGAAACTCTGTCTCAAAAAACAAACAAAACAAAAGAAGGAAGGAAATTCTGACCTGTGCTACAACATGGATGAACCTTGAGGACGTTATGCTAAGTAAAATAAGCCAGCCACAAAAGGACAAATACTGCATGATTCCACTTATAGAAGGTCCCTAGAGGAGTCAAATCCAAAGACAAAGTCGAGGTTGCCAGGGTCTGGGGGAAGGGGAATGGGAAGTTAGTGTTTAACGGGTGCAGAGCTTCAGTATGGAAAGATGGAAAAGTTCTGGAGATGGATGGCAGTGATGATACAACAATGTGAATGTTCTTAATGCCACAGAAGTGTACACATAAAAATGGTTGAGGTGGTAAATTTTAGGTGTATTTTATCACAATAAAACAGAACTTTAAAAAAATGAAAGTTGGTGCCTAACTTGGCAAATTAGTAGCCCTCAAAAGTGTTCACTGAACAAGTTATTTTTGTTTTGGACTCTGGGACAGCCATGTGGATGCCTGGAGAGAGCTGGCATGTCACTTGCAGCTGAGTCCCCTGGGTCCGAGGCGGTGCCTGGCACACGGTAGGTGCTCAGCAGATGTTTGAGGAGGGAATGAATTGAGAAGGTCAAGTGGAAACCCCTGCTTGACCTTATTTCTACCTCCTACCCCACCCACTGTCTTCCCTTCCCCATCGCCATCACAGAGCAGACTCAGCTCTGATGCCCCAAGTTGCAGAGACCTTGAGGAGTCATGTTGTTCATCGTCCTCCCTCAGGAATAAATGTAGCAGACAATCAGTGTCTGTGCTTTTTAAATCCCTCTGGGTCGTGTTTTTAATGCTCTGTGATTGATGGGACATTCCTCCATGAGTAATCCCGGTTTCTTTCACTGTGGTTGAAACCTCCCACATCCACGGTCCAATTCTTTCCCCATGAGAAATGGGAGAGGGAGCTCTGAGAGCAGATGGGGTCTGCCACCAGGGCTAGGGTGAGGGAAGTGATGAGAGTGGGACTCAGCCACCTCTCAAAGACTGTCAGCCCAGGCACTATGTTAACGGTAGTAAGGGGACCACTCCTGGAGGCAGGAGATGGGTTATGTGACCTTGGGAGGTCCCCTTCCCAAGTTGCAGGGATTCCTGGAGTCTGTGAGGCTACCTGCAGATGCTCCAGGGTCAGGCTGCATGAGCGGCCACTCGGGAGCTTTCCCTGCTGAGTGTGTTCCTAAAAAGCAAAGGAGGCCAGTTAGTGACTGCCGAGTCTCATGGAAAACCCAGAGAAATAATTGTACAGCAAAAGAGCACAGAGGGAAAATATTAACAAATAATGCAAAACTCACAAATTAGGAAAATGAATCCAATCTGCTAACCAGAAAGAAGAGAATCCCTGCCTAAGAGAAGGCCTCGCTTGAGGTTCAGTGAGTTTCCCACACATCTTAGAGATTATGAATAACTAGTATGATTAGTATAAGAAGGCAATGTAAGCGCAGCAGATGCATGGCTAATTAAATATGCAAGCAGAACATACATCGCCATGGCCATGATGACATTCTCCCAAGTGCCATCCCGCTGCTGTCTTCCAGCAAGCGTGCTTCATAGGAGAACTGATAAAGAAATTTCCCAAAAGCGTGCACCGTAGAACTCTATGTAAAGATGGACTTCTTTACAAAGAGAAAAGATGGCAGTGATCAAATGAGTTTGGGAAATGCTTAAATTTATATCTGCCCCTTAGATATTAATACATGTTAGCATAGTAAAAGATTTTTAAAACACTGCAATAAAGACATCTGTTTTATTTGCTTCATCTAGCATTTCCCCAAATTAATTTTGTACAAAAAACACTTGTCCGCCAATATCTATCATTCTGTGGAAATGGAATTTCTTGGGGGCATATCTGGGAAGCACTTAAGTACATCATTCGAATGCACATGAATTATTCAATGATTCATTAAACTGTGCTCATTCACTGAGACTGGCTGTGCTGTCCGGCACTAGGAATACAGAGATGGGTGAGACATGGTCTATGCCCACCAGAAACTCAGTGTCTAGGGGATGCCATGGGCAACTGGTTTAGCAGGGGCTGTGTAATGCAACCTAACAATTGGATAAGAGTTGGAATGGAGGGAAGGACACAGGAAGTCACCTGCCTCCCAGGCCAGACACTCAGGGAAGGCTTCCGATAGGACATGGTGCTTGAGCTGAGCTTTGAGAGCAAGTAGAGGGTCTTGCCAAGCTGATGCTGGGAGAGGGACATTCTAAGAAGAAGCTCATGCAAGGGCTCAGAAACGTGAGCTAAAAGAGGCTACAAGGAAGGGCGCACATTAAAAGAATGTGAAGAGGAGAGGCCAGAGAAGACTGGGGAGAGATCAAGGAACCCACCACCTTTGGGAGTTTAGACTCCATCCTAAAGACAATGCAGTATCAATGGAGGTTCTAAGTGTGTAATTGTCACTTACTGTCACTCTACATGACACTGCCAGATGGGCAGATCACTTGACATCAGCAGTTCAAGACAAGCCTGGCCAACACAGTGAAACCCTGTCTCTACTAAAAACACAAAAAACTAGCTGGGTATAGTGGCACTTGCCTGTAATCCCAGCTACACGGGAGGCTGAGGCAGGAGAATCACCTGAACCTGGGAGGCAGAGGTTGCAGTGAACCAAGATTGCACCACTGCACTCCAGTCTGAGTGACAAAGCGAGACTCCATCTCAAAAACAAACAAACAAAAAAACACAGTGAACTTCAGATCAGACCTTTGCTCCCATATGGGCATTCTCTCTTACTCCTGTGTCTCCCCTGAGCTCTCACCCAGTTGTCTCAGAGAAGGGCTCCCCCGACCCTACCTTGCTTTCTCTTGCTTTTTTCATCATTTTGTTTTGGAGTAGAGGGAGATTTTTTAATGACCTCAATCATAAATGTGAAGGGTCTGTATTAATGAAAGGAAAATGTATTCTGTTTGAAGTGGAGCAGTGTAAAAAAAACAAGCAACAGACTGGATTAAGAAAATGTGGCATTTTCTTAATGCCACATGAAGCATTAATGGTGGTATATACACTGTGGAATACTATGCAGCCATAAAAAATGATGAGTTCATGTCCTTTGTAGGGACATGGATGAAATTGGAAACCATCATTCTCAGTAAACTATCGCAAGAACAAAAAACCAAACACCGCATATTCTCACTCATAGGTGGGAATTGAACAATGAGATCACATGGACACAGGAAGGGGAACATCACACTCTGGGGACTGTTGTGGGGTGGGGGGAGGGGGAGGGATAGCATTGGGAGATATACCTAATGCTAGATGACGAGTTAGTGGGTGCAGGACACCTGCATGGCACATGTGTACGTATGTTACTAACCTGCACAATGTGCACATGTACCCTGAAACTTCAAGTATAATAATAATAAATAAATAAATAAATAAATAAAAAACCAAAAAAAAAGCAAGCAACACCAGGCACAGTGGCTCCGGCCTGTAATCCCAGCACTTTGGGAGGCCGAGGTGAGTGGATCACTTGAGGTCAGGAGTTTGAGACCAGCCTGGAGAACATGATGAAACCCCATCTCTACTAAATATACAAAAATTAGCCAGGTGTGGTGGTGCACACCTGTAGTCCCAGGTATTTGGAGGCTGAGGCAGGAGAATTACTTGAACCCAGGAGGCAGAGGTTGCAGTGAGCCAAGATGGCAACACTGCGCTTCAGCCTGGGTGACAGAGCAAGACTCCATCTCAAAAGCAAACAAACAAACAAAAAGCAATCCATCTTCACAGTACAGCACCTGCAGGTTCTTGGAAGCGCCCTTGGATGAATGCAAACGTCTCTGTAGGTATCTCTGCATTCTTTTGATTAAATTAAATTTTCCTCAGGAACTAGTATTTGGGGAAAGGAAATGATAGCTTCATCAAATTGTTTTACTTTATTTAAATTAAAGGTTCCCAACCCCTGGGCCACGGACTGGTACCATTCTGTGGCCAGTTGGGTCACGCAGCAGGAGGTGAGCGGCAGGTGAGTGAGTGAGGCTTCATCTGTATTTGTAGCTCTCCCTATCACATGCTTTACTGCCTGAGCTCCGCCTCCTGTCAGATCAGCGATGGGATTAGATTCTCATAGGAGCAAGAAGCAGCTGTGTTGCTGAAAGCCCCTATTGTGAACTGTGCGTGCAAGGGATCTGGGTTGCATGCTCCTTATGATAATCTAATGCCTGATGATCTGTCACTGTCTCCCATCACCCCCAGATGGGACTGTCTAGTTACAGGAAAACAAGCTCAGGGCTCCCACTGTTTCTACATCATGGTGGGTTGTATAATTATTTCATTACATATCACAATGTAATAATAACAGAAGTAAAGTGCGCAATAAGTGTAAAGTGCTGGAATCATCCCGAAACCATCCCTTCTCCCCAGTCTGTGGAAAAATTGGCTTCCACAAAACTGGTCCCTGGTGCCAAAAAGGTTGGGGAACTGCTGATTTAAATTACATACAAGTTTGCAACAGAATGTATTTTTTGCTGGAAATAGATGGCGTTTTAGGAAATGGGTTTGGGACATTTTTGGATTTGGAAGCATTCCATTGTTTCCACAGGGAAGCGTGTGACTAGCTCCAAATGAACCCATCCATATGAAGGCACTCCCCACATCATCAATTCCTTAGCTTTAAGGTTGAAACGGGCCCACCAGGAGAGACGGATGGATCCGGCCTGCAAGGCTCTTTCACGTGACGAAGACGGAGGACTCGCTGACTGAGCTTCTGGTTCTAGAAACAGTACCATGGACCCTGTACTGGGACACTGAGGGACACAGCAACAGAGGAGCCGAGAGCCCAAGCCACTGTGAGGCCCAATGACCTCTACAGCAACCATGCTGTGCTCACGGCGCCGGGCGGGACAGCTTACAGAACTGAAGGCAAGGTTTCCCTGGCCATTCAACAGACTTCCACGCACTTGCCATTTGCAAGTGAGACTTGCAACATGAAGCCAGATATGACTATCCAATGAGGCCCTGCAGTCGCCGTGAGGATCCACGGGAATGCACTCAAGTTATGAAACTACAGGAATATCACTGACTCACATTGCAGGCTCTTGGACCTATGAGAGGTGCTGTCTGTGCTCCTGCTCCCAGGATAAGCAGCAGGCATGGCTCCTGGGTGGCGCACCCCCACCCCCCATGCGTGTGTGCGCACACACACACATACACCCCAACATTCTCACTTAAACACTCCCCTTATTTGGGGATGAACAATGGTCTCTGCCTTCCCGGGATCAGGAGAGCTCCTGGCCGCCTCAGGGACACTTTGCTCCTCTGTGTATGGATCTCCCCCCAGCGGGATCCGGGGAGCACACTCCTGCCTGGTCCCGGAAGAATTGGGCCACCCTATAGCAACCATGATGGCGACAGGCCAGGCTGCGGGTGAATTCTACAATCCTGTGACTTTCAAAGGAGAATATTGATGATATTCAGTTTCTTTTCTTGCCTGCTTTTTTCTCATTCCTTTTCTCTACCCTCCTTTCTCTCAGGCATTCTCATTCCTTTTCTCTACCTTCCTTTCTCTCAGGCTTTCTCATTCCTGTTCCATGCCTCCTTTCTGTCTGTCAGAGGTGATTCCAGGATGTCTACAAAGAAGGGCCTTGAGGCTTTTGCCAGCTACTTGGGAGGCTGAGGCAGGAGAATCGCTTGAACCTGGGAGGCGTAGCTTGCAGTGAGCCGAGATCGTACCAGTGCACTCCAGCCTGGGCGACAGAGCGAGACTCTGTCTAAAAAAAAAAAAAAAATTTGAGAAAACAACAATTGTCCATATCAAAGACGTAAGGGTGCTGATGGAGGCCGGGGGCCCAGCTCTCACTCTCCTCTCAGCCCCCGCCACTCCCTGGCCTTCTCTGTGCCTGCATCCATACAGCCAGTGTCTCCCAGCCAGGCCACCTCCTCGCAGCCCTCCAGTCCTCAGGGTGGCTATCTGGCCACCCCATCAGCTGGACAAAGCATTTGTCAGCTCTAATGGATGTAAAACTCCCTGGCTTGACATGTTTTATGCATCCCCAGGGGCTTTGATCTCCTTGTCTGCGTACATAAATGAGAGGATTACTGAGACATCCCGAACGCGGCACCAAAAATGTCTTTCACGGAGGCGCTTTTGCCTCCAGGAGATAAGGTAACTAGCTGCCACCCCCCGGGGCCATTACGGCCTGTGCTTTGGGAGGGACTTCACTCAGGGAGAAATGTTGTCAGGAGGCTGGCCTACAAGGATCTCCCTGTCATTATTTCCCCATATTGTTTATATCTGGGCGATGTGGATAAAGAAACCGGCCACTTCTGGCACCGTCTCACCTCCCTGAAGATTACAAGCGACTGCGGCTGACATTTGCCAAGGTTTCTCTGAGTGACGTGGAGGCAGCACATGGTTACTGTCAGGGATTTCTGGGGGTGGGGGCTGGGGTAGAGCACTGGGGCGGGGACTGGTATTTTTAGGACACTCAGAGTCCTCTACTGGATTTAGGCCAGCTGTCCAGACCATTGCAGAGTGGCAATGTCATTCCTTTCATACTCCGTCTCCTGAGGGAGACCGGAAGGACAAAAGAGAGACTGGGGGCTGCTGCCCTGACCAATCCTCTGCCCCTGGAGGTAGAAGGCCGGTGTTGGAGATGGGGGCTCTTTGATGCACATCCAGAGTTTCAAGATGGCAGCCCAGATTGGGGAACCATCTGCAAGGCGAGATGGGGCCCCAGAAGTCATTTGGCTAAGCAGATTACAGCTCTGATCCCAGTTCTCTGTCCCCCACTTGTTCAATAAAGCCCATTATATGTATTAACATCATTACCATATGTGCCGCTAGGGACAGGAGATGCCAAAGAAGGCACATTCCGGCTGGGAGCAGTGGCTCACACCTGTAATCCCAGCTGTTTGGGAGGCCAAGGTGGGTGCATCACCTGAGGTTAGGAGTTCAAGACCAGCCTGGCCAACACAGTGAAACCCCCTCTCTACTAAGAATACAAAAAATTAGCCAGGCATGGTGGCGCACACCTGTAATCCCAGCTACTCCGGAGGCTGAGGCAAGAGAATCGCTTGAACCCAGGGGGCGGAGGTGGCAGTGAGCCGAGATCACACCATTGCTCTCCACCTCAGGCAACAAGAGCGAAATTCCATAATGGAAAAAAAAAAAAAAAAGGCACATTCCTTTCCTCAGTGAGCTCAAGAGCTTGACGTCATTTTCCTCTTAGTAAAATAGCTGTGTAGGCTCTATGGGTTGGAAGGGAACCTGAAAGTCTGTCCAACCCAACCCCACCTAATGTTTTAGGACTTTCTACAGTATCACTAACAAATAATCATCTGCCTCAGCTTCAATACTTCTCGTGATGGGCACCTCATTGTCATAAATCTCTGGCACTGTGGTTCCTATAGAGCTCTTTCTGTGTTGGACTCACACTTATCTGCCCGCACTGGCTCAGAGCAGCGCAAGTATGACCCGCCTCTACAGATCTCGTGTGGAGTAGCCGCTAACCCAGGGGCAGGTCATACTCCACAGCGTCAAATGCTGAAGTAAAGTTAGGTAACGTCTAAGCCACACCCCTCACTTTACCCCAAGCCACCACGAACCCCGGCTGGGCGTGTTGCTGAACTAGAAAAAGGTGCTTTTCCCCAAGACCCATTACCGCCACCTGCTGGAGGATTACCGTAATGACCTTGCATACCCCACAGCCCGCACAGCAGCCGTGGGGGGCCCTGGCTCCTCCCAGCGCCCAGCACTGCGATTCTGTTCCCTTCACTTCACCATGAGGAGGGAGAAGAAGGGATGCTCAAGACCCTCAACACTGGACGTGGATCGGTGATGTACAGGCAAAAGCCAAAGTGTATTTTTTAAAAAGCAAATAAAAAATCACTAAGCCTCTAGAGCAATCCTGCAAAATTTCAGAAAGTCTCGCACTCCTGGCTGCTTGTGGCCTCCTTCCCTGCCTCCTTTCATTTTCTTTCCTGTGTTGATTCCTCATTCCCAGGAACTGACCCCCACTGCCTCATCCTGTAGTAGATGGAGAGGCTCTGAGGCCGTGGACAGGCGTGGGCCACGCAGACATCCACTGCAGGAGAAACCAGGTTACAATTCTCCCACCCTGAGCCACCCAGGTGAGCTCCCAGGAGCATCAAGCTCAGTCATCCTCTGTGTCCGAAGAAATAGAGGCTGAGGTGGGGCTGCACTGGGGGCAAGAGGCCCAATCATTGCCTTCCAGTGGCCTCCAGCCCAGTCGAGAATCTGACTTGAACTTAACACAGACATTTCCTTCTTGAAAGAAAAGGTCACTCTATCGGTCTGATTCTTTCTGTTATTTCCAACAGGGGAATTTCAGTGCCAGGAATGTGACAGCAGGCTCCAAATCGGCAAAGACTTTGAGCACCATGTGACCTTTGCTTTCTCTCCTGTTCAAGCCACCTACGAATGCTGGGGTGGGAGAAGGGCTGTGACCTCAATGCAAGCCCCCTGGTGACACCATCCCTCCATTCCTGGATGTGCTCAGCAACCCTGTGCAGTGCAGCTGCGTGGAGGAGGTGACATTTGCACTGGGCCTTAAAAGATGGGTAGATTTAGAAAAGTGGAAACAGCCCAAGTGGTCATAGACCCATAAATGGATAAGCAAAATGTGGTCTATCCATGCAGTGAAATAGTCCTCAGCTTTAGAGAGGAATAAAATTCCGACGCGTGCTACAACGCTGGGTGAACCTCGAGGACATCATGCTAAGTGAAATAAGCCAGCCACGAAATGACAAATGCTGCATGATTCTACTTATAGGAGGTCCCTAGAGGGGTCAAATTCATAGAGACGGAAGTAGAACGGGGGATGCCAGGGCTGGGAGAAAAGGGAATGGGAAGTTAGTGTTTCATGGGTACAGAATTTCAGTTAGGGAAGATGGAAAAGTTCTGGAAATGGACGGTGGTGATGGTTGCACAACAGTGTGAAGTAATGCCCCTGAACTCTATTACTTAATGCCCCTGAACTGTATATCACTTAATGCCATGAAACTGTAGTTGAACAAGGTGAAAATGATAAATTCCATGTTATTTTTATTTCACCATAATAGTAATTTTTTTAAAAACATAGGTAGAGATTGGAGATTGGCAGGAACAGCATTCCAGGAGGTGGGAACAGCCAGTGTGAAGGCATGGAGTATCCCATTCAGTACCGAAGCAGAATTTGGTCTCCTTAGTGTGATCGCTTACCTGGGGAAAGTCAGCCAGTAGCTCTAGGTCTCATGGGTAAAACGTGGAATGCGAATCCCAGCCCAGTCCCTCTCTCAAGGGTCAACAAGGAGCAAACAGACAGCGGATGTCAGAGCACTTTGTGAACCACACAAGTGTGAAGTGGCTGCGGTGGCCTTGCCGGCAGCTGTGGGGAAGAAAGCATTTGGGCCGCAGACTCCAGCAGACCCAGGTTCAAATCCCTGCATCTCCACATACTGGCTGGGTGGCCTTGGACAGGTCACTTCACTCCTGGGAGTTTCCGTTCCTCTCGGCTGTGACATGGGTGTCGGCATGACTGTCCTTGGGAAATGCAGCAGTCAGCGTCCAACCAGGAAGAGGCAGCGTCCAACCAGGAAGAGGTATCTATTCCGAGGTTAAGACAGTGGGGCTGTAAATGGAGGAACAGCTTACCCAGGCGACACAAGGGCTGAGATGCCAAGCAAAGGGCAGGGGGGCCCTTGGAGATGAGCAGGGGCAGAAGGACACCAGCCTGGGGCCAGAGGAGATGAGAGGAGCCCCAGTCACTGGAGTCCAGGGACCAGAAAGTTGTAGAGTAAGTGGGGACCTGTGTGGGCCTGTTCAGAGGGAGTAAGGGCATTGATCTGAAAGCAAACAGGGCTAAAACCAGGACTGAAATCCAGGCCACTCGTTCTCTCCTCAACACCCATCCATACCCTTCTACTGCCACTTAACCCTCACACAGCTTTGCCTGACATGGACAAGTTTCCAGCATAGGCCAAACCCAGCCACAGCGTCGGGGAGCAGGAGCCGTCCAATGTCCCACAGGGCAGCTCCCAGGCTGGGCTGGTGACAGGAGAGGAGCTTGGAGGGGCGCATTGTGTCTGGGAGAAGGCACAGTGGGGCTGGAACCCTCCAGGTTCCCTGGCTCTGTACTGGTTTGCACCTGGGAGGCCCAGCCCTGGCTCAAGGACCACGAAGGTGAAATCAGATGAGTTGGATCCAGCTCCTGGGCCGGGTGGGGGCTAGTGAAATCAGGTGAGTCGGGTCCAATTCCTGGGCTGGGCTGGGGCTGGTGAACTGGTAGTGAGCCCTCGGTTCCATCACAGCCTGATGCTCCACCCTGGTGATGCGGGCCCACCTCAGCTTTGCTAGGAGTCTGACTCCAGTTCAGTCCCGGCTAGGGCAACCCCCTGTGGGTCACTTCACCCTTAGCTTCAGCCTGGGCCACCTCCTTAGCACACTCTCAAAGCTGACCTCGGCTCACTCCCTGCCCTGGGTCCTTTCCATGCCCCAGATCCACGCAGGCCTCTCTGCAGTCACCCTGCCCTGCCTCCAACTTTTCTCTGACGTGGCTTCTGCGTGCTGGCTCAAGGGTCATCCTGAGAGGGGATCTCTCCAATAGCTCCACGAGGGAGGCAGGACTGAGGCCCTGTGGCCCCGATTCCCCTCCACCTGCCCACCACACCACCCTCCAGGATGCTGCCTCGCCCGCCGCTCCCGGGGGCCACATCCCCTCCATCCTGCCTGCCACCTGCCTCCATCCCCAGGAGGGTGAGGTTAGGTGGGGGAATGCAGGAAGCATTTCAAAGCATCAGCTCCCACAGGCAGGACGGGGCATTTGAGCTGAACCTTGTGGAGAAACCTTGGGGAAATTCCAGGTGGCTGGGGTGAGGGAGGCGGGCAGGGAGTAGAAGGTACGTCCAGCGTCCAGTGACGGGAGGCTGAACTACGGGGCCAGGGGGACCAGGCCAGCGCCGCCCGGCCGGTGAGAAGTTACAGCTCTCCCATGTGAGGATTCCGAGCTGAGAGTCTCCTCACAGGGCCTGGGAGCTTTCAGGAAGCAAAGTCAAGGGGTCTTTCTTGGCTTCAGCTTCAGAGATTTAAATTGTGCGCTTTGGGCCTGAAAGTCTTGAGCAAGGGATTTCTGTTTTCATGATGGAGCGGAATCTCCGTCGAGGAACTTGCCGGACCAGGGATTAAAGGCAGCCTTCTGCTTACCAAGGTCCTTTCCCCATAAACACCTATTAGGCCCAGCTGAACATACTTTCTTGTTGCCTGAATCCCAACACTGACAGGGCCCACCCATCTTCCCCTCCTCCCTGCCCTCATCGCTCTCTCCCTGGGCCAGTCCTGCTCCTGGAAGTCTCTCCCTGCATCCGAAGCGAACTTCCTCCCCTCTAATGGCTTGCAGGCTGAGATGTACTCTGAGTAGGACCTTGAACTAGGCTGTCTGTCCCTTAGAAGCTGTGCCAACAACCCTCGCTGGGGACCGCCACAGCGAGCATCCACCTGAGTCTCCTCTGCGGAGCGGACCTCCTTGTTGGTCAGCCCACGCAGATTAGGAGACCGGGGCCTGTGTCGCAGCTGCAATGTGGTGTCCCTGAGCACATCACAGCCTCGCAGGGCTGCTGTGTCCTCGGTCGGTAACACAGGGAAGGAGCTGTCCTTCCTCCCTGATGGTTTCAGAGATCCAAATGGGACAATAGACACTACAGGGCATCGTTGATTACAAACAGCTGTGAAGTTGGAGGGGTTACTGTCGCCCTGGGTACTTTCACAGAACCAGTATGGTCGCTTCTAAAGGAAAGTTCTAAAACGTGTCTCCCCAGGACCCCTCTCGGCCTAGCTGCTGGACCAGCTCTTCCTCAAGTGCAGGAATACATTAGAAGCGGCCTCCAGATGCCACAGATGCTTTCAAACACATCTATTTCAGTCCTGGGATTACTGTTTTAAATTTCTGAGATGCCGGAGAAGCAAGAGCCGCCCTGACCACGTGCTGCTGCCTCCCGCCTGTCTCCCGGAACCTTCCTCCCATGGCTGCCCCTCCAGGACGAGGGCAGTGGGGGCAGCCCCACACTGCGCAGCTCGCAGCCTGGTGCTTGGACCCCGGCCAGCCCGGAGCCAGGATAACGAGGCAGCTCTCCTCCCAGCATTTGAGCCAATTAAAAAGACAAATGACCGCAGGCTTATCTTCCCTCCTCCTCAGCCCCTCTCTTCCTTTCCATTCCCACCCCGACAGGGAAATGGCCTGGGGACCTCAGGGCTTTGGGCCTCGGCTGCTCTTCTCTGGAACAGCCAGGCTGCTCCACCCTGCCTGGGCCTTTCAAGGCTGCTGATGGATGGGGCTTCTCCAGCCTCCTCTCAGAGCTTCTGAGTGTTCCGAGACCTCGGACTAGAAGGGAGGACAACGGGAGGGATGGGGCGGATTGGGAGAAAGTGAAGCAGAAAGGCCACAGGCTCAAAGACTTTTGTAAAAAATGTCAAAAGCCTTGGAGCTTGTTTTTCAGCTCTGGCCTTGGGGCCCAGAGCTTTAGCAGAAGGCTCTGATTCTGAGGGCCATTTGCTTCATGTAACCCGGTGGTTAGCGCAGCTGGATCCCATGTCTTGGAGGAGGGCCAGCTGCAGCTGGAGGAGCTCTGAGACCCAAAGCAAGTTCCTGGGGTCCTCCAAGCCTGCACCCGAGTTTGTCCATGCCTGTCATGGGATGGTTGACAAGTGTGAATGCCTGTGAGTACCTGGCACAGCACCAGGCACAGACAGGCAAGCTGCTAATGTTTGTCAGTTCCCTTCCTCGTGGCAACCTCGAGACACTGATTCCAATTTCTCCACGGCTCACAGCTTCGCCTCCCACCATAACTTATTTACAGGTCTTACAGGTTTCATCAACAGAATGTTTATCCTTAAATCTAACTGAAGAAAACAAACAAACACTTCTGTTCTCATCGCTCCCTGATAAAATCCTATGCATCTTTCAAAACCCAGTTTGATCGTGGCCTGTCTGGTTTTAGCTTCTCCGAGGTCCTCTCAGCACCGTATCGCTTCCATCCTCACCCTGTGGCATCATGATTGTTCCATTAAGTTAATGAATATTAACTATTAGGTCTGAGTAACACCCTGGTAAACAGGATGAAGGAAATCCCCCCTCCTGCAGTATATATTCAAGATGGAGAAAAGAGGCATTTTAAAAATTCTAGAAATGAAATTAAAAGCAGCTTGTGCCTCCTAGACAGCAAACTCCGTGCCTTCCTTCTCATTATGTTACGAGAATCTGCGCAGCCAGCAGAGCGGGGCACGGCCGATGTTCACCCTCCACACCACGCTTCGTTCTCAATGCTTCTCTTCTCTGGGAAGATGACCAAGGGTCTTTCACAGGCCCTTTTAGTGGTCAAGGTCCATTGCTCCTTAGGTCTGGACAGCTCTGAAGCCCATCTTATGGACACGCTGGTGGGCTCAGCAGCCGGCCCTGGAATAGATAAAGCTCCCTAGACCCTTGCTGCTTCCGAGTGAGAAGCACAGCAAAGAGGCTTGGCTGAGTCTCACTCCAGGCTGGGACCCCGGATGTGCGCCAAGGGCTCTCCCCCAGGAAGGGTTGTGTGTGCAGGCTCAGGGGAGCCCTGCCTACAATCAGGAGCTGCCTGCTGAGCTGGGAGCTGCTTCCCAGAGGACCCCAAGAGGCAGGAGCTGGCTTCCTTTCTGTTCCTGGCTGGAGCCAGCTCACTGGAGAGAGGCATTTCGGGTAATGTTCAGCTCAGCCAAGGCATGGAGTCTCAGAGTCCTCGAATTAAGGAGCTACAAAGAAATTCAAGGATCAGTCAGCCCAAAGTCGTCATGCATGGAGAAGGCAACCAAGACCCCAAGTAGAGAAGAGACCAATTTTAGACTAATGGGATCTCAGAGGTCATCTACTTTAGGGAGGGAAAATTCATGGGTTCTATGCTCCTGATCCACTAGTGAATCAATAATGGTGCACACACCACTAATCAAGGATGCCACTCCCTGTGCTGAACCCAGACAAAGCCCTCAATCCATTCGACGTGGCTCTCCAGACACTGACCACTGAAGACCACTTGAGATGGTGGTGATGATGATGATGATGATGGTGGTGGTGGTGGTGGTGGTGTTAGCAACCACTCATACATGCTGGAAGCCTTCTCCATGTTGAGTCTTTACCTGCATGGCCTCATGTGATTCTCACTGTGCTGTGAGGAAAGTATTTCTATTATCCCCACTTTGTAGATGAGGAAAGAAAGACTTTGAGAGGGAAAATAACTTGCCCAAGACTCCACAGCTAGTGATTCAAAAGCTTGCCCAGCCTCTGGCATGTGGGGAGGACAGGTGTGCAGGGAGGCACATGGGTCAGCCTGAGGCTTGTCCAGAGACAGCAGGACATGTTATCAACTCTTCCCAGCCTCTACCTGCGCCAGGGACTCAGCCGCGCCAGGATAATCATAACAGGAGTAGCTGATATTTATTTAGCATCTGCTGTGCTACAGGTACAGTGATGGAAAATTGACATACATTATCTCATTTAATCTTCAATGCGGTCCCACCAAGCAGGCATTATTGCTTTCACTTTACAGGTGGAGAAACTGAGGCTCAGAGAAATTAATTGACTTGCATAAGGTCATGCAGTCCATCCGAGGCAGCATCAGCATTTGCCCTCAGACCTTTCTGACTCCCAAACCCATGCTCTTTTTCTGTGGCATTGCGCTTCCCCTCTGGACTGGTCACCACCCATGGAAGTTGTTGGTGACAGCCCAGGTCTTCCCATGTTTGTGGGCCCAAGTGCTGCTGCCGGCACGTTTCCTAGATCGTTGAGGAGCCATGGCACCCAGGGCAGGGGGCAGGTGACCCCATCCTCAAGCCCGTGTATAGGTCCCCATCTGTACTCCCCACCCTGCCTGCCCACCAGTCTTTCAAACAGCTAGATTGGAAGCACATTGAGGGCAAGTCTTGGTCCCAAACCTACCCGCACCCCCATCTCAGGTATGGTGGCATGATGGAGGAAGAAGTACTCCAGATCTGATTTCGGGAGAGTTAGTTGAAGTCAACTCTGCCTCCAAACAGTTGTGTGATGTTGGGCGCTGATGTAACGTCTGACCACCAGCTTCACTTGAGAAATGAAAAGCTCCAGACCTTCCTCTCAAGGCTGCCAGGGGACCAGCTGAGTTCTCAGATGCCAGAGGGCTTGTCCTGCCACCTTGGGCTGAGCAAGTCATCCCACCTTGCTAAGTTCAGTTCCTTCATCAGCAAGATGGGCACGTGAACAACAGCATCTTCCCCACTCTTTCCCACCGTGCAGATCAGATGCAGTGGTATGAGGGGCGACCCTGTAGACTTTACAGCACTATGCAGATGGTATTTGCCACACGCTTGATAAATGGCCACCGCCTGACAAAACAAACCCTATTCCCAAAGTAGCAAAGTTGATGGCACAAAACCAGCAGTTATGAAATGTTGCCGGCTGCCTCGGTCCTGCAAGTGTCCTTGTGCCTTTCCTAGACAGTTGGGCTCTCGGGAAAAGGGCCCCTTCCCAGAGTGGGCTGTTTCTCAGGACCATCTCCTCCAATGCACAACAAACTAGAACTTTCTGACACTCCCTGGCAGCTGCAGCTGCTGCCTGAGACATCTCCGTGCCCTTGAGAAGGTAGCTTGTGGTGCAAGTTTAGTCTGAAATTCCATCCCGGGGCCTCCCCCTGCCCTGGATCCCAAGGCCTTGAAGATGTTGCTCGCTGTGTGGGCTGGACCCGGTGGAAGCACCAGGGCGGGAGCAATGGGAGCAGGGCTCGGAGACCCTGAGCTCGCAATAGTCAGAGGTCAAGGTCAGAAAACACAAGCACAGACCAGAGGCCCCAGAATCCTCTTCTGGCTGCAGCCATTATTAGTGGTGATAAATAAAAGCCTCTTCCATGGCTTTTATCATCTCACGACCTCAGATCAGTTTCCAAACACAAGTCACTCTCACATCCTTTGTCTTGGAAGACAGCAACACCTTCAAGTCTCCAGCCTGGACGTGCCCAGGAAGCTGCCTGCATTTCACCTGCATCTTTTAAATGGTGGAGGCTTGGGGACATTCTCTACCCCCAACCCCTCCTTATAGCCTGACCTGAGCTTTACAGTCAGCATGATCTGCCTGGGCTCTGTTAAGGAATGAATTGTGTCCCTCAAAATTCACATGCTGAAGCCCTAAGCCCCTGACCTCAGAATGTGACTGTACTTGGTCTTTGGGGGTAAAGTAAAATGAGGTCATGTGGGTGGGCCCAAATTCAATATGGCTGGTGTCCTCATAAGGAAAGGAGATTGGCTGGGTGTGGTGGCTCATGCCTGTAATCCTAGCACTTTGGGAGGCCGAGGTGGGTGGGTCACATGAGGTCAGGAGTTCAAGACAAGCCTGGCCAACATGGTGAAACCCTGTCTCTACTAAAAACACAAAAATTAGCTGGATGTGGTGGTGCATGCCTGTAATCCCAGCTACTCGAAGGCTGAGGCAGGAGAATCGCCTGAACCTGGTAGGTGGAGGTTGCAGTGAGCCAACATCTCTCCACTGCATGCGTGGGTGACAGAGCAAGACTCTGTCTTAAAAAAAAAAAAAAAAAAAAAAAAAAAGGAGATTAGGGTCTGGGTTTCATGGCTCAAGCCTGCAATTCCAGCATTTTGGAAGGCCAAGGCAGGCAGGTCACCTGAGGTCAGGTGTTCGAGACCAGCCTGGCCAACATGGTAAAACCCCATCTCTACTAAAAATACAAAAATTAGCTGTGCATGGTGGTACCTACTCGGGAGGCTGAGGTAGGATAATCGCTTGAACCTGGGAGTTGGAGGTCGCAGTGAGCTGAGATCAAGCCACTACACTCCAGCCTGGGTGACACGGCAAGACTCTGTCTCAAAAATAATAATAATAAAAGAAAAGGAGATTAGGCCACAGAAACACAGAGGGATGACCATGTGAGGACACAGCAAGAATGTGGCCATCCACAAACCCAGGGGAGAGGCCTCAGGAGAAACCAACCCTGCCGGCACCTTGAGCTTGGACTTCTAGCCTCCAGAACAGTGAGAAGATGAACGGCTGGTGTTGAAGCCACCTGGTCTGTGGGACTTTGTCATGGCAGCCTGAGCTGATTAATGCAGGTTTCATGCCAGCTTCAATTCAATTCAAGAAATGCAAATCTCCCAGCCACTGTCCTCTAGGCATTAGGCTGGATAGTGTGGATTCAAAGAGGAAACCCTGGAGGAGGGCGTGCTTGAATACAGGATCTGAAAAGCTGGAGGAGAGAATTCATTTGCACAGGCCTCAGAAGACATACAGAGTGTGGCCTGGTGAATTAGGAGGGACTGTCAAGGAATTCTCCTCAGAGGAGGTGAAATAGGAGCAAATTTCGAAGGCATATTAAGGTTTGGCCCACCAGTCAGGCAGAGAGGGGGGAAGGATCACAGAGCAAAGTGAGCCGTGGGTGCAGAGACTGCCTGTGAAAAGGCACAGCTGCGTGGGTGGAATGGGTGGTGGGAGGCTCAGAACTGCTCCCTCTGCTTGTGCTGCTGTAACAAAATACCATAGATTGGGTAATTTATAAAGAAGAGAAATGGATTCCTCACAGTTCTGGAGGCCGGAAGTCTGAGATGAAGGGGCCGACACTGGTGTCTAGAGAGGGCTGCTCTCTGCTTCCATGGTGGCGCCTTCCTGCTGCGAGCTTACCTGGCGCATGCTCACCTGGCACCTTCTCACCTGGCGGGAGGGGGAAAGGCCTCAGCTGGCCCCGGACTGCCCCTTGATGAGGCATGAATCATTCATAAGGGAGGAGCCCTCACAGCCTCATCACCTCCTGAGGCCCTCACCCCTTTATACTGCCACCGTGGGGATTAACTTTCAGCATGAATTTTGGAGGGGACACATTCAAACGACAGCACTCTCCAAACTTGGTTTCTCCATCTGTAAATGGGATAATAATATCTCAGGCAGTTGGCATAAGGGTCAGCTGAGACAACAGGGAAAGAAGAATGTTTATGGCAAAGCACTCCCAGAGATGACTTCAGATGAAGCCATCACAAGCCTTCTGATTTTTCATTCAACTCACCCACCTCCCACCTGTAACCCTTATTTGGCACAGGAGTCCATCAAACCAGGCCAGGCACAATTGTTTTTTGTTTGTTTGTTTGTTTGTTTTGAGATAGGGTCTCACTCTGTCATCCAGGCCGGAACACAGTGGTGTGGTCAGGGCTCACCACAGCCTTGGACTCGTGGGCTCATGCGATCCTCCCTCCTCGGCCTCCTGAGTAGCTGGGACTACAGGTGCACACCACCACACTCAGCTAATTTTTGTATTTTTTTGTAGAGACAAGGTTCCATGTTACCCAGTTGGTCTCAAATTCCTGGGCTCAAGCAATCTACCGGCCTTGGCCTCCCAAAATGCTGGGATTACATGCGGGAGCCCCCAATGGCCAGCCGGATTGTTTTTAATAAACTTTCTATTTTAGCATAGATTTAGATTTATGGAAAAGCTGCAAAGATAGTACAGAGAGTTCCCACATTCCTCCACGCAGTTTCCATCATTGTTAACATCTTACATTAGTATGTTAAACTTGTCAAATTAATGCACCAATACTATTATTGATACGTTACTACAAACTAAAGTCCATATTTTTTCAGATACTTAGTTGTCACCTAATGCCCTTTTTTTTCTTCCATGACCCTGGAGTATATGTCATCATCATGCCTCCTGAGGCTCCTCTTGGCTGTAACCGTTCTAGCCTGATTTTTGAATTCCAGGACACGGCATTTGCTAAGAAATGTACCTATGTATAGAAGTAGGAATGAGGGAACAGTTGGAGGATTTTTGGAGAAAAGCACATTATTTTTCAGCATTGTATCATTTGGCGAATCAACAACACGTGTTTGTTACAAATGAGACTATCTGTTCGCTGAAGGAGCCCTAAAGAGCCTGTGTTTATGATATTCTCAGTTCACTTTATCCTTTGCACTAAAAAATACTGATTTACATGTGTACATACACATAGACACACGCACACACACGCAATTTTAGAATTCACTCGTGTGATAGCCCCAGTCCTTCCCAATAGCCTGTCTCTGGCCCCAGGTGTTCTGTGTTCTCAGACTGTCTGAGCCCCTGTTCCTTGGAGGGTGAAAGGCTGCCTCCCTTGAGCCCAGAGGCCCAGGGTCAGTACACACTCAGCTGCATTCTCTCTGGGGCCCTCTGCCGTGGGCAGCACCGTACCCGATCCAGGCAGAACTGGACTCTTCCACTCTGAACCTCACGGCCTTGGAAGGGAGAGTGGGTGGGGGCTGTTCCTCAAAGGCTAGAGGGCATCACAGCAGCTCCTGCCTCCAGGCTGCAAAGGGGTCAGCTCCCAGGTTGCCTGCAAGAGTGGTGATAAAGGGACACACTCTCCTTGCTTTGCTTGGCCAGGACAGCACTTTTGTTTGGAACACTAGGTTCCGAGACTCTGTCCATCTGCAGGTTTTGCGTGTAAATGACGAGGAAAGAAAGCAGCAGAAGCCACATCTATGAGCCTGGAGCATCAGCAAAAAGCAGCTCCTGCCTCCTCCCCACCACCCCGGCTGGCACGAGGCCACGGCAATCACGGCGTCACACTCTTGCCTGCGTGTATTTCTTCCTTTTTTTTTTTTTCTTTGAGACAGGGTCTTGCCCTGTTAACCAAGCTACAGGGCAATGGCATGATCACAGCTCACTGCAATCTCAACCTCCCAAGTAAGCCTCAGACTCCTGAGCAGCTGAGACCACAGGCATGTGCCACCACACCCAGTTAATTTTTTAAAACATTTTTTGTAGAGATGGGTCTTGCTATATTGCCCAGGCTGGTCTCGAACTCCTGGCCCCAAGTAATCCCTCTGCCTCAGCCTCCCTAAGTGCTGGGATTATAGGTGTGAGCTGCCACACCCCACCTCTTCTTCTTCTTTTTTTTTTTTTTAATAAAAAATAATGGCTCAAGTCATTGTAAAAATAATAATAATAAAATAAAAAAAGTAGCAGAAGTAAAAACTCATTTTGACCACTACAAAGTCCCCATCTCCTCCCTAGAAATAACTTATGCCCTCAGCTGAGCATGTCCTTGGAGACCTTTTTCTTTTTCTTTTCTTTTCCTTTCTTTCTTTTTTCTTTTTGTTTTCTTTTCCTTTCTTTCTTTTTTTTTTTTTTGTAGCTTAAGTTCATTTTAGATGGTTTGTTGAAAACCTCAATTTTTTAAAAAACATAATTTCAACTTTTATTTTAGATTCAAGGGGTGTGTGTGCAGATTTGATACAAGGCAGTACTGCATGATGCTGGCGTTTGGGGTATGATTGATCCTGTCACCCAGGTGGTGAGCACAGTACCCAATAGCTAATTTTTTAACCCTTGCTCCCCTCTTTCTCTCCCCCTTCTTATAGTCCCCCATGTCTATTGCTCTCATCTTTGCGTTCATGAGTACCCAAGGTTTAGACCCCACTTGTAAGTGAGAACATGTGGTATTTGTTTTTCTGTTCCTCTGTTAATACACTTAACATAATGGCCTCTGGCTGCATCCATTTTGCTGCAAAGGAGATGATTTTGTTTTTTCACGGCTGCATAATATTCCATGTTGTATATGTGCCACATTTTTTTATCCAGTCCACATTTTCCTAACCATGAGCACCGAGGTTGATTCCATGTCTTTGCTATTATGAATAGTGCTGTGCTGAACACATGAGTACATGTGAATTTTTGGTAGAACGATTTCCATTTCTCTTGGTATATACCCAGTAATGGGATTGCTGGGTTGGATGGTGGGTCTGCTTTAAGTTCTTTGAGAAATCTCCAAACTGCCTTCCACAGTGGCTGAACTGCTTTGTATTCCCACCAACAGTGTAGAAGCGTTCCCTTTTCTCCAAAGCCTCACCAGCGTTTGTTGCTTTTTGACTTTTAGTAATAGCCATTCTGATTGCTGTGAATGGCATCTCAGTGTGGTTTTGATTTGCATTTCTCTGATGATTCGTTATGTTGAACATTGTTTCATATGTTTTTTGGCTGCTCATATATCTTCTTTGGAGAAGTGTTCATGTCTCTTGCCCACTTCTTAATATAATTATTTGTTTTTTGCTTGTTGAGTTGTTTAAGTTCCTTGTAGATGCTGGATATTGATCTTTGTTGGACACATAATTTGCAAACATTTTCTTCTATTCTGTATGGTGTGTTTACTCTGTTGATAGTTTCTTTTGCTCTGAAGAAGCTTCCTTAGAGGTTTTTTTCAATGTATGAATATGCATGTATGGGTGCATTTAGGAAAAGAGAATATAATTTTACATAGAGTTTCGGAAGTAAGAATACTGGCCGGGCACAGTGGCTCACACCTGTAATCCCAGCACTTTGGAAGGCTGAGGCAGAAGGGTTGCTTGAGCCCAGAAGTTTGAGACCAGCCTGAGGAACATGGTGAAACCCTGTCTCTATTAAAAAAAAAATTAGCCAGGCATGGTGGCATGGGCCAGCTACTCAGGAGGCTGAGGTGGGAGGATCACCTAAGCCTGGGTGATCGAGGCTGCAGTGAGCTATGATTGCACCACTGCATTCCAGCCTGGGTGAAAGAGTGAAACCCTATCTCAAATAGAAATAAAATAAAGTAAGGATACGGTATGATTATGTAACTATTTGCATACAGATATTTGGGGTTTTTTCCCAATTTTCCCTATTACAAACCATGCTGGAAGTCTAATTTTTTTCTCTTTTTTATTTTGTAGGCAAAGCTGTTGGGTATCAGTTCTCCACAGGGACCTGATGATCTTAGGTCTTTCTCTTCATCTTGGGAAGAGTAAGGAAGCTGTTCTCGTCCTGCCCTAGTGTGGCTGATGTGACATGACCGGCTGCGCCCAGCATCCTGCTTTCCTTCCCAAGTTGCGTCTTTGTCCACAAATCCAGCTAGTGCATCATTGAAAAGGTTGGTGTTGCTCAAGATTATTCCCAGTCCTAACTCATTATTGAGGTTTCGGCCTGTTTGGCTGGAAGACAACTGCAGAGATGACCGAGAGATTTTATTTGTTTCCTGTGGCCGTCATAACAAATGATCACAAACCGGGTGGCTCAAAACAACAGACATTTACTCTCTCACATTCCAGAGGCCTGAGTGTCAAAACAAGGGCCTTGAGGCCTTCTGACACCTTGAGAAAAGACTGGCCAAAGATTCCTTCCCTGATTTTTCCAGCTTCTGGTGGTTCCAGGTGTTTCTTGGCTTGTGGCTTCCTCACTCCAACCTGTGCCTCCGTCTTCACATGGCTTCTCTAGAACTCTGTGTCCACATCTGCTTCTCTTCTGTCTGTTATAAAGATACCTGGCATTAGATTTAAAGTCCACCTTGGAAGAACAGGATGATCTTGTCTCAAGATCCCTCACTTAATTACATCTGCAAAGGCCCTTTTTCCAAATAAGGTCACATTCATGGGTTCTGGGGCTTAGGACATGAACATATCTTCTTGGAGGCTGTCATCCAACCCAGTGCAGGAATCATTAGCACAGTCCTCTGCTTCACAGATGAGAGTACCCCTCCTTGCCAGGTGGTGGTAAATGCTTTGAAGGAAAATAAAGCAGGAAGAGAACAACTTGGGGTTCCAGGATGGAGGTGAGCTTGCGATTTCAAATAGGGTGCTCAGGGAAAGCCTCTCTGGTGACAAGACATTTGACGAAAGAACTGCAGACGTGGGAGAGCAAGTCACACAAGGGCTGAGGGAGAAAGCCTTCCAGGCAGAGGGAACTGATTGTTCTATTTTTTGTGTATTCTTGACAGTTTGTTCTTGTTGTAATAATTTGCCATGTTACTTTTATTTTTACCATATACATATTGCACTCCTGGATTAAACTGTGAGTTATTTGGAGATAGAGACTATGTCTTCTTGTAGCATCCTCAGCACTAGCAGAGAGCTTGATGCATGAAACATGGTCAGTAAATATTTATGAGAGAGTAAATAAATGACTGCGGTATAAAAGGATCCATGGCTTAGATGACTTGCTTGAGGTCACATGGCTGGTCAGGGGCAATGCTGAGACTGGAACACCATAATCCTTGCTCTCATCAGAAAGCAAGGTGGTGCATTTCAGGCTGGGTGTGGTGGCTTATGCCAGCACTTTAGGAGGCCAAAGCAGGAGAATTGCTTGAGCCCAGGAGTTCAAAACCAGCCTGAGCAACGTGGTGAGATCCTATCTCTGCAAGAAATTTTTTTAAAAATAGCCACGCATAGTGGCAAGCACCTGTGGTTCCAGCTACTCAGGAGGCTGAGGTGGGAGGATTGCTTGAGCTTGGGAGCTCAAGTCTTCACTGAGCTATAACTGTGCCACTGCACTCCAGCCTGGGCAGCAGAGTGAGACCCTGTCTTAAAAGAAAAAGAAAAGAAAAGAAAAGAACAAGCAGGTGGCACATTTCAAAGGAAGCTCATTTTCTAGCTGGCTGTTTTTAAGGAGACTGCTTGCTGTATCAAGACACATGTGGTAGATGTGACATGATGGGTTGGAGGCCAGGCCTGCACGGGTCATGAGCCTAATTGAAAAGGAATATCTCCCTGCTCGAAGCTCATTTTGAAACGTTTCATAAATGGCTAGTCATGGAACCAAGAAAGAAGAATGGACAAGATCAATAAATTGGTTGGCTCTTGAAAGTCAACCATATTCCAGGGAACAACCACTCACCAAGCCAGGTGGCTGAGAGAGGAGGTAAGGGTGGAGCATGCAGTGCTGGAGGATCGGGTCAGCTTGTTATCAGCAGGGACAGTGGTAGCTAAGAGTAAGCCTTGACCAGCTTGAAGAGTGAGACTCAAGGTCATCGTGGACTGCATCAAGTGATCTCAGGTCCTAGAAAGTAAGTGAAAGAGGACAGTGTGATGTGACAGGCCAGGTGTGATGAGGACTAAAGTCAGGAAAGGCTGCAGGCCAAGGACAAAGGTAGAATAATGGAGTCGATTGATGATTCAGAGCACAGGTCAAAGCAGTTGCAGGACCTTGGATAGCTCCACAGGAAGCTCTGCCAAGAGGCGTTGGATGACTGAGCTTTTAGCCCACAGATCCCAAGGGGTGACATTTGGAGCCACCTTTCGTAGGACACTCTAAGATTTCAAGGACCTTGTGCAGTCATGGTGGTTCTAACCCTTCGGCCATGAGGGACAGAAATGCTACGACTCTCCGGACATATTTCCCAAAGTACTGCCTTTCTTGGCATTTTTAAGGTGTTATGCTTACATGACTGACCATTGTCAACGTCATGAGGCATGAAAGAGCAGTGGCCAAAGGTGGGGCTATAGCTGTCTTCCAGGTCTCCTAGCTCCAGCGGTGCAAACGCCACCCCAGGCCAGGCTTTCGGGGCTCACCTCCAGAGGTTGGACATGGCTATGGCTTGGGTGGGGGAATCTTGGGCTGATCAAGAATCCCAGGCATCTTCAGGCCCTGCCAGCACACCAAGGGGTGTCAGAGTGTGCATGGACTTTGAAACCATTTCATAGCGGAGCACGTTATTTTGGTTCTTTAAGCCTCTGCTCTTGCCACTTGTGAAGTGCGGATAACATCTTGCACAATGATTGTAAGGATTAGTCAAACAGCATAAGCTACTTAGAAGAATCAGCCCAGAGCACTCCTCAGCAGACCCACCTCTTACCAACATAACAATGCTGAGTGGATCGTTTGTGGCTAAAAACCTGATCCCCTATAAGGAAGAGGAGACAGTGTGCTGGAATCAGACAGATCTGGATTCAAAAACTCTCCGGTGCTCACTAACTCTAGGGCCTTAGGCAAGTTGCAAAACCTCACGGAGCCTCAGTTTTCTCATCTGCCAAATGGAGAGCTGACACCTACCTCAAAGAGCCATGGTGAATAGTAAATGAGAAAACATGTCTACAGCTCCTCACACATAGCAAGCACTCAACGACTGTGAACTCCCAACCCTTCCTCCCATCGAACTCAATATCAAGATTTTAAAGGGAATAAAAAGCCTGGCTTTTGGGTTTCATTGGAAGTGTTTTAAGTGAGCTAAACAATGACTTCTCACTTCTCATAGGTAACATCGAATCCCAGAGCTGGAAGAGCTCAGCACTCACCTATATCACTGCCTATATTTTTACGAGGCCTTAGTAGCAAAGTGGGCTTTTGCATCACATCTCCTTTAGTTTCAAGGGACACACCCCAACTCAGACCAGGATAAGTAACAGTGAAATATTTGGGACCTTGGGTGATACTGGGACTCAAAGGAGGTTTCCAGAGCTTGTTCTGTCTCATCATCTCCTGGCTCTCACTCCCTTTGGCTGTTGACCTTATTGCCTTCTATGGCTGGCAAGCTTTCTCCATACAGAGGAGAAAGAAATTAATGACAGCTCTAGACTCCTATTGTCAGTTTTGCTACCCCAGTAGGAACTTCCCACTGCCAACAGTGAGGTTGAATGAATGAGGTTCAATGAATGAACCTATATCATTCATCCCAGGGAAGGGCACTAATGGTCCTGTTGGCTAATCATTGACTCCACCCCCTGAGACAGTGGCTGTTACACCAATGGCTGGCCAAGCTTGGGATGTGATGAGTGATCCAGGACCTCATGGCAGGTGCTGGGCAGAGAAGGACAGCATGTCTATCATTGTGTTTGCCAGTCACCTAGCTGGTGAGGGATACTGATAGAATGAGCATGCAAGCGTTCTGGCTCCTAATTTTGTAGTTTTCCCTTCTATCATCTCACATTCCCAGGCCCATTGGTAGACGCTATTGATCAAGTGTTTGAAGTGGATTTGTGCTATTATCGTCCCTTAGGAAATTAGGGGGCCTACAGCTCCCACTTAGGGACCAGCAAACCAGAATTTGTGGTAAGGTCAATCTGCAGCTGTAAGACCGTAATCTGGGGGTCTTAAATATTCATCCATAACCAAACCAGCTAAGCCACCCTGCACATGGATAAGACACGCTGGGGGCAGCATTGTTTTCAACCTCCCTGCAATGGTGTCAGCATGATGGCTAGCTCCATCTCCCGTCAGAAATTCAGCATCCTCCTACCCAGACACTAAGCATGTGCCCTCGCACTGTCAGAGAAAGGCTCTTATCTGTCCGTGAATCTGGCTGTGCCTCTATAATAAAACATATCAGGTTGATTGCTTAAATTGTTTATAAATCTGGTGCTATCTTTACTGTTTATAAAAATTCCGGTGTGGTCAATATTGGTCCCTACTGCTCCAATTAAAATGGCCAAATGAACCTCAGCACCAGCTGGAATTTCAACTGTGGCCAATCCACGTGGAGTTTTGCACTTCTGCAAGAGTGGAAGTCATGGAATAGTAGAGCTGGAAGCAGCTCTAGTGACTGTCCAGTCTAATTCTTTCCTTTTACAGATGAAGAAGGTGAGGAACAGGGAGAGAACCACATGACTTCAGGGCAGAGGTTTGCAACAACATTGCTTAATGAAATATTGAGCTCAAGCTGTGGCCAAGTGCTGATCCAGAGGCAAGGCAGCCACCATAAAGAGAGCATGGCAGCCACAGCCACATTTGCACTCTCCTAGTTCCCCTTCCATGGTCATTTGAGTCCTGGGGACACTGGACCTTCAGTCCTTCTGCCTCAAGTGGACCAACATTGGGAGAGTTGTCCTGGCATCTGAGGATTAAAAGCCAGCTCCCCTGATCCCCTGAGGCATCCGCTCCTGCTCCCCAGAAGCACTCCAGAGACCCAGCTTTGGCCAGCTGTTTCACGTCTATTTGAAGAGCTGAAATTCTAATAAGGATGATTTATGAGTTTCTGAGCGAGAATAATGGGAGCCATGCTTTCCCCTGACACAGAGCCTGGTCCCGGGGGTGCCGGGATGAGTAATGCTCTACCATGGAGCAAAGGGCTCTTGTCTGAGTCAAGGGATGATTTAACTCCTCAGAGAGCCAGAGTTTCCCTCCAATAACTCACCCTCTCTGAGAAAAGGAGTGGTACCCCCCTGTCTTGTTGGTGTCTGTGCCCACTCAGTGGCAGGAGCTGCCTTGCAGGCAGTCAGCATGGATGTGCCAGACCCCATGGCCAGTGTCTTGCAGGGTGGGGGTGGGGCCAGCAGGCACTCAGGGGGACCAGCAAGCAGGGTCTGTACACTGACTGCGTGGGCAGTGGATGCTCCAGTCTGCTGAAGGGACATCCCGAGGAAGAGGAAACAGACTTAGATGGGCTGATTCCCAGGGCCAGGCCAGGATTGTAAATAAAGGATACACGGGGATTTCAACTCAGTATAAGAACTTTCTAACAATCAGATTTGTGCCCCATAAAGAATAAATGGTTTTCGGAGGCTGTGAGACTTTCATCAGTAGCAATATTAAAGTGCAGCTGGATCCCATTTCACACACATTTGGATAGTTGTTATCAAGGAAAACAGAAAATAACAAGTGTCGACAAGGATGTGGAGAAACTGGAACCTTGTGCACTGTTGGTAGGACTGTGAAATGATACAACTACTGTGAAACAAAAAACTGCTATGAAATAGTTCATCAAAAAATTAAACACAGATCTTATAACTAGAAAAACTTAAAGACTCTACGAAAAACCTGTTAGAGGTGATAAATAAATTCAGTAAAATTGCAGGATATAAAATCAACACACAAAAATCAGTAGCATTTTTATATGCCAACAGCAAACAATCTGAAAAAGAAATCAAGAAGGCAATTCCGTTTACAATAGCTACCAAAAAGAAAAGGCTAGGAATAAACTTAACCACAGAAGTGAAAGGCCTCTACAAGGAAAACTACAAAACACTGGTGAAAGAAATCAAAGAGGACACAAGCAAATGGAAAGACATCCCATGCTCATGGATCAGAAGAATTAAGATTGTTACAATTACCAAACTACCCAAAGCAATCTACAGATTCAGTGCAATTCCTATCAAAATACCAACATCATTTTTCACAGTAATGGAAAAGATATCCTAAAATTCATATGGCACCAAAAAAGAGTGGAAATAACCAAGGCAGTCCTAAGGAAAAAGAACAAAGCTAGAGGCATCACACCATCTGACCTCAAAATACATTACAAGGATATAGTAATCAAAACAGCATGGTATTGATGTAAAAACAAACACATAGACCAATGGAATATAATACAGAACCCAGAAATAAATCCACTTATTTATAGCCGACTGATTTTTGACTAAAGCACCAAGAACATATGTTGGGGAAAGGACCCTCTCTCCAATAAATGATACTGGGAAAACGGGACATCCACACATGGAAGAATGAAACTGGAGCCCTATATCTTAAAGCAACTGAAGATGAATTAAAGATTTAAAAGTAAGACCCAAAACTATAAAAGTAGAAAAAAAGCATAGGGGAAACACTTCAGGATATTGGTCTAAGCAAAGATTTTCTGACTAAGACCTCAAAAGCATAGGCAACAAAGACCAAAGTAGACAAATGAGACTATATTAAACTAAAAAGCTTCCGCACAGCAAAGGAAACAATCAACAGAGTAAAGAGAAAACTTGTTGAATAGGAGAAAATATTTGCAAACTCTTCATTCAGTAAGGGACTAATATCCAAAATATATAAGGAACTTAAACAACTCAACGGTAAAAAAATCAAATCATCCCACTAAAAATGACCGAAGGATTTGAATAGGCATTTCTCGAAAGAAGACAAACAAATGGTAAACAGGTATGTGAAAAAATACTCAACATCACTAATCATCAGGGAAATGCCAATCAAAACCACAATGAAATATCATCTCAGTTAGAATGGCTATTACTAAAAAGACAAAAAAAGCAGATGCTGGAGAAGACGTGGAGAAAAGGAACTCTTATACACTGTTGGTGGGAATGTAAATTAGTACAGCCCCTGTGGAAAATGGTATGGAGAGTTTTCAAAAAACTAAAAATAGAACTACCATATGATACAGCAGTGCCTCTACTGGGTTTTTATTCAAATGAAAGGAAATTAGCACTAGTATAAAAGACCTGCACTCCTCTGTTTATTGTAGCACTCGTCAGAATAGCAAACATATGGAGTCAACCTAAGTGTCCACCAACAGATGAATGGATGAAGAAAATGTTATATATATACATAAATATATATGAATATTACATGATCATTAAAAGAATGAAATCCTGTCATTTGCAGCAACATGAATGGAGCTGGGGGTCACTATATTAAGTGAGATAAGCCAGGCAGAGAAAGACAAATATTGCAGGATCTCACTCATACATGGGAGATAAAAATGTTGACCTCATGGATGTAGAGAGGCTGGGAAGGGTGTGTTGGAAGGGAGTGATAAAGAGAGGCTGGTTAATGGGTACAAACATTCAGTTAGATACAAGAAAGAAGATCTAATGTTGATAGCAGAGTAGCATAACTATAGTTAAAGCAATGTATTGTATATTCCAAAACAGCTAAAAGAGAGGACTTGAAATGTTCCTAACACATAGAAATGATAAATACTGAAGGTGATGGATATCCTAAATACCCTGACTTGATCGTTTCACCTTCTATGCATGTAACAAAATATCACATGTACCCCATAAATATGTACAAATATTATGTACCAATGGAAAAAGAAAAATTAAAAAAATTAAACATATTATTGCCATTTGATCCACCAATTATAGTTGTGGACGTTGAAGTAGATATATTGGGTACATTTGGGTATGTATATATATATATGCATTATTCTCAATAGCCAAAATGTGTAAGCAACCCAGGTGGCCATCGACAGATGAATGGATAAATAAAATGTGGTCCATCCATCAAATGGATTATTATTCAGCCTCAAAAACAAGGAAATTCTGACACATGGGTGAACCTTGAGGACATCATGCTAAGTGAAATAAGCCAGTCACAGAGAGACAAACATTGTATGATTCTGTTTATATGGGGGCACCCAGAGGAGTCAAATACATAGAGATGCGAAGTAGAATGGGGGTTGCCAGGGGCTGCGGGGGAGGAGAAATGGGACTCCGTGTTTTATGGAAGTAGAGTTTTAGTCGAGGATATTGCAAAAAATTCTGGAGATGGATGGTGGTGATGGTTGCATAACAGTGTAGATATTCTTAATGCCACTCAACTGAATCCTTAAAAAATAGTTACAATGGTAACTTGTAGCTAGGTTCTGTATATTTTATTACAATTTTAATTTTAAAAAATAAAGCTGGATTCACAAAAGAAGGGACTCAGACTTCTCAAGGGCCCAGATGATCTTGAAATGAACAGATTGTGAGCACTGGGGAGAACTCGGGCTGACCCTGAGACAGAAATGGCAGAGGACACTCTGGGATGTGCACGGCTTCAGCCCGAGAGGGTGCATGCACGAGGAAAGCGAAAATTGACGCAAGAGGTGCATCAGCCTCCTACGCCACTCTTCTGCAAAGCACCTCCCCGATAACCTTCCTGTAGTAGTGACAATCACTACAAAAATAAACATGGCTAACGTTTATGGAGCATGTATTCTGTGCCAGTCACTGTGCTGAGCACACTAGAGGCTTTGTTCCTTTAAAACCCACAACAAGCTTAGGAGACAGGAAAACTGAGATGCAATATGACGAAGTAGCTTGAGCCAGAGACCCGCCCACCACCCCCCTCCCCAGCTCTGTCCAGCGTGCTCTGCAGCCCCAAGGGGCTGGGGGAGTGGGTAGAGATGGTAGGAGGGCAACATGATGAACTGGGGCTTCAAAGCACATGGGCCTCTGGCTATGAATCCAGGCATTGTACTCACTGTGGATCACTTAACTCTAAGCTTCAGTCTCTTCATCTGGAAATAGGGGCTAATGATCATCGTACCTACCCCATGGATTACCTCCAGGATTCAATGAGACAGCAATGTGAAGTGCTCAGCCCAGCGCCTGGCACGGAGAAGGGCTGAGAGCCGTAAGCTCTCCTTGTTGGCATGGCCTCTGCCTCCTCTGCACCTCAGAGCACTTGGTTGCCCGCATCTCTTTGCACGTAGCAACTTCCACCGTGCGTGAGAGCACTTTGATTCAGCCCAGCAACCTCCTCACTCTCCACAGAGGATCTGCCGTTTGGGGCCAGAGGTCATAGTTGGCTGATCCCTGGGCTCCAGCAGCAGCATAGGAAGTGCTCAGGGAACGTCTGAGTGAATGGTAAAATAATAAATGGATGCATGGTGCTCTTTGACTAAAAAACCCTCCAGTAGCTATAATAGGAGCCACAGCCTAGCCTGCGAGAGGAAGGGCAGTGGAGACCCCGCTAATGAGGAAGGCCAGAGCACCCGCCAACCGGTCCCGGCTCAGACAGCCAGACGGCTGGCCGGCCCCTTCCAACTGGCTGGGCTGATCTCGCAGAGGATAAGAGGGAGCCGGCGGCTTCGGCTTGGCCAGGGAGACAGCCTTGGGCCTGTGGGTGCCGGTGCCGGCTCCCGGGCAGACAGACAGGCCAGGAGGAAGTCACAGGCCTGGGCCCTCAGGCCCGGGCGGCAGCGGCTCCAGAGGACCTGACCATGGAACACTGGAGCCTGTGAAAAAAAATGAGAGTGGGAAATGGGAGTCAAGGAGCCAAGGGAAATGGCGGATCTGTTAACAGGCTGTTTTTGCTTTTGTCTCTGGAGAAGGAAAAGAATGGAGAATAAAGAGGAGCGTCGCAGGCCGGCTTCCTGTGCCCCGGCCAGGGTGGATCGCACCAGATAATGACTGATAGCCGTGGAAACGGGGAGACAAGATAGAGGGGAGGCCGGCTGCAGCGGCAGACCCCCGGAGCCAGGGAGGGGAGCCGGAGGGACGAGGAAGACGCTGAGGAAGCGCAGAGGAAGTGCTAGGCGAGGGGAGAACCGCGGGCCCGGAGCAGCCGCCCAGGGTCCGGGCCAGGGCCTCGTGTCTGGAACCAGGCTGGGAGGCTGGGCCTGAAAGCAGCCTGGCACGTCCCACTTTCTCCAGCAAGTTCCCAACCAGCTCCAGTGTCCCTTCCTCCGCGGAAAAACGGGGCTATGGCGGGTGGGTTGAAAGAACTCGGCTTCCTCCGTGGGTGTTTGTGGTGTGAACAGAGGTGCTGCAGGGTGAATGGCTGGGGCACCAGGAGCTCCACCAAGTGACTGTTTCCTTCCCTTCCCTGAAAGCGGCTTCAGGCGGAGGCTGGGCTCCTCACTGACACCCCAGGACAGCCTGGGGGTCTCAGCTCCAGCCCCTTTGACTGAGGCGGCAGCCTCAGGCTTGGGCAGCCGCCTCCTGGGGACCAGGGCCTCCTTCGGCTCTGCTATGGGAGGAGAATTGGGAAGCCCACGGCTCCAGCGTGAAGAGTGGTTCATTGTGAGGTTCTCCGGCTGGCTGCATGCCGTTCCGCTCACCACCTTCCCTCCTGAGACGTTGCCTGGTGTTGCCTACCTGCCCAGGGCCCAGACACGGCATGCCTGGGTTCTAACCTGGTCACCGAGGAGGATGGCACGCTCATGCACCGCTCCCTCACAGAGCCTGGCAGGCGCTAACTGGGGCTGCAGAGACAGAAGCAGCGAATGAAGCCAGGGAAGAACCCGGGAGCGACTCCCCTCCCCTTCCCCGTGTCCGGCCCCCCCAGGTGGTTTTTCTTCCTGAGCCCTCCGCTCCTGCTCTTCTCTTAAAAGTCTCCAACATCTCTCTGGCTCCCGATCTCCGAAGCTGAGATGTGAGTCCAGGGTGGCCTCCTCACTTGGATTCAAACGCTGTCACTTCTCATCGTCAAAGTCTGCCTGGAAAACTCAGGGCAGTCCATCTTCCCTGCAATCACTAGTCTGTGCAGAGCACACTGGTCTTTATCCTCGTATTTATTCATTCACCCTGTGTTTGCTAAACACATCTGTGTGCTGGCCACCACGCCAAGACACGAAATACGGTGGGAACAAGAGTGACAGTCCCTGCCCATGGGGCTTAGATCTGGGGGTAGATACAAGAAATGAACAAATCATCACACAGCATAGCAAATGCTAGTAAGGGTTTGGTGAAAGATACAAACTGAGAAGGAGGTGCTGATTTAGGTGAATAGTCAAGGAAGAATACATCAGTGACCTCTAGGTCCAGGTCATTGATTACTGGAGTGAGTCATTATTTCACAAACAAAATTGCAAATCCCAACGGAGAAAGGATAGAAATGTGAAAGACAGGATAGAAGGGAGGGAGAAACGAGAAAGGGAACAATTAAAAAGAGGAGCTGGGCATTGTATGCTAACGTGGGTTTTGTAAAGCCAAGGGGCTCTGATAATGCAAAGTTGTTTGTTCTGGGAAGGGAGAGGGCACTTCAGTGTATGTAAGAATTTTCCAGGAAACCCAGCCAGACCCTCCAACACCCTGGACATCAGACACTGAGATCACTGAAGCTTAAGGAGTGTAAGTGCTTAGTTAAGCAAAGAGGCACCCTGGAAATGCCGCCTTAAACCCAGGGATCCAACCGATGGAACGCGTGTTCTAGGCATAAACTTGACAGGAGAGAAAATTCCACCCTTCAAAAAAAAAAAAAGTGACAGATCTGGAAAACTGTCAAGAACTGTTTTCTGTTTCTATACCCACTTCCTCTTGGGCCTTGTGTGTTCTCCCCTCAGCATCTTTGGTCTGCACCCGGCACTCTCAGAAGAGTGCGTGTGAGTTGCTCATTCATGCTGAAGTGTTCATGAATTTGTGTGTTGGCCTGCCAGAAATATTTGCACCTTAAGTTAGGACAGATGGAAGGCTCATTGGTGGGATTTTACCCCATCCACAGACCTTTGGAAACCCTTCAAGTCCCTTAGGGTAAGAGAATTTACATGGCTTAAAGCTGCCCCCTGAAAAGCACTATATCTTCCTATCCAGGCCACACATAGTATTCCTGCCTCCTTCTTGTTTCCCGATTTTAACCTTTGGAATTTCCAGAAGCGTCCTATCAGGAAGGAGAAGACGGGTCTCATGCTATCTGGAACCAGGGCAAGGTAGTATACCCCTATCCTGGACTTCTGGCCACCTTAGTCCTGGGCTCTGGGCCAAGATCCCCAAGGACTGTAGTGCTCACGAGAACCTGGCAAGACCCTGAGGAATGAAGATCACACAGTAAACACGGTGACAAAGCAGACAGACCCTGCTCTCCTTTTTAGGCCTCTTTTCTTCCCAGGAATGTGTGTTTCAGAGACAAAGTCAAGTGCTTTATCTGCTGTCACTTGAAGTCATGGAAAAGTCCTGGATTTGGACTCAGAAGGCCTAGGCTTGCATTCTAGCTCTCTGTGAGCCCCTATAGCTTCCTCTGCTCAGACATAATGATTCCTCCCTGACGTGTTTCGCAGGGTCTGGTGAGAACCAAATGAGATGTATTCCCATGTGGCCCCTGACCCTCAGGGGCTGTGCTGGTCGTTACTCTAGGGTCGGCTTCCACAGCAGTGTAAGCAGCTCCTCTGTAAGACATGGGGCAGGGGGCTGGAGCTGGTTGGCTCGAGAGCACGGCCACATTCTATGTGTCGTAGAACTGGTCTTGAGCCTCTCACCCTCTTGCAGAGAACAGAACCTGCTCGCGGAGTTTGTGTGTGTGTTAAATTAGATTACCGTGGGGTGGCCACTTTGCACAGGCAACATGCACCTTCAAGATGCATTTGCCGTCTGTGCGCTTGCCATCTGTGTCCCAAATTGCATTCCATCAGGAGCACTCCAGAATACACTCATGGTCTATACATGCTGACTCCATAGAAAACCGCAGCCTCCAAATGCTTATGGTATGCACTTATTTGCTTTTTAAACTTGAGGCAAGAACTTGAGGCCCAGCAAGCTTGCTTTTTCCACACAGGCTGGCCCAGCCAGAGGGGAACTCAGCCTCCCTGTCCCAGCTCTCCAAGGAAGAGTGCCAGGAGCATGGCACTCTGCTGTGCTTGCCAGTTCCCAGACTAGGCTTTTGGTCAAAGCCCACAGAAAGCTATACCAGTAATAACTGCCATTTCCTGCATGCCTACTATGTGCCAGGCAGCATGCTAAGCACCTCAATCGTTTCATTTCAGCCTTCACTGCAAGCCCCTGGGAAGCTGCCTTGTGGTACCTGTTTAACAGACAAGGAAGCTGGGTCTTGGAAAAGTGAAGCAATTTGCCTGAGCAAACCACAGCCGAGCCTACCCCACTCCAGAGTGAACTGCATCCTCTCTTAACCAGATTCCCTGGGGGGCTGTACACCACCTGCACCTCTAACACACACACACATTCGCACATGCATGTGCATCAGACATACATGCTGTCTCCCTGTGCGCTAACCTCCACTATGAACAAACAGAATCAGAGAGGGACAGAAGGACAGGGCACATGGGGAAGGCACAGAGTGTATTTCTAAGACTTCCCTTAAGAGCTGATGCAATTCGGTGGGGTTCAGGAGAATGGAGATGAAGACGGGCCTCACATTTTCTATCTGTTCTCAGACTGGACCTTCCAGCTGGCTGCCATTCGCATTAGCCCCTCACATATCTATGGAGCTCCTACTAAGAGCGGTCTCTGGTGGGGCCGTCAGGAGCTGCAGAAGATTCAGAGAAGGAAAAGTCGTGTCCCACCCACCCAGAGCTCTCCATCTACCAAAAGGATAAAGCAGGTCCCCGAAATCCCCAGCCCAAAGCATGGTGGGATGAAAGTGTCCCCCCATCCTTGCACCCACCTCGATATTTCAGCCCTGAGGGTGGCCAGTGGGGCTGAGACCCAGTGCACCTACTTAGGGAAGAGAGAAAGGCCAGGAATCGCAACTAGGAACCCTCCCCACCAAGCCTCCTCCGTGGCCCTGACTGAAAGGAGGAACGGGGTGAATTCTCATGAGAATTCTGATAAATGGGCTTCTCCACCCCTCTTCCTCCCACACCCCCAATTAAAGTGAAGCTGTCCCAGGGCCGAGCAGCAGAAACCACTTCCAAGCCAGGCATGACATCAACATTTTAGTGATAAGGAGTGGACAATGGGGTGTTAGACTAATAGAAAAACACCACTGGATAAGGCCGGCTCCTGATATCCAGGCTGATGGGAAATACCATTGTCCGTCCGCTGTCAGCTGAGTCCCAGGGCGACAGGGATTCCAGCAGCCACAGGCAGGGCGGGGGAGGGGTGGTCCTGCCAGATCCAGCACTGAGGGGGTGCTGAGCCTCCGGGTGCAGCCCGAGAGTGGGTGGGATGGGCATCGTGCAGAGGTGGGAGTGGGGAGTTGGGAAGGAAGGTGTAGGGGGAGGGTGGTGTCGGGATAGGCAGAAATTACATATGACCCCCCACTCTGTCCACGCCACTTGGATGATGCTTGGGTGACCATATTAGTAATGGCTCACAGGTGTACTTGGTTCATTGATTTTCACAGAAATTTCTTTAAAAATTTTTTATCAAAGTAATATGTGCGCATAGTTTTTGTACTTTAAATCAATTCATATTAAAAGAATATGTAACAGCAACAACTAGAAACTGGTTTCCTGCCTACCACCTCCCAATTGTCCTCCCAGCCCCTTCTCTGCCCAGTCCTGCTCACCAGAGGCAACCAAACCAGCATCAATTCCCAGCTGCTGCTTCTGGTATTTGCCTGTATATTTCTGAATAATTTGCTTATGTGGCTATGTCATCACTTACCAATTTTAGGCATCGTCTCATGGCTTCTTCAAATGGCAAAAGAGAACTTAAAAATGTTACACTGCACTCCCCTTTACAGTTTCTCCCTCATCCTTCCATTATCATGATGATATTTAAGTAAAATAGTAATCAGTGATTATTCTGGGACTAAAACTTTCTGTAAGCCTGTTTCCTAGAGCTTGTGGCCTCTACTTTTTACATTTACTCCTTTGTCTTGCTGGAACACCTTCTTCAGTGCCTTCCTGAGAAAGGGTACATTTTTTATTTGGTAAGGTACTGAATTCTGGGTTGGAAATTATTTTTTCTTAGTGTTTTAAAAGGACTGCTCCGTTGTCTTCCAGCTTACCTTGTGTAATTGGGAAATCTGACACCATCCGATTCCTGAAGCTTTGTATGGGACCTGTCTTATTTTTTCATGGGGAGCTCTAAGAAACTTCTCTCTATCCCTCTTGTTGGAAAATTTTGCGTCAATATTACTTACTGTGTGTCTTTCCCATTCACTGTCCTGGACAATCAATAGGTTCTGTCAATCTGGAAACTCATCTCCCTCAATTCTAGAAAAAATCCATTTATTTCTTAGCTAATTTCTGCCCTTCCCCATCTCTTCTTTATTCCACTGCTAGAAATTCTATTAATTGGATATTAGACATCTTAAATCGTTATTCTAAATGTCTCATCCTTTATCCATTTTCCCTGTAAAATCCTTTTTTTCTGCTTTATTTTTATTTCCAAGAGCTCCTTTTTGTTCTCTGGTTATTGTTTTTTCACAATTTCCTGGTCTCATTTCATTAAGGCAATACCTTAGCATTCAAAGTATATTAATTATAGGTTTTTAAAAAGATTTTTTCTGCTTCTCCCTTTATTTTTTACCTTCTCTCTCTCTCTCTGTGTCACTTCTATCCCTTCCTTTGTTTCTCCTTATCTACCCATTGACAGATCCCAATACGACAAAGGAATCTCTCAGGAATTGCACCAGTGAGAGCGTTGGATATTTTATTCATGTTTCTTTAAGGTGAAGAAATAGAAGAGAGTTTTTACATAAATAAATCTGTAAATTGAAGCCAGATGGTCCTCACTGTTATATATTTAGCTGTCATATAGCCTACACCTTCACACGCAGACATTATGAACTCTCTCTTTTTTTTTTTTTTTTTTGAGATGGACTCTCACTCTGTCACCCAGGCTGGAGTGCAGTGGCATGATCTCGGCTCACTGCAACTTCTGCCTCTTAGGTTCAAGCGATTCTTCTGCCTCAGCCTCCTGAGTAGCTGGGATTACAGGCATGCACCACCATGCCTGACTAATTTTTGTATTTTTAGTAGAGACGGGGGGTTTCACCATATTGCCCAGGCTGGTCTTGAACTCCTGACCTCAAGTGATCTACCCATCTAGGCCTCCCGAAGCGTTGGGATTACAGGCATGAGCCACCATGCCCAGCCGTATGGCATTTCTTGAAAGAAATTTGTGAGCTTTTGTATGGTGGTACTGCCTGGCTGCCAGCAGCTTGCCTCTGGCCATGGCTCCCACTGTCTCTGCCTGTTTACCAGGCTTATTAATGCAATTATTTCTATTATATTAGCACATTTTCCTTCACTATGTTATCCAACTAAGTAGAAAACAAAAATAAAAGCACCGATACTAGTGATGGGAAGGATTAGGTCTCAGGAACTTAATTCAATAGAGACAAGAAGACACAAGTGGCAGATCAGCTTCAAGCTGAAGTGTGTGAATCACCTTGGCTGGTCGATTGTGTTCACCTGTGAAGGAAAATCAGAGGAAAGGCACAAAATCAGAGACCAGCACGATGAGAGGACAAGTACAAAAGGATATCATCAAACATTAAGTTTAAAAGTAAGTTGTAATTGGAGCATTTATAGTATTGTTTTTAGTTCTTAGAGAATAGAATCTCTTTATAATATATAAATCTATTGCCTAGCTTAGCACATTTGAAACTGTCTTAGTGTGTGTGTGTGTGTGTGTGTGTGTGTGTGTGTGTATTTAACTTAATGAATTTGGAGGGAGAACGTGGATAAGACGAGGAGATTGTCAGTCTCCTCGATGCCTGAAAGTGAGCCAGGATCAGCGTCCCACCCAGGCAGCCGCTGAGCCCATGAAAACCCACAGAGAAAGCTGCCAGTCCAGAATGTTCTTAGGATCCTCTGACACCTGTGTATGAGGCCCTGTTCCCTCCTCTTGCTTCCTGGACCATCTGCTTCCCCAGAGGACGGCTCCCGGGGCTGCTTCTGGAGGGGGCTTCTCTTGCTTGTCGAGGCCCCACTCCTGTGCCCAGCCCGGTATCCCTGTTCTCCGTGTCTGCCAGGAAATCGGGGAGTGGTGAGGTCTGACCACAATAGGCAGCCTGGCTTTTCCTACCCTGCCTGGTTCCCATGCCCTCCCTCCCCTATTTCATCCTCTCCCAGACTTCTTGAGGCTCAGGAGAAGACAGAGGGCTCACACACCTCTGGTGAAGTCAATGAAACGCTCACAATATTCCAACTGTGTTCCCCAAGTCACTGGAGCGGAAAGCCTGGGAGCCATCCTCACCGCCCTGGAGCCTCACGTCTGACCTCCAGCCACCTCCTGTCAATTTTCCGTCCAAAGCCCCCGAGAAATCCCCACTGCTGCTGCCCTGGCTCAGACCATCACTGCAGCTCCTCTGGGCTATTTCAACAGCCCCTGCTACTCTTTCAGCCCCAATTTGCCTCTCTCTGCTTCATTCTTCCCACTGTTGCCTAAGGGATCTTTCCGGAATGCCACTCCATCACCTCAAATCCTGATGAAAACACTTCAGGGCTTCTTACTGTCAAGCTCCAGCCTCAGCATTCCCAGCCCACCTGCCTCTCCAGCCTTACTTTCTCCTCTCCTCCCCACCAAGCCCAAGCGGAAGCCACAGGAGGCCATCAGCAAGTTTACCCACAGTGTCTAGAATGCCCCTGCTCCTTGGGGGCGTTCACACCCTTACATGTCAGATCCGCCTTGCTGCTATTCCTCCTCCGTTTCCCCAAGAGGAATTAATTCCTCCTTCCTATGCTTCCACAACACTCGAAAACTATCTATTCTCCCTTTAACACACCTGTGCTGTAGTGATGACTCTCGTCTCTCTTCTTTATGGTAATCTTCTCAAGGAAACACCATCTTCCATCTCCAGCTGCAGGGCCTGGTCCAGCCTTGGCACAGAGTTGGCACTTAGTAAATATCTATTGAATTTATTTAATTAGACTGAAAATATGTAGCCCTTAACTATGTATGGTTTACTATGAAAAAAGTGGTTACATAACTGTTTACGGAGAATCAAAGATATGCTTCTAAATACCAAAACAAAGAGTTTGATTTTAAAATAATGTATCAGCAGCGAGGTGGGGTGCCACACAATCAATGCATGTTCAGCAAACATATGCAGAACTGGAGGGACTCTCCCATAAACAGAGGACTCCCTCTTTATGGGACCATCTGCTAATCCTCATTCCAGACACCTCAACCTTCTCAGTCAGAACAGGAGACAAAATTATTGGCATGGGAAGGAGTGGGAATTAGCATCCCTTCTCTGTGTAATCCAGAAATTAAGGGTAGTAGCAATAGCTATGGTTTCCTAAATATCTTCTGCATGCCAGATGCATCTAATAATTCATATCTAATCTAATATCTAATAATGACCACACACTGTGGTTATAGTAGCCTCTCCTCACTTCTTCTTCTTCTTCTTTTTTTTTTGACATGGATTATCATTCTGTCACCCAGGCTAGAGTGCAGTGGCATGATCTTGGCTCGCTACAAACTCCACCTCCCAGGTTCAAGTGATTCTCATACCTCAGCCTCCTGAGTAGCTGGGATTACAGGTGCTCACCAACACACCCAGCTAATTTTTGTCTTTTTAGACTTTCCACGCATGTCAAGGCTGTCTCCCTGCCCCTTTCAGCCCTCCTATGCTCCCCATCTCTACCCTGCCACCCCCTCACTGCCAACAGCTGAGGCTAATTTCATCACTCTTCTCCAGCCATTTTGCTTATCGTTGACTCCAAGCTCCTAAGCATTTCTTGGCTTCCCCCAGGTGCCCTGTTTTTGAATTAACCTGAGATTATGGCAGACCACAAGGGCTGCATCACACCAAGTTCTCCCCAAGATTTGCCATATTTCCTCTACCACCAGGTGGGGTTCAAAGTAGGGTGCTCTCACTGATGACCCAAGACTCTTGGGTATGAGGATCAAAAACCCAATTCAAGCCAACCTGAGTGGGAAAAGAGAAAAATCCCTGGTCCTAAAACTGAGCAGTCTGGGCTATAAGGACTCTGGGCAAGGCTGAAATGTCCCACAACATCATCAACTGTTTGCTTCTTTCTCCAGACCCAGCCCTTGCTTACCTTATGTGGCTATCTTGACTCTCATAAAAGGCTCACAAACATAATAAGAAATAGGACCATGGGAGCCTCTCGGCCATGTCTTCACAGCTCAAGATCCAAAAGGAAGGCAGGCTCTTCCAGACTCCATGAGCCAAATCTTGTGGGAGGATTCTGATTGGCTCTGCTCGGGTCACCTGCCCACATCTGAACCAATCACTATGAATTGGGGTTGGGGGTATAAACAACTGGAATTGGACCAGTCTAGGTTGGATGTCATCCCTGAGGCTTTTGTGCTTAGTGCCTCCATGGGAACTGCATGAGGTTGGACTGTGTTTCCCCCAGTGAAAGCTTGTTGGCAGACAAAACATGTGTCCTATGGTCATGCATGCAATGGACAACTCACGAGCTCCTTCTCAGAATAAGGCACTGTACCAGGCTTAGTGGCAGAAAACAATGATGAGTCAGACTCATCCCGGCCAAAAGGGGCTTAGACTCAGCAGGAAATTTAGACATGAACCCAGATGTCTATAGTAGGATGTAATGGGCCCTAAAAACACAGTTTTAAAGGACACGGGAGGGAGGGATCAGAGGGGTCAACCTTCGGACCCAGTGCAGAAGAATAATCCAGTGAACTTGGTGATTACTTGGCTGGTGGTTTAGGGTGAGGCACCAGCCCTGTCTACCCAAGCTGGCTGGATGCATGGACATGACTTTCCAAGGTTCTTCCAGGCATCCATGATGCTGTTTGTTCTCAAGTCCAACCTCCCATCCTTCCATTCGCACCTGGCCCACGTCAGGGCCCTGATTCTTCCTTTCATAATCCACCTGTCTGGTCCATCCAATGCCACCTACTTCCTGCCTCCATCATCACAGACATCTCTATGAATACTACCAATGCCTGAGCCCCACGAGGGACCTGGGTGGTGAAGCTCCTCATGTCCAGTTTGGGCCCAGGCTTTGTTCTCAGGTCCTCCTAACAAAATGCTGCAGCCTTTCAGCCCTATCCTCCTAACTGTCCTCTGCCAGCCAACAGGCACTTTGTCTGCAATCCCAGAGGATCAGTGTCTTGGGACAGCCTCCTTCTCATCCCACCACACCCCAGCCTGTGACCCCAGCAGTGGCGAAGCTACTAGAAATCTCTATTTTAAGTAGAGATGGTGTTTCACCATGTTGGCCAGGCTGGTCTTGAACTCCTAACTTCAGGTGATCCACCTGCCTCGGCTTCCCAAAGTGCTAGGATTAAAGGCATGAGCCACCACGTCCCTTGGAGGCAGGGATGTATGTGGTTAGGAGGAAAATCTCAGCCAGCTAGACTGGCCTCTGGGGTTCAGCCAGTTCATAATTTCCATTTATGCAGTACATGTGTTTTATGACTCTGCTTTGTTGAAAATCAATTGGCCATGGGTGTATGGGTTTATGTCTGGCTTATTCTGGTTTAGTTCTGTTACACTGGTCTGTATGCTTATCCGTATACCACTGCTGCGGTGTTGTAAAGACCGCAGGGTTGGAGTAAGTTTTAAAACTGGGAAGTGTGAATCCTCCAACTCTATTCTGCTGTGTTAATATTATTTTGGTAAATTAATGCAGCTTTTATTGCAGGAGGATCTCTGTGATTGGGGAGATTCACCCTTGCCATCCCAGGAGACAACTTGTTACAGAGCAAGGATCCTTGGGGAAGGAACCTAGAGACCAGGGTTCCAGTTCTGGCTTTACTGCTAACTCGCTAGGTGTCTGTTGCAAACCACCTCTTCCTTTTTTTTTTTTTTTTGCTGGTCCTCTTTTTTTTTGGTTTCCACTTTCATCACCTGCTATATCACGTGGTAACGTTAGAGTGTGGAGGTGATGGTGGCTCACTAGTGGCCTGAGTAAGAGCTGTGTCTGCAGTGTGATGGGGGAGGCAAGGTTGGGTGGGCCATGGAGCAAATAAGGAGATGGGGAGAGAAAGCTGGGGCAAGTTGTTCAGGAGGTCTGGCTTCCACAGTCTATTCCCTGTCCTTCCCTGTCTTGGCAGACACTGGGGAACTTTAGGGAAATCTATTCACCCCTCTGCATCCTAGTTATTCACCAAAGAATGGTGGGGAGGGGGCTGTACGCTATCCCAAGCACATTGATGATCAATTGCAAACCCAAATCAGCATACACAATCTGAAAACAAAAACTGGGCATGCAGAGGAACAGCGGATCAAAAGAGGGCTGGTGGAGCTGTTTCTCCTGGGCTTCCCTGTCTCTGAGTTGAGAGGAGGCACAAGGCACTTCAGCCTGGGGGACGGAAGGCACTGGAGCATCTCCAGGGTCCAGGGAAGTGAGCCTGCCTAAGGAAGATTCTGGAGGAAGCAGAGAGTCAGAGGTGGCAGAGGGACAGGACAGACCTGTCCCAAGAAGCCTCAGAAGCAACCAGTGCAGGAGGAGGGGAACCTGGTGTCACTAAATTATTCATTTCAGAAACTGCAGAGAGGCAAGGGAAGCCAGGCAGGACTGCATGCCTGCACCCAGCAGGCCTGGGGCAAAGCAAGGCTGGGCTGGGAAGGGCTGAGGAAGGCAGAGAGGAGGGGCACAGGAGTAATGACCAGAGCTGGCAGCCAGCCTTGGCTGGAGAGTGACCCCTGGGACCCAGGGT